>NC_000016.10:68198863-68501894 GCF_000001405.40 Homo sapiens
TGGTGAAACCCCGTCTCTACTAAAATACAAAAAAACTAGCCAGACATGGTGGTGCGTGCCTGTAGTCCCAGCTACTCAGGAGTCTGAGGCAGGGGAATCGCTTGAACCCAGGAGGCGGGGATTGCAGTGAGCCAAGATCACGCTGCTGCACTCCAGCCTGGCAACAGAGCGAGACTCCATCTCAAAAAGAAAAAGAAAAAAAATTAGCTGATCATGGTGATGTGTGCCTATAGTCCCAACTACTCAGGAGGCTGAAGTGGGAGGATTGCTTGAACCCAGGAGGCGGAGGTTACAGTGAGCTGAGATTGCGCCACTGCACTGCAGCGTGGGCAACAGACCAAGACCCTGTTTATTTTTTTTTTATTTTTTATTTTTTTTGAGACAGAGTCTCGCTCTGTCGCCCAGGCTGGAGTGCAGTGGCGCGATCTTGGCTCACTGCAAGCTCCGCCTCCCGGGTTCACGCCATTCTCCTGCCTCAGCCTCCTGAGTAGCTGGGACTACAGGCGCCCGCCACCACGCCCGGCTAATTTTTTGTATTTTTTAGTAGAGGCGGGGTTTCACTGTGTTAGCCAGGATGGTCTCGATCTCCTGACCTCATGATCCGCCCACCTCTGCCTCCCAAAGTGCTGGGATTACAGGCGTGAGCCACCGCGCCCGGCCCCAAGACCCTGTTTAAAAAAAAAAAAAAAAGTATTATTCTCAGTATTAGATGAAGTGTTTTTTGGTTTGTTTTGTTTGTTTTTGAGACGGAGTCTCACTCTGTCGCCCAGGCTGGAGTGCAGTGGCGATCTCAGCTCACTGCAAGCTCTGCCTCCCGGGTTCATGCCATTCTCCTGCCTCAGCCTCCTGAGTAGCTGGAACTACAGGCACCCGCCACCATGCCCGGCTAATTTTTTGTATTTTTAGTAGAGACAGGGTCTCACCGTGTTAGCCAGGATGGTCTTGATCTCCTGACCTTGTGATCCGCCTGCCTCAGCCTCCCAAAGTGCTGGGATTACAGGTGTGAGCCACTGCGCCCGGCCTAGATGAAGTTTTAAAGGCTCTCCATTCTCTTTCTCGCTGGAGTTCACACTTTGGTATTCTTAATGATAATTATATTCGTCTGTGTCTCTTCCCTAGCTTCTTTGGAACATCTCAGGGCCTTTTGAGTTCTAACTACTCTTCTTGTTTTATGTGGGCTCTATCTAATACCTCTAGATTAATTCAGAACATATTTAATCCTTCTTGTATAATAGCCTTCACATGTGTGAAAGCTTGATCTCTTTCCCAGTCTTAAAAACTCTCCAGCAACTTCATCCTTCCCTCACCAAAATGCAAATTTCCTTCTGCTTGAACCGTGATGTTTAAGTTCCCTTTCATAGTGGAGTATCCAGAAGGGAACACATTGTAGCTAGCTTGTTGTGGGTTAAGACTGTCACTTTCCCTGTTGAAAAGACTTTATCAGTATGGCCTGAGGTCAGGGGATTTTCTTAGCTGTGATATACTGTTGATTTAGTGAGTCATAATTATGCAAAGTTGTGTCCTTTCCCTACATAGGTTTATATATATATATATATGGGGTTTTTTTGGACCAAAGACTAAACTTTATAATTATCCTTGTTCAGTTTCATTGAGATGATTTCGGTGCCTCATACCAATTTTCCAAGCTCAGAAGAATCCCAGAAGCATTTCTCAGTCTCAGGCTTCCTGGGGCAAGGCAGATATTCCTTTGGGGGTTACAACAGCAGCACAGTACTGACGTTTCACCAAGTTCTCTTTCAAGTAGTCCCCCTGGAAGGCTGTAATATAAACTTACTCAAACAATTAAGGCATAGTTCATGACTATTTTGCTTCTTGTCTTTATATTTTCTTCACTACCTCCATATATCATTGCACCTCCTTGAAAAGCATGTTCTGTGGCTGTCCAATTATCACTGAATTTTACTCATATTTACAATTCGTATGCCTGGAAATGTAATTTTCCGTAAACATTTATGTTCGTTATGGTTTTTATGCCGCAGGTTTTGGACCAGACAGTAAACATTAAAACAGTTGATTTTATAACAGATATGGAAACTGTCAAGCTGTTTTTCATTTGTTTATTTTTTGAGATGGAGTTTCCCTTGTCACCCAGGCTGGAGTGCAGTGGCACAATATCAGCTCATTGCAACCTCTGCCTACTGGGTTCAAACGATTCTCATGCCTCAGCCTCCCGAGTAGCTGGGATTACAGGTGCCCACTGCCGTGCCCAGCTAATTTTTGTATTTTTAGTAGAGACAGGGTTTAGTCATGTTGGCCAGGCTGGTATTGAACTCCTGACCTCAAGCGATCTGCCTGCCTCAGCCTCCTAAAGTGCTGGGATTACAGGCATGAGCCACTGCACTTGGCCTTTTTAAAATTTATTTTGAGACAGGGTCTCACTCTGTTGCACAGGCTGGAGTGCAGTGGCGTGATCATGGCTTACTGCAGCCTTGACCTCCTGGGACTCAGGTGATCCTTCCACTTTAGCCCCCCAAGTAGCAGGGACTACAGGCACACACCACAGTGCCTAGCTGATTTTTGGGGGGTTTTTTGTTTGTTTTTGTTTTTTTTATTGTTTTTTGTTTTTGGTAGAGATGGAGTTTCGCCATGTTGCCCAGGCTGGTCTCAAACTCCTGGGCTCAAGTGATCTGCCCTCCTTGGCCTCCCAAAGTGCTGGTATTACAGGCGTGAGCCACTGTGCCCGTTTGTCAAGCTGTTTTAAACATTTTAATTAAGATTTGATTCAGTGTGGTAATTGATACTGTTTTTTTGTTTGTTTCTTTTAAAAAAAAGAAAGATTATAGCGGCCAGACACAGTGGCTCATGCCTGTAATCCCAGCACTTTGGGAGGCTTAGGTGGGTGGATCACCTGAGGTCAGGAGTTCGAGTCCAGCCTGGCCAACATGGCAAAACCCCATCTCTACCAAAAAGGAAAAAAAGAAAAATCAGCTGGGCACGATGGTGCATGCCTGTAGTCCCAGCTACTTGGGAGGCTGGCATAGGAGAATCACTTGAATCCGGGAGGTGGAGGTTGCAGTGAGCTGAGATGGCACCACTGCACTCCAGCCTGGGCAACAGAGTGAGACTCCATCTCAAAAAAAAAAAAAAAAAAAAAAAAAAAGATTATAGTATTGTGAAACTAGACTATCTTAGACCTTTAAATACAGGCCCATTTAATTTATGATTGAGTTAACCGAATCCTGTTACAACTTTCCATTAAAGTCCCTCAGTTCCCACTTGTCCTCCTTGTTCACAGACTAACAGAGCCACAGCTGCAGCTCTTCAGCAGAGAAGAGGATGCATGTTAAATATAGCCTGACCTGATGCTGTGCTGAAAACTGACACTGCCACTTGCAGGCTCTGTGCAGTAACATGCTGATCCTGAATGTAGGGCATTTGGTAATTCAGCAGTAGTAAACAGGGACTCTAGTCATGACCTCAGCTGCTTCAGTTCTGTATGTAAAAGACAAGCAGAAGAGCCTGCTTTCAAAAAGCAGGTGCTTTTTAAAATCAAGGGAATGATAAACACAACATTCAGGTGGTTACTTGGATGTGGGAAGCAGGAGACTGGTATGGAGGAGGAACAGAGAGGTTAGTATTGTCAGTGTTCTCTTGCACCTGTTGGTTAGTGGTTTCACTGGTGTCTATTTTATTAAAATAAAACAAGGCAAGGCGCGGTGGCTGACGCCTGTAATCCCAGCACTTTGGGAGGCCGAGGCAGGTAGATCGCCTGAGGTCAAGAGTTTGAGACCAGCCTGGCCAATATAGTGAAACCCCGTCTCTACTAAAAATACAAAAATTAGCTGGGCGTGGTGGTGGACACCTATAATCCCAGCTACTCGGGAGGCTGAGGCAGGAGAATCGCTTGAACCTAGGAGGCGGAGGTTGCAGTGAGCCGAGATCGTGCCATTGCACTCCAGCCTGGGCAACAGGAGCAAAACTCCATCTCAAAATAAATAAATAAATAATAAAAAAAAATAAATAAATAAAATTAAATAAAAGCCATACACAGCCAGTGGTGAGAATGTGTCATCTATGAGGTATAATCACTATGGGCACTGGAGTGGAGGGAGGTAGATAATGCTGAAATTTCTCTTTTAACTTGGACACTGGATAACTCACGAATCCTCTTTTGGGAAGCATACATGTACTATACAGCCTCAAACGTGTTTAGGATGAATGATTCCAGAAGCTGAAAGGTCTTGTAAATAATGCCTATGTAGGCTTTAAATCATGGCTTATGCGAGATGGACCATGATGGGGATTCAAGACCTTAGACACAACCACCCTGGGACATACAATAAGAAAAATTGAGTTTTAGGCCTAATGAAGAAAGAACAACAAACATTTGAGAAGATTTTTTATTTTTTATATCGAATGCGTCTGTGTATTTCCATGGACATAAATAAGTTGTACCTTTTTTTAAATGAATGTATTATTTCTGAACAAAAAATTTATTTTAATCAACCTACATTAAGATTTATACATGACCAGGTGCTGTGGCTCGTGTGTAATCCCAGCACTTTGGGAGGCCAGAGCCGGTGGATCGCTTGAGCTCGGGAGTTTGAGACCAGCTTGGGCAACATGGTGAAACCCTGTCTCTATAAAAAATACCAGAATTAGGCCGGGTGTGGTGGCGTGTGCCTATAGTCCCAGCTACTCGAGAGGCTGAGGTGGGAGGATCGCTGGAGCCTGGAAGGCAGAGGTTGAAATTAGCAGAGATCATGCCACTGCACTTCAACTTGGGCGACAGAGTGAGACCCTGTCTCAAAATAAATAAAATGCAATTAAAAATATAATTTATACATAAGCTAGGAAAAGTCCAAGAGAGGCTACCACTAAAGCAGCATATCAGAAGTCTTCAAACTAAGTTCCCCTCAAAATGTGTATTTAAAAATAGTTAATGGCTGGGCGCGGTGGCTCGTGCCTGTAATCCCAGCACTTTGAAAGACCGAGATGGGAGGATCATTTGACATCAGGAGTTCAAGACCAGCTTAACCAACATGGTGAAACTTCGTCTCTACTAAAAACAGTAAAAATTGGGCCAGGCACAGTGGCTCATGATTGCAATCCCAGCACTTTGGGAGGTCGAGGCAGGCGGATCACTGGAGGCCAGGAGTTTGACACCAGGCTAGCCAACATGGTGAAACCCCGTCTCTACTGAAAATACAAAAATAAGCCGGGTGTGGTGGCACACATCTGTAATCTCAGCTACTTGGGAGGCTAAGGCAGGAGAATCGTTTGAACCTGGGAGGCAGAGGTTGCAGTGAGCTGAGATGGTGCCACTGCACTCCAGCCTGGGCGACAGAGCAAGACTCCATCTCCAAAAAAAAAAGAAAATAGTGAAAATTAGCCACGCATGGTGGTGAACGCCTGTAATTTCAGCTACTCATGAGGCTGAGGCAGGAGAATCACTTGAACCTGGGAGACAGAGGTTGCAGTGAGCTGAGATCAGGCCACTGCACTCCAGCCTGGGCAGCAGAGTGATACTCTGTCTCAAAAATACAAAAAATGGTAATGAATTATGGTTACTGTTTCTTGATAAACTCATATTTTTTTTGAACACTGTGCTAGGCACTTTGCTAGTGGCTCATTAATTCTTTGCAATCATGTGTGAAATGTGAATTATTAGTCTTAATTTTGTATAGATGTGGCTCAGAGACCTTAAGCACATCCCAGCGTTATATGGCCACAAATAATTGGGGCAGACATTTGAATCCAGATTTGTCTGAAATGTAGATTTTCTCACATGTGTTTTTAGTGGCTTCTAAAATAGCTATAATTGATTACTTATATAATCTCGCTTTCGTAAAGACAATAGCATTGTAACTTTCTAATGTGCTGCCATGTGTAAGATAGCAAAACCTGTCTTAAAGATGTATTCTATTTTAAAATTGATATCCTTTTTTTGAGTTCCTTCGAAGACAGATTATTCACAGGAACAAAAAGATTTTTTAATGAGAGATAAATTGTTTAATTTTAGGTTCAGCAGTTGAACAAGCTTTTTGTGGTTTGGTGGCAGTTTTCTGCCTTGGCATTACAAGGTTACCTCTTGCTAACAATCATAGCTTTTGATAGACTTAGATAAATGTGTTCAAACAGCTTTTCTCTGTTTGAAGATGCCTGGCTCTTTTTTTTTTTTTTTTTTAAAGACATTTCCAAAGCCTACAGTTAGTGTCTCCATCTGGGCAAGAGACAACATGTGAAAGTCTCATTTATGCTGGAAGATAGGGTAGGGTTGAGAGTGATGGTTACAAGCATTTTAACTTTACATCTACAAGAGTGTGGTACAGATTAAGTCCTTGATAATCATGTTGTATATTTAAAAACATCTATAGATGATTTTATGTAGAATGGGAATTTTAACATTTTAAATGTGTTTATTTCTTTGGTGGGGGAACGGAGACAGGAGTTTGCTCTGTTGATCAGGCTGGAGTGCAGTGGGACCATCATGGCTCACTGCAGCCTCGACCTCCCAGGCTCCAGCATTTCTCTCCCACCTCAGCCTCCCGAGTAGCTGGGGCTACAGGTGCCTGCCACCACATCCGGCTAATTTTTAAATTTTTTTGTAGAGGCAGGCTTTTACTACGTTGCTCAGGTTGGTCTCGGCCTCCCAAAGTGCTAGGATTACAGGCGTGAGCCACCATGCCTGGCCTGTGTTTCTTAATATAATCATTTTTTGAACAAGTAATATGTTCATGTGGTTTAAAATGCTAAAGTTACAACATTATACATAGTTAAAAAAAATCTGTCTTCTAAGTAGATACTCCATTGTCCTCTGTAGGGAGAATTGGAGTTACTAGTTTCTTGGCTGTCATTCTATGCATTTATAAACAGTTGCATTTTTTTCCCCTTATTTTTACTAGCATATTATGTATACTAGTTTATACTTTGCATTTCCCATGTAATATAGAATCTTGAGAGATTATTCTATACTGTAACATAAAAGAGCTTCCTTGAAAAGATATTCTTAAAATAGAATATTCCATAAAATATTCTATAAAATACTGCTTTGAATATTTGCACCACTATCTTTTTTTCTTTTTTTTTTTGAGATGGATTCTCGCTCTACTGCCCAGGCTGGAGTACAGTGGCACCATCTCGGCTCACTGCAACCCCCACCTCCCAAATCTATGATCTCTTTCATATTTGCTTACTTTTCTATTAGATTGTTGATCCTTCCTCTTACTGATTTATAGAAGCCCTTTGTTAGGTGCATTAGCTCATTGAGGTATGAGTTGAATGTATCCAGATTTATAAATTTTAAAAGAGGGATTTACAAAAGTCCTCTAAGTCTTGCTTTAAGTTAATGGTTAGAGCTGTGAAAACCTAATTAAGTCATTTCACACAATGTTCTCCCATGAGAAAATCCAAAGTTTGTTTAAAATTCAAAATTTACCATTTTAATCATTTTAAGTGTATAGCTAAGTGGCATTAAATACATTCACAATATTGTATAACCACCACCACTTTCTATTTCCAGAAGTTTTTCATCACCCAAACTACAACTCTATTAAAGTAATAACTACTCATTTCCTTCCCGTCCTCCCAGCCCCTGGTAACCTGTACTCTGCTTTCTGTCTCTATGAATTTCCCTACTCTAGATACTTCATATAAGTGGGATTACACAATGTTTTTCCTTTTTTGTCTGGCTTATTTCACTTAGCATAATGTTTTCAAGGCTCATCCATATTGTAAGCATACGGAGGAATAATCTATTGGAATATTTTTATATAGCATATTATTTACATATAATATTCCATATGGAGGAATAATATTCAATTTTTTGTGTACACCACATCTTGTTTATCCATTCATCTGGTGAAAAATAATTTGGGCCTAGGCACAGTAGCTCACGTCTCTAATCCCAGCACATTGGGAAGCTGAGGTGGGTGGATTGCCTGAGCCCAGAAGATCAGGACCAGCCTGGGCAACATGGCGAGACCCCATGTCTATAAAAAATTTAAAAATTAGTTGGGCGTGGTGGTGTGCGCCTGTAGTTCTAGCTACTCAGGAGGCTGAGATGAGAGGATCACCTGAGCTTAGGAGATGGAGGTTGCAGTGAGCTGAGATTGCACCATGCACTCCAACCCGGGCAACAGAGACCCTGTCTCAAAAAAAGTTGATGAACGCATACATATTAAAAAAAAAAAAAAAAAAAGATGGACAGGGCTCGGTGGCTCACGCCTGTAATCCCAGCACCTGGGAGGCTGAGGCAGGTGGATCACCTCAGGTCAGGAGTTCGAGACCAGCCTGACCAACACGGTGAAACCCCATCTCTACTAAAAATACAAAAATTAGTTGGGCATGGTGGTGGGCGCCTGTAATCTCAGCTACTCGGAAGACTGAGACAGGAGAATCGCTTGAGCCTGGGAGGCAAAGGTTGCAGTGAGCCGAGACCATGCCATTGCACTCCAGCCTAGGCAACAAGAGCAAAACTCCATCTCAAAAAAAAAAAAAAGATAATTTGTATTGTTTCCCTCTCGGCTGTTGGGAATAATGCTGCTGTGAACACTGGCATACATACTGTTTGAGTCCCTCTTTTCAGTACTTTTGTGTGTTTACGTAAGAGTGGAATTGCTGGGTCCTATGGTAATTCTGTGTTCAACTTTCTTTTTGAGATGGAGTCCCACTCTGTCACCCAGGCTGGAGTGCAGTGGTGCGATCTGGGCTCACTGAAGTCTCTGCCTCCTGGGTTGAAGCGATTCTCATGCCTCAGCCTCCTGAGTAGCTGGGATTACAGGCATGTGCCATCACGCCCAGCTAATTTTTGTATTTTTAGTAAAAACGGGGTTTCACCATGTTGGCCACACTGATCTGTCTTCTGACCTCAGGTCACCCACCCTCCTCAGCCTCCCAAAGTGCTGGGATTGCAGGCGTGAGCCACCAAGCCCAGCCTCCATGTTCAACTTTTTGAGGAACCACTATTTTTTTTAATCCTACAGCAGCCACACCATTTTACATTTACAATGTATAAGGCTTTCAGTTTCTTTATACCCTTGCCAACACATGTTATTTTCCATTTTTAAAATAATAGCCATCCTACTGGGTATTAAGTTATATTCATTATAATTTTGATTTGCATTTCCCTATTGACTAATGGTGTTGAGCATCTTTTCATGTGCCTGTTGTCCATTTGTATATTTTCTTGTCTATCCAAATCCTTTATTTTATTTATTTATTTATTTTTGAGACGGAATCTGGCTGTGTCACCCAAGCTGGAGTGTAGTGGCATGACCTTGGCTCACTGCAGCCTCCACCTCCCAAGTTCAAGCGATTCTCCTGCCTCAGCCTCCTGAGTAGCTGGGTTTACAGGCTCACACCACCACGCCTGGCTAATTTTTTGTATTTTTATTAGAGATGGGGTTTCTCCATATTAGTCAGGCTGGTCTCAAACTCCTGACCTCAGGTGAGCCACCCGCCTTAGCCTCCCAAAGTGCAGGGTTATAGGCATGAGCCACCATGCCCGGTCTAGTTTTCAATGTAGAAATCTTATGCCTCTTTGGTTAATTCCTAAGTATTTTATTCTTTTTGATGCCACTGTAAATAGAATTGTTTTTCTTAAGATTGGGCACAGCGGCTCACACTTGTAATCCCAGCACTTTGGGAGGCTGAGGCAGGCTGATCACCTGAGTTCAGGAGTTCAAGACCAACCTGGCTAACGTGGGCCCACCTGGCCAACATGGGGAAACTCTGTCTCTACTAAAAATACAAAAATTAGCTGGGTGTGGTGGCATATGCCTGTAATCCCAGCTATTTGTGGGACTGAGGCAGGAGAATCGCTTGAACCTGGGAGACAGAAGTTGGAGTGAACCAAGATTATGCCACTGCACTCCAGCCTGAGACTCCGTCTCAAAAACAAACCAAAAAAAAAAACCCCAAAACAAGAATTGTTTTCTTAATTTTTTTTGGACCTTTCATTCCAAGTATATAGAAGTACAACTGAATATTGTGTGTTGATTCTATATTCTGCCACTTTGGTGACTTTATTTGTTAGTGCTAACATTTTTTTGTCTGTGTGGATTCTTTAGAGTTTTATGTTTATACTATCATGCCATTCGTGAATAGAGATAATTTTCTCTCTTCCTTTTTAATTTGGATGGGCTTTATGTATTTATTTATTTTTCTAACCTAATTGCTCTGGCTAGAACTTCTAGTGGTAGGCTAGTAGAAGTGGTGAAAGAGTGGGCATCTTTGCTTTGTTTGTGATCTTAGGGGGAAAGCTTTTGTTCTTTGTTGATAATGATAGGAACTAACAGTTTTTCATATATGGCCTTTTTCATATTGAGGAAATTCCTTCTATTCTTTGTTTATTGAATGTTTTCATCTTGAAAGAGCATTGAATTTTGATAAATGAGTTGGGCACGGTGGCTCACGCCTGTGATACCAGCACTTTGGGAGGCTGAGGCGGGCAGATAGCTAGAACCCAGGAGGTGGAGGCTGCAGTGAGCCGTGATTGGGATGCTACTGCACTCCAGCCTGGGCAACAGAGTGAGACCGTCTCAAAGAAAAAGAGTTCTTTCCCTGCCACTGCTGAGTTGAGTGGAGGCAGAGGCTTGGGTGCATTCAAGATTCAGCTTCACCCGTAGACCACCACCATGGCCACGGAAGGTGTTGCTGCTGGAGGTGTGGTGGCTGTTAATACTGCTTTACAAGAGGTGTTGAAGACTGTCCTCACCCATGATGGCCTAGCACGTGGAATTTGCAAAGCTGCTGAAGGGTCAGGCCCATCTTTTGTGTGTTTGCATCCAACTGTGATGAGCCTATGTCAAGTTCATAGAGGTTCTTTGTGCTGAACACCAAATCAACCTACTTAAGGTTGATGACAAGAAGCTAGGGGGAATGGTTAGGTCTCTGTAAAATTGACAGAGAGGGGAAACCCCGTAAAGTGGTTCGTTGCAGTTGTGTAGTAGTTGAAGTACTTCAAATGCAAGAAATGAACGAATAAAACTCTGGCTAACCCCCCTGCCCCCCAACACACACACAGACACACACACACACACACTCACAGTCACACTCACTCTGGGCATGTTGGCTCAATCCTGTAGTCCTAGCACTTTGGGAGGCCGAGGTGGGCAGATTGCTCGAGCCCAAGAGTTCAAGACCAGCCTGGGCAACATGAAATCCCATCTCTGCTAAAAATACAAAAAATGGCCAGGTGCAGTGGCTCGCGCCTGTAATCCCAGCACTTTGGGAGGCCGAGGTGGGCGGATCACGAGGTCGGGACATTGAGACCATCCTGGCTAACACAGTGAAACTCCATCTCTACTGAAAATACAAAAAAATTAGCTGGGCATGGTGGCGGGCACCTGTAGTCCCAGCTACTCGGGAGGCTGAGGCAGGAGAATGGCGTGAACCCGGAAGGCGGAGCTTGCAGTGAGCCAAGATCATGCCACTGCGCTCCAGCCTGGGCGACAGAGTGAGATTCCTTCTCAAAAAAAAAAAAAGAAAAAAAAAAAGAATACAAAAAATTAGCCAGGTGCTGTGGTCCCAAATACTTGGGAAGCTGAAGTGGGAGGATTGCTTGAGCCTGGGAGGTAGAGGCTGCAGTGAGCCATTATTGTGCCACTGCACACCAGCCTTGGTGACAGAGTGACACCTTGTCTCAAAAAAAATAAAAGAATTTTTACAAACACTTTTCTGCATCTATCGAGATGATCATGTGGTTTTTAAATTAATTTTTGTAGAGGTAGGGTCTTGCCATGTTGCCCATGCCAGTCAGGAGTATGTTTTTTTTTCTTTTGTTCAACTAATTTGGCATATTACTTTAATTGATTTTCATTTGTTGAATCATCCTTGCATTCTGGGAATAAAACTCACTTGGTCTTAATGTATCATCCTTTTAATATGCTGCTGAATTGTGTTAGTGTTTTGTTGATTTTTGCATCTATATTCATAAAGAATATTCTGTAGTTTTTTTGTTTTTTTGTTTGTTTGAGATGGAGTCTTGCTCTGTCGCTCAGGCAGGAATGCAGTGGTGTGACCTCGGCTCACTGCAACCTCTGCCTCCCCAGTTCAAGCGATTCTTCTGCTTCAGCCTCCCGAGTAGCTGGGACTACAAGTGCGCACCACCATGCCCGGCTAATTTTTTTGTATTTTTAGTAGAGATGGGGTTTCACCATATTGGCCAGGCTGGTCTCGAACTCCTGACCTCGTGATCCACCCACCTTAGCCTCCCAGGTGTAAGCCACTGTGCCTAGCCTTTTCTTTTCTTATAGTATCTTTTTCTGGCTTTGTGTCAGAGTAAATTCTGGCCTCATAATGAGTTAGGAAGTGTTTCCTTTTCTTTAATCTTTTTAAGAGTTTCAAAAGAATCGAAACTCTTTTTTCTTTGTTTTGTTTTGAGATGGAGTCTCGCTCTGTCGCCAGGCTGGAGTGCAGTGGCGCGATCTCAGCTCACTGCAACCTCCACCTCCCGGGTTCACGCCATTCTCCTGCCTCAGCCTCTCGAGTAGCTGGGATTACAGGCACTCACCACTATGCCCAGCTAATTTTTGTATTTTTAGTAGAGACGGGGTTTCACCATGTTGGCCAGGATGGTTTCTATCTCCTGACCTTGTGATCCTCCCGCCTCGGCCTCCCAAAGTGCTGGGATTACAGGCGTGAGCCACTGTGCCCGGCTGAAACTCTTCTTCTGTAAATGTTTTTTGTTGTTGTTGTTGTTGTTGTTGTTGTTTGAGTCGGAGTCTCACCCTGTTGCCCAGTCTGGAGTGCAATGGCATGATCTCAGCTCACTGCAACTTCCGCCTCCCAGGTTCAAGCAATTCTCCTGCCTCAGCTTCCTGAGTAGCTGGGATTACAGGCATCTACCACACGCCCAGCTAATTTTTGTGTTTTTAGTAGAGACGGGGTTTCACCATGCTGGCCAGGCTGGTCTCGAACTCCTGACCTCAGGTGATCTACCCGCCTTGGCCTCCCAAAGTGCTGGGATTACAGGCATGAGGCACCGTGCCCGGCACACTTTTGTAAATGTTTGGTCAAAGTTCTTGTGATCAGGAGAGATGAATGAGGTATATTTTGGAGCTCACGAAAGTGCTTCAAGGAACTAGAAGGATTTCTGGAGCACTGCAAGTTTCTGTAAAGCACAATCTGAAAGTACCACTGAATTCATCCACTCACAAAAGCTCCCATAGTGTGTGTTGGCCTCTTGCTTTGTTCCTGGGATGCTTTCTTATGATTTTTATGCTGCTGTACCTGTAATCACATGTTCTATACCTTCAAGTCTGTTTTGGAGGATTCAGTTGTGGAGATTGGGAACCCCCAGAAAGAGTATTTTGATATTTTCAGTATTTAAAATACTTTGCACACACTGTAATCTTTAAATCACCTCTGAAAACTAGGTGAGTGATCTCAAATAATAAACAAGCTTAAGTCAGAAAAATTTTGCTTAACCAAAGGATTTCTGGATTTTGTTTTGTTTTGACCCCTATAGTGAGGGTGCATTTTGTACAGATTGACTCTTCCTTTGTTTTTCTTTTTTTATCTGCTTAAAAGGAAGGTATTAGTTAGTGTTCATAGAGACTACATGCAGATTTTTCCCTTCTAAGTAGGTTAGGTCCTTTTACTTGAAGTTGTACAACAGAGGCCAAGAATAATTCCTTATAGGCAAAAAGATGAGAGTTGTTGTTGTTGTTGTTGTTTGAGTCGGAGTCTCACTATTTCGTTATTGTGTTTTTGACTCTTGGGGCATCTGAATGCTTTAGCCAGTACTGCAAAACTGACCAGTGGTGACTCTTCTTTTGTGCAGTGACTTTCAAACATTTTTGACAGCTTCCTACAATAAAATACAAGGATTATGTTGTGACCCAGTACACAAAAAATACATACATATACAACTAATGTTAAAGTCTCACAAACCAATTCTTAACCTTTATTAGAGGGAATGCAGCCTGCTATCTTCTATTTTGTTCTATTTCTTTCTCTTTTTTTTTTTTTTTTTTTTTTGAGATGGAGTCTCACTCTGTTGCCCAGGCTGAAGTGCAGTGGCGTGATCTTGGCTCACTGCAAGCTCTACCTCCCAGGTTCACGCCATTCTTCTGCCTCAGCCTCCCAAGTAGCTGGGACTACAGGCGCCCGCCACCACGCCTGGCTGATTTTTTTTTTTTTTTTGTATTTTTAGTAGAGACAGGGTTTCACCGTGTTAGCCAGGATGGTCTCGGTGTCCTCACCTCATGATCCACCCGCCTCAGCCTCCCAAAGTGCTGGGATTACAGGTGTGAGCCACCATGCCCGGCCTGTTTCTTTCTCTTCTTTAAAATACTAGTTTCAGGGGCCGGGTGCAGTGGCTCACGCCTATAATCCCAGCACTTTGGGAGGCCGAGGTGGGTGGATCACAAGGTCAGGAGATCAAGACCATCCTGGCTAAGAAGGTGAAACCCTGTCTCTACTAAAAATACAAAAAATTAGCCGGGCGTGGTGGCGGGCACCTGTGGTCCCAGGTACTCAGGAGGCTGAGGCAGGAGAATGGCGTGAACTCAGGAGGTGGAGCTTGCAGCGAGCCAAGATGGTGCCACTGCACTCCAGCCTGGGCGACAGAGCAAGACTCTGTCTCAAAAAATAAATAAATAAATAAATAAAAATTAAAAAAAATAAAAATTAAAAAAAAAATACTAGTTTCAACTTGCTGAATTGATTTCATAAATTTCTAATGGATGTGAACTTTAGTTTAAAAAATACTCCTCCAGGCGGGCATGGTGGCTTACGCCTGTAATCCTAGCACTTTGGGAGGCCTAGGCGGGCGGATAACCTGAGGCCAGGAGTTTGAGACCCACCTGGCCAACATGGTTGAAACCCCATCTCTACTAAAAATACAAAAAGTAGCCAGGCATGGTGGTGAGTGCCTGTAGTCCCAGCTACTAGGGAGGCTGAGGCAGGAGAATCACTTGAACCTGGGAGGCAGAGGTTGCAGTGGGCAGAGATTGTGCCACTGCACTCCAGCCTGGGTGACAGAGTGAGACTCCATCTCAAAAAAAATACTCTTCCATGACTCCCAGATTTGGCTGTACATATAGTTTTCTGGGCTGCTACCCTTGAAGATTTTGATTTTGTGGTTTGAGTTTGTATTTTTATAAAACATTCAGGAGTTTATATTTTTATCAGTTGCCCAGATAATTTTGATGTAGCCTTAGCCAAGTATTTGGGAACTACTAATAGATATAATGTAATAAAAACTAGTTTATTTAAAGCTGAATTTATCCCTTAAAACCACTGAAAACCATAATTGTAACTCTTAAAGTTATTGCCCTTCAAATTTTTAAAAGAATCATCTTAGTACCTGAGCTATCTGAACTCCAGTATTTATTTTATCTAATAAAATGTGGAGAGCCATTTTATGCAGTGATTGACAAGTAAAAGACAGTTAAATTCCTTTTGATTATAGAAAAAAAACAGGCTGGGCACTGTAGTAGATTAAGTTCACCCTCTGGTTTGTTCCATTCAGTAGTGATGTTGTCTTCTTTGACACAGACCAATTTATATCTGACTTGGAACACCAGCCATCAGGTTCAGCAGAGAAATGGCCTAACCACAGTGTGCTCTCATGTCCAGCTCCTTTCTGGAGAATCTAGAGGGTGAGTGTTGATTGAAATGTGTCATTGTTTTTGTGCCCAAGTCTGGTATTTGCATGCAGTGGCTGGATTTGCATGTGCTACAGAGGAGGGGGTATGCACGGGCATTTTCTGGTAGGCCCACTCATTATCTTTGGAACTACACTTTGACTAAAAGACTCTGCTTTTTAAACTTAACCACACTCAGGCTCTTACACTTGTGCTTATGATTTTATTCTTGAATGAAAGGGAAGTGTTTACTTAGATTTATTAGACCAAAGCAGAAAGAGGTTTCGTATCTATGAATTCTATATGGTTTGGGTTGCTCAGTAAATTTGGTTGCTGATCAGGTATGTAAGCCTACTCATTCCTGGTCAAGTACTCTTAACTTTTGATGTGAATGAAATCAGGAAATTTTGTCCGTTTTTCAGAGGCAACCCAGAATATTTATCCCTAGCCTCCCCTGTGGGCCCATGTTTGCACTTCCGGTAGTCCTCTGGGGCTCTACTTGGAAGAAAGCTGTAGTACTAGAGCCAGTGTCTGTGTCTAGGCTTAGGCTTCTAGACTCAGCAGCCAAGGAGGAACGAAGCTGTTCCTTGCTGTCATGTTGGCTCCTTTCTTCAAATACTATGAAAGCCACTTAAGAAAATATATGATAGAAATTATAAATACACAGATTATACCTTCCTAAATGCCATTTGAATTTTATTTTAAAATGAATCTGGATTTGGAAGGGGCCTTGGAAATCATGTTCACTACCCAAACCTTTATATTTAGGTTTCTGCAGCTTCCTGATGACCTATCAGACAAGATACCAAAACCCTAACTTCTCCCAGAACTGGGCCTACCCTGGTCTCACATCATTCTTGTCCAACCATGAGAGGAGTGGTGACTTAATTCCTGCATTGAATGTATATAAAACTCTCAGGAGAGTTATAACCAGAGGATTTAAAATAATTTCCTCATATTAGGGGTGAGAAAATAAGTTGCAGAAGGATTAGTTAAGTCACCTGAGTCACATCACAGCCAAACCAAGGCTAAAGCTTACTTCTTCCAGTGTTAAGCCCAGTGTGCTTCCCATGTGTGAAGCAACAAGTTGGTCACTAATGATCTTGGTAAGAAGGAAGTATTATGTGGAGTGAAGGGATCGATGGATGACTGAGTAAATAAGAGGTGAGAACATAGAAGAAACAGCAGTGTAGACAACTCCTTTAAGATGTTAAGCCATGAAAGAAAGAATTAGATACAGAGGGGAACATGGGGTTGAGTGTTTTTATTTGCTTGCTTGCTTCTTTGAGATAGAGAGATTTGCACTTTTTTTTTTTTTTTTTTTTTTTGAGATGGAGTCTTGCTCTGCCACCCAGGCTGGAGTGCAGTGGTGCGATCTCCGCTCACTGCACGCTCCGCCTCCCAGGTTGACGCCATTCTCCTGCCTTAGCCTCCCGAGTAGCTGGGACTACAAGGCGCCTGCCACCACGCCCGGCTAATTTTTTGTATTTTTAGTAGAGATGGGGTTTCACTGTGTTAGCCAGGATGGTCTCGATGTCCTGACCTCGTGATCCGCCCACCTTGGCCTCCCAAAGTGCTGGGATGACAGGCATGAGCCACCGCGCTGGCCCAGATTTACACATATTAAGTGCTGATGAGAAGGATCTGGGGAGACAAGTTGATAGAGACAAAGAAGTGAAGAAAATTGATGCCGCAAGGTGTTGAAGAGGTTCCAGAGCACAGGTAGTGGAATGGGTCCTGTGGATTTTTGGGTCTGGAGCTCAGGTTTGGCCCTTAGAGATAGATTTGGGAGTCAACAATGGACAAGATTATTCAGAGGAAAATGTACAAAATGAGCAAAATAGGGATAAAGGATTCTTCTGATAATTTTAAAATGCTTCTGAGTCTCACATCTTAAGCCAAATTGAGAGAAGTTGTTTATTTTTTTCACATTTCAGCTTTTGCTGATAGAAAAGAGTACATGCTGATACTTGAATATACTTTCAAGTACCTGTGTACTGTTTACTCAGCTGGAGATTTAATGTTTGTCTTTGTAGAATGTTTTCAGTTAAAAACATTTCCTAGAGGAAACATTGTTATGACGTTGATTATAGCATCACACATAGAAGAGGTTTTCTTTTTTTTTTTTCTTTTTGAGACAGTCTCGCTCTGTTGCCTAGGCTGGAGTGCATTGGCATCATACTGGCTCACTGCAACCTCCGCCTCCCAGGTTCAAACAATTCTCCTTCCTCAGCCTCCCAAGTAGCTGAAATTACAGGCACCTGCCACCACACCTGGCTAATATTTTGTATTTTTAGTAGAGATGGGATTTCACCGTGTTGGCCAGGCTGGTTTTGAACGCCTGACCTCAAGCGATCCGCCAACCTTGGCCTCTCAAAGTGCTAGGATTACAGGTGTGAGCCACTACACCCGGCCAAGAAGAGGTTTCTTAAAAAGGAAGGAGTCTTAAGAGGACTGATTTTCCCCCTCAATCCGTTGGGTGGGGAAAAAAGGTATAATAATTTTTCTTTACTAGTATTAGAGCTAATGTTAAAAGTGAATCTCTGATCTATTGCTGGTGAAATTTTTTTATATTAAAAAAGTGAAGGATATCTTCAAATCGTGCATGTATTTTTAATCTGTTCAATGGTAGGAAGCTGTCTGGAATTCAGGGTGAAATTTGAGATAACTTAGTTAAAAATCTATCAGTCCACCCCATTGTATAAGGTAAAAAGAAGAAAAAAAATAATTAGGCTTGGATTCAGTAGGTCATGCCTGTAATCCCAACACTTTGGGAGGCCGAGGTAGGCAGATTGCTTGAGCCCAGGAGTTTGAGACCAGCCTGGGCAACATGGCGAAACCTTGTCTTTACAAAAAATACAAAAATTAGCTGGGCATGGTGGCTCATGCCTATAGTCCCAGCTACTCGGGAGGCTGAGGCAGGAGGCTCCCTTGAGCATGGGAGGTGAGGTTGCAGTGAGCCAAGATCACGCCACTGCACTCCAGCTTTCAAGATCATGCCACTGCACTCCAGCCTGGGCAACAGAGCAAGATCTAGTCTCTGTCTCAAAAAAAAAAAAAAAAAAAAAAAAAATCTGGCATGAAAGAGCTCAAGCTGGTTTTCTTGCTTACAGTACTTAAATATTCTTCCTGTGTTATAATTATGGTGGTAAGTTTTATTTTTGTTAATAGTATTAGCTAAGTGAGTATAATGGAGATCCCAGAGACATTTCCACATAGGAAATTTCTCTCACACCTCATGATAATTCAGAGATCAAGATTCCTTTCAATTTGTTGTTCCTCTTTCTCCTTAGGTTTTGTCAAAGCAGAGAAACCACTTAGTCATGACTGAGTCTTAGCCCGAGGAAGGGATGGGAAAAAGGGAGGAAGAAGGAGGCCAAGCAAGTGATGAGGAAGATACGTACATCGCTTTTGCTCACATTTCATTGAAGAAAACGAATTGCATGGGCCATACCTAGCTACACTGGGGAAGCCAGGAAATATACTCTGTAGCTGGGTGTCAGTGTGACTAACTAAACCTCGATTACTGTGGAAGAATGAATTAAGATAATTAGCAGCCTACCATAGATACCTTCTAAATTTTCAGGAACTTATTTCTGTCTGTAGCTTGAAAAATCAAATGAATATTTTTTGGTTTTTCCCTTTTTTTTGTTTTATTTGGAGACAGGGTCTCACACTGTTGCCTAGGCTGGAGTGCAGTGGTGCACGATCATAGCTTACTGCATCCTGGAACTCCCTGGGCTCAAGTGATCCTCTTGTCTCAACCTCCCAAAGTGCTGGGATTACAAGCATGACCCACCACACCTGGCCAAATTAATCAGATTTTGATAAATCCAAATTAATTTCTCAACTCATGCCATAAATAGGTGAATTCAGGCCAGGCATGGTGGCTCATGCCTGTTATCCCAGCACTTTGGAAGGCCGAGGCAGACAGATCACTTGAGTTCAGGAGTTTGAGACCAGCCTGGGCAACATGGCAAACCCTGTTTCTACCAAAAATTTAAGAAAAAATTGGCCAGGTTTGGTGCTGTGCAGGTTGCAGTGAGCCAAGATCGTGCCACTGCACTCCAGCCTGGGCGACAGAATGAGAGCCTCTCAAAAAAAAAAAAAAAAAAAGGTGAATTCAGTATTTTTTCCTGTATTTAGTTTAGATGGTGCTTTTTTTTTTTATTTTGAGACAGAGTCTCACTCTGTCACCCAGGCTGGAGTGCAGTGTGCGATCTTGGCTCACTGCAAGCTCTGCCTCATGGGTTCACTCCATTCTCCTGCCTCAGCCTCCTGAGTAGCTGGGACTACAGGTGCCTGCCGCCACGCCCAGCTAATTTTTTGTATTTTTAATAGAGACGGGGTTTCACCATGTTAGCCAGGATGGTCCCAATCTCCTGACCTCATGATCCGCCCGCCTCGGCCTCCCAAAGTGCTGAGATTACAGGCGTGAGCCACCACGCCCGGCCTAGATGGTGCTTTTATAATAATTGCATACATGTAGGCTTCATTTTTAAAATACATTTAGTCTTTATTTTATAAAAACAACATCTCGGCTGGGCACGGTGATTCATGCCTGTAATGCCAGCGCTTTAGGAGGCCGAGGCGAGGTAGAAGGATCAATTGAGGCCAGAAGTTCGAGACCAGCCTGGGCAACATAATAAGACCCTGTCTCTATCCTCCCCAAAAATAAATCAGCTGGACCAGGCGCGGTGGCTCACGCCTGTAATCCCAGCACTTTGGGAGGCTGAAGCGGGCAGATCACAAGGTCAGGAGTTTGAGACCAGCCTGAACATGGTGAAACCCCGCCTCTACTAAAATACAAAAAAAATTAGCTGGGCATGGTGGCAGGTACCTGTAATCCCAGCTACTTGGGAGGCTGGGGCAGGAGAATTGCTTGAACCCGGGAGGCGGAGGTTGCGGTGAGCTGAGATCATGCCACTGCACTCCAGCCTAGGTGACAGAGCAAGACTCTGTCTCAAAAAAAATAAATAAAAATAAAAAAATAAATTAGCTGGTCTTGGTGGCACATGCCTGTAGTCCCAGCTACTTGGGGCAGGGCTCTGAAGCGGGAGGATCGCTTGAGCCTAGGAGTTCACGGCTGTAGTGAGCTATGATCACACCACTTCACTCCAGCCTGGGTGGCAGACTAAGACACTGTCTCCTAAAATAATAATAGTAATAATAATAATAATAACACCTTCATAAAATTGTTTACCCAGGGGATGAATACCTTTAATCTTCAGGTTCAGGAAAAGAATAACATGACCAAACTTTGGTGAATGTTCATTGCAGCTTCAAGAGGAAATAACATATAAATGGAGTCTAAAAATACCCCGAAATCCTTTACAAAATTGCAAATTAGAAAGGCCCGTTGGGATTTTGTGTATATGGCAGTGTGTATCTACTCCCTTCAAAGAGGGAGCACACTGGGTTACCCTGCCCCTCTCTACCTGGTTGTGAGGTTCCATACTATATACTTGTCAGTTCTAACTTTGAATTCTTAAGCATGGGAAATAGCTCTAAATAAGAGTCCTATTGGTACTCAAGCACCTCATTCTTGTGTGTAGAAATAGCATTCCAGTGGACTGCCAATTTGAACATTTCTTGAATACGAACTTTTTCTCTTACAGCAAACATTATTGATAGCTGTGACTCTACTTTTGTTGTGGTGGCACAGGCAAATTCAGGTGTTGGGGTAGTGGAAGTCACAGATGGTGGCTGCCAAAAGTGTGCCAGATCCTGTGACCTACATAACCTGTTAGCACCCTTATTGAGGACTGTTCACTCTTGTTCTAGGCTTTTAATTCACTTTGCTCTTTAAAGGGAGGAAAATGAGGGCTGGGTGCGGTGACTCACGCCTGTAATCCCAGCATTTTGAGAGGCCGAGGTGGCCAGATCATGTGAGGTCAGGAGTTTGAGACCAACCTGGCCAACATGGCAGAAACCTCGTTTCTACCAAAAATACAAAAATTAGCTGGGTGGGAGGCAGCAGTTGCAGTGAGCCAAGACCACACCACTGCACTCTAGCCTGGGTGACAGAGTAAGACTCTATCTCAAAAAAATTGGGGGGAAGAAAAATGATAAAATTGTACATTAGGGGCATAAACAATTCCTTATACTCTTATCTTAAATTGGTGAAAAAAATAGGAAACCACCTCACATACTTAGTGGACTAGAGTTTATTTTTCCTTTTTTTTTTTTTTAAGAGACAAATTGTCCCGGCCGGGCAGGGTGGCTCACGCCTGTAATCCCGGCACTTTGGGAGGTCGAGGCAGGTGGATCACGAGGTCAGGAGATCGACACCATCCTGGCTAACACGGTGAAACCCCGTCTCTACTAAAAAAAAAAATACAAAAAAAAAAAAATAGCCAGGCATTGTGGCGGGCGCCTATAGTCCCAGCTACTCGGGAGGCTGAGACAAGAGAATGGCGTGAACTTGGGAGGCGGAGCTTGCAGTGAGCTGAGATTGCGCCACCGCACTCCAGCCTGGGAGACAGAGGGAGACTCTGTCTCAGAAAAAAAAAAAAAATTGTCACTTTGTTTGTTGGCCAGGCTCTTCTTGAACTCCTGGCCTCAAACAATCTTCCTGCCTTGGCTTCCCCTAGTGTTGGGATAACAGGCATGAGCCATGGCACCTGGCCTGGATTACAGTTTAAATAAATTAGCAAATTCATGCATATATCCATTCAAGATGACTTGAAAAATTAAATTGCAAGCATTAGTATTTTTAACAACTTAAAAATTGTGCTTATCAAGATTGCTAATGACTTACATTTACATTACATCATAGATTTGTTTACCAGTAATAATTTTGACTTGCTTCAGTTGAGACCTACGTTTTGGCCAGTCCCAGCAGGAAGATATCTGAGGAATCTAGAGGTGAGAGCCTGAACCCAGAGCCCCCAGCCCGAGGGAGAAGTGAGGGAGAAGGAAAGCAGAGGACTTGCATGATTAACACTCGGCTCAAGTTATTGCTAAAGGTCTGTGAAAGCACTTTGTTGCAGTTCTGACTCCCTAGCCTAAAATTTATATTCAGTGCTCACCTGTAGCAATTACTTGAGCATGATTTTTGTTGTCATTGTTCCAAGTCCCCAAATTGTTTTAAAGATTCAGTTGGCAAGTAATTTTATTTAGTACTCAATATATGTAAGCACTAGGGATTCAGGGGAAAACAAGATAGAGAAAGTCTGCCCCGTTGGAACTTAAATCTCCTGACTGCTGGTGAATTCATAAATAAGTGAATCCTGTAGTATAATGTATAGTTGAGTATAGTCCGCTTGAGCACTACTTTGTGGAAAATCTTCTGACTTTAACATAGTCTTAAAATCCTAAACTGTCAGGAACTTTCCAGGTTCCTTCAGCTAAGTAAGGTGAGGCACACCAGGCAAAGGAACAGCAGAGCTTTGGCAAGGGGGAGCAGAAATAACACAGCATTGAGCAGGCTTCCATTATAATCAATACCACATATCTACTTTAGAAAATGATGGTTTCATCCTTATATAAGTGTACTTGGTAAGTGGATGGACAGTGCCAGATATGGACCCTCATCGTCAGGAAAATAGAAGCATTGACTTCTTATAAGATATAGAAGAACAACACCTCGGCTGGGTGCAGTGGGTCACGCCTGTAATCCTAGTACTTTAGGAGGCTGAGGCAGGAGGATCACTTGAGTCCAGGAGTTTGAGACTAGCTTGGGCAACATGGTGAGACCTCATCTCTGCAGAAAGAAAAAAAAAATCCAAAAATTAGAAAGGCATAGGCGTAGTAGCACATGCCTGTAGGCCCAGCTACTCAGGAGGCTTAGGTGGGAAGATCAAGGCTGCAGTGAGCCGTGATTGTGCCACCTGCATTCCAGCCTGGGCAACAGAGTGAGACCCCATTGCCAAAAAAAAAAAAAAAAAAAAAAAAAAAAAAAAAAAAATAGAAAAAAGAAAAAAAAGAGAGAAAACACGTCATGTGGTTTTTGATGATAAAACACCATTTAAAATCCGTTTGTAGTTTTAAAACTTGAACAGTGAAATACAAATTGTTAAAAGTGTTTTTCATAGCAGCCTGGAACATCTTTGAAATTATTGCCTTTGGAAGTGATAAATGATAAGAAAAGATGATTTGATTGTGAGCCAGGTGCTTGCTTATATATTTGGCTTTTTGCCACTGCTGTAACGCCTGCCTAAAATACACACTGTGAAAATCAAATAACATGCATTAGTCTTAACATACTCTGGTCCCCTTCCTACCTACCACCTAATGAACTTTCACTGTGCTTGTTCTAAATAGCTTCCAAGTGATTGTATTGAATTAGGGTCCATTTATTTAGTCATCAGGAATGGGTGTTTCCTCAGTGGCAAGGTTCTTGCCTTTTGGGAGTTCATAGCCTATTTGGGAGACATAATGATGATGCCTGATGATAATCTAATATGAAGAGGAGGCATGTTAGAAGTCACGCACAGAGATTTGTGGGCCATCCTTGTGCTCCCTCTTAGCACAAGACTAGCTCGTAGAACCCCCAGAACCTGCACAGAAAACACTCTTCCTTATATTTTTTGTGACTTGAAATAACAGGTGCCAAGGGCTGCCTTGCGTTCTTATGCCCACTTTATATTCCCTCTCTATGTACTGTATAAGAGGTATTTCTCTTCTCCATTGTACTGATGGGGAAACTGAAGAGAAAAATATATTCTTATGCAAAGCATCCTCACAACTTTTCATTTACAAAGAAACTATTCCAGTGAGTTATTTTTAGAAAGTCAGGAGTAAGTTTAGTTTATATTCCATTATTCTTTGCAGCATCCATTATGAATGGTTAATAAATCCTAGCCTGGCAAATTTACTTAAATATCATCTGACAGGTCAGGCACAATGGCTCATGCCTGTAATCCCAGCACTGTGGGAGGATTGCTTGAGGCCAGGAGTTAGAGATCAGCTTTGGCAACATAGCAAGACCCTATCTCTACAAAAAAAATTTTAAAATCAGCCAGGTGTGGTAGTGTGTGCCTATAGTCCCAGTTATTAGGTTGGTGCAGAAGTAATCACGGTTCTTGCCATTAGAAGTAATGCCAAAAACCACAATTACTTTTATACCAACCAAATACTTTGGAGGCTAAGGTGGGAGAATGGCTTGAGCCCAGGAGTTCAAGTTTGAACCATGATTGCACCACTGCACTCCGGTCTGGGTAACAGAGCGAGACCCTGTCTCTTAAAAAACAAAACACCAGGCGTGGTGGCTCACACCTGTAATCCCAGCACTTTGGGAGGCTGAGGCAGGTGGATCATGAGGTCAGGAGTTCAAGACCAGCCTGGCCAAGATGGTGAAACCCTGTCTCTACTAAAAATACAAAAATTAGCCGGGCACGATGGCGGGCACCTGTAATCCTAGCTACTTGGGAGGCTGAGGCAGGAGAACCACTTGAACCCGGGAGACGGAGGTTGCAGTGAGCCAAGATTGTGCCGCTGCACTCTAGCCTCGGTGACAGAGCAAGACTCCATCTCAAAAAAAAAAAAAAAAAAAAATCTGACAAAGTACTTTATTAATCTATACCTTAAAAAATTGCTTATCACTGGCCAGGCGCGGGGGCTCATGCCTGTAATCCCAGCACTTCAGGAGGCCGAGGTGGGTGGATCATGAGGACAGGAGATCGAGACCGTCCTGGCTAACATGGTGAAACCCCGTCTCTACTAAAAATACAAAAAATTAGCCGGACACGGTGGCATGCACCAGTTTAAAAAAAAAAAAAAAAAAAAGCTTATCACTTAGTAGTTATTAGCTCACCAGTATTGATTAATCTTCACTGTTTTGCAGAGTCCTTTGGCTTCAAGTCCCTACTTCTTTACTATTCTATGTTCAGTACTAACCACAGCTAAGCCAAATCTTTTTTTTTTTTTTTTTTTTGAGACAGAGTCTCACTCTGTTGCCCAGGCTGGAGTGCAGTGGCACGATCTTGGCTCACTGCAACCTCCACCCGCCGGGTTCAAGCAATTCTCCTGCCTCAGCCTCCTGAGTAGCTGGGATTACCGTTGCCTGCCACCGTGCCTGGCTAATTTTTGTATTTTTAGTAGAGACAGGTTTTCACCATCTTGGCCAGGCTGGTCTTGAACTCCTGACCTTGTGATCCACCCGCCTTGGCCTCCCAGAGTGCTGGGTTTATAGGCATGAGCCACCGCGCCTGGCTTTTTTTTTTTTTTTTTTTTTTGAGATGGAGTCTTGCTCTGTCTCCCTGGCTGGGCTGCAGTGGCACAATCTCGGCTCACTGCAACCTCCACATTCCAGGTTCAAGCAACTGAATTAGTAAATATTAGTTCCTTCTCCTTATAGCCATATGAGTTTGAGAAATTTTTGTTCCGAACTGTGTAAACCAGAAAAAGATTAGATGTTAATACTTGGAAGATTTTTAAAATCTTTTTGTTTTGGTCTGTTTTTGTTTATAACAGCTGTAATGAGATATAATTCACATACCATAAAATTTATCCTTAAAAGTATACAACTCAGTGGTTTTTAGTATAGTCAGAGTTTTGCAACTATTACTAGTATCTATTTTTATATTGATTGATTGATTGATTGATTTTTTGAGACAGAGTCTCACTCTTGTTTCCCAGGCTGGAGTGCATGGTGCAATCTCGGCTCACCGCAACCTCCGCCTCCCAGGTTCAAGTGATTCTCCTGCCTCACCCTCCCGAGTAGCTGGGATTACAGGCATGTGCCACCATGCCTGGCTAATTTTGTATTTTTAGTAGAGATGGTGTTTCTCCATATTGGTCAGGCTGGTCTCAAACTCCCGACCTCAGGTGATCCGCCTGCCTCAGCCTCCCAAAATGCTGAGATTACAGGCATGAGCCACTGCGCCTGGCTACTAATATCTAATTTTATAACTCCATTACTCTGAAAAGAAACTCCATACTCATTAGTAATTCCTCCCTGTTTCTCCCTCTCTACAACCTGTAATCTATTTTCTGTCTCTATGGATTGGCCTGTTCTGGACATTTCATATAAATGGAATCATATATGACCTTTTATTGTCTGGCCTATTTCACTTAGCAGACTGTTTTCAAGGCTCATCCATGTTGTAGCATGTATCAGAACTTCATTACATCTCAAGGCTGTATATTCCATTTTATGGATAGAGACAACTTACGTTTATCCATTCATCACTTGGTAGACATTTGGATTGTTTCCACTTTTTGGCTATTATTAATAATGCTGCTGTGAACATTTGAAAGTTTTTCATGTGGACATATGTTTTCACTTCTCTTGTAAATATGCCTAGGAGTGGAATTAGCATAGACTCTTTAGTTGATAAGGCAAGGAATGAAATGATGTGAGAACTAAAGGTTCTTATTTGGGGGATTTGGGATGTTCCCTTCTATGTTAGTTCTGTAAGATGGAAATTCTTTGCTCTGGACCTCACAGAGCACTGTACCTCCCTGAGATGCTTAGGACATCAGAGAAATTAACAGAAAAGCTAGAGCCTCCAATCAGAAAAGATCACAAACAACAGAAATGCCCCCACATAATAAAGAGTGCTTGTATTAGGATACAGTAGCAAAATCACCCCCACATCACAGTGGTTTATTCTGACCAAAGCATTTATTTTCATTCCATTTACATAGGAGGTGGCATTGTAGAAAATAAAAACTTTCTCAAAGAGATATGAATTAAAGAAAAGTTAGAGTAAGGTGAATACTTATTTAAACATACCTTTAGAGTGAGGGTAAGCCCCCTTCCCAACCCAAAATGAACTGAATGAGAGAGAAAAAGAGGTCCAGAGTAGTTTGTGGAGCGATGTTTCCATCTCTAATGCCACTCAGCTCAGGAGCAGGCTTCAGACACTGCCTTTATCTTTACAGAAAGCCATGGGAAGGGAAATGTCTGAGGTAGAGCTCAGCGTTGGGCATCATATGGCTAATCACTCAGAGGTCACTAATCACTCTCCCTTTTCTTGTTTTTCAGTGAACGAGATAATTGGGAGAGACATGTCCCAGATTTCTGTTTCCCAAGGAGCAGGGGTGAGCAGGCAGGCTCCCCTCCCGAGTCCTGAGTCCCTGGATTTAGGAAGATCTGATGGGCTCTAACAGTGCTTACTGCAGCCTTGTGTCCACCACCAACTTCTCAGCATGTTTCTCTCCTTGGACCTTGGGTTTCCAACTCTGCAGCCTTCAGGTCTGGGGCCAGGAGTGGGACCCACCATTTGTGGGGAAAGTAGCATTCCTCCACCTCAGGCCTTGGGTAGATTTGGCAAAAGAACAGGAGCAGCATAGGCTGTTTGAGCTTTGGGGAAATGAACTTTGCTTTTTATATTTAACTAGGATACTTTTATATGATGGGTGCTTTGAGTGTGAATGCAGCAGGCTCTCTTGTTTCCGAGGTGCTGCTTTTGCAGGTGACCTGGTTACTTAGCTAGGATTGGTGATTTGTACTGCTTTATGGTCATTTGAAGGGCCCTTTAGTTTTTATGATAATTTTTAAAATAGGAACTTTTGATAAGACCTTCTAGAAGCAAAAAAAAAAAAAAAAAAAAAAAAAAGAAAAAAAAAGAAAAGAAAAAAAGAAAAAGAAAAAAATATCCCAAGCCCACACCTATGCCTCAGAAAGTCAGCATGTGTCCTGAAGACGTTCATAGATTTATAGGAAATAAAGCCAAATGTAGCTCATACCTCTTTATAAAACTAAACTGTTGTTAGATAAAATGAGAAGAGACCATTCCATCATTGAAGTGTTGGAATATAAAAAGACATTCCAGAGCATAGCCTTTTGGTAACTTTCTAGGTAATCTTGCAATCTCTCCATACTGGCTCCATGTTGAAATTGCTTTTTCCCTCAGGACCCTGGGTAAGATGGCTACATTTAAGGTGACTCTGAATGGTGGGGTTCTAGCTTGGTCACTTTCATTTCTTGCCATCATAAAAACTAGTAGGCTGTGGAGTGCGCTTCCTGTTTGTGTCATCTGGTCGTAGAACCTTTTCCAAACAGAAGCATCTGCCTTTGGCTGTTCTGTGACCTTTGAAGCCAGTCTCAGTGGTTTAGGCAGCTTTGCAGTTCTAACTCTAGCTAGAGGCCAGGCTGTGTGCAGAGCTAAAGCACAAATGAGCAGTACATCAGCATGGGCAGAGAAAATACAGGACTCCAGATGGGAAGGTTTTAAGAGTCACACTGGCATGGAAGGCTTATCTGCCATTCTATTTATAGCCTGAAATGATTCTGGCCTACCCTGTCCTGTCTGTATGATCTAAAAACCAGCCTTTTCCCCAGAAGGCTCTGAGCACATCCAGAAGTGATAACCTGACCCTCCACACCAAAGACACCCTGGTGCTGCTGCTGGTGAGACTGGTGTCCAAGGCAGGGCCCAGCAGAAACTGCAGCCTGCTGTCTACCAAAGGAGGTACCCGAGTTGGGTACTTTAAAAAAAAAAAAAACCTGCCCTTACCCCTCTCCCTAATGGGATTTTTTTTACCTGTTCCTGGGCCCATTACAGAGCCTCTGAAGTTTGCAGTATGCTTTCAAATGAAATAATATACTTCCATTGATTCAGGAAGCAGATTTTTTGAGTGCCTATATGTGAGACAGTGTGCTGGTTGAAGGCCTGATGCTGTTATTCCAGGAGACTGCAGGCCCTTGATGCCAGGACTCTCTCTACTAAGGCCAGTTCAGGTCTGGGAAAGGGAGCTGGCCTATTGCCCACCACCTGTTGTCAGTAGGTTAGGAGCTGTTGACTCAGGATGAGGAAGTATGGTCTTTAAAAAAAACAAAATATATTTTAGATTTCTCCCCTAAAGTTAGTTAGAGAAAAAGGTCTATTCTTCAGCAGATCACTGTGGCCCCTCTTGGAGCTGGGTGTTTTCAAATTTTCTTGAAAAGTGAGTTGTGTCACAGAATGTGGATAGTGAGATTTGCTTCTGGGCCTGTGGTTGGACGCCCACAGCTTCCTTTGGAGGGGCAAGAAGTTGGCCTCTCGGTTGACATTCCAGAGAAATGGCCAGACTTGCCCCTACCCTTTTGCCCCTGGTGTAGCTGCCTCACATGAGGTTATTGCAAGAGTTCCCCTTGCAATACCCTTTGTGCCCTCAAGAATTAAAAGCCTCTATGATCCAGAGTTGCTATGCACCAAATTTTGATGCCTTCTAAATACCTTGATGCCTGTAGCACTAGAAATGCTTTCCTATTTAAAATAAACATTAAATTTTAAAATAGAGCTTTGTATACTATGTAAGCAGTTTTATATCAGCTTTGTAAAAGCTTTGGTGTTAAGAGTCAATATTTTTTGGCTTTGTAGATAAAGACTTAAATTTTTGTGCAACATAGTGGTGTTAAAGCACACATCCATTGGACTATGCAAATCAATTTCTACTAGCAGCACTGAGCAACTGGGCACGTGCTAGTACGCACCCCCTCCTACTCTAACTGTGCTAGCTCTTGGGTTGAGGAATGGAATGGGTAGCCTTCTGCTTACTGGAGATGCACAGAGAAACATGGCTGAAAACAGCTTTAAAAAGAACATGTCTTTGGGTTCATGTGTGGTGCTGCTGCCCGGGTGTAAACTATCCCCACCCAGGGCCAGCCATTATCACCAGACCTCTTCTGGGCCTGGCTGTGAAGCCCTGTTTTTGGTATTCAGAATGGATCTTTAAGGCTCAGATGGGCTCAAATTGAAACCTTGTGTTTTATAAAATGGATGTTTAGTAAAGGAACTGGTTCTCAGTTATGTTTACAGCACTTGGAATTGTGTGTTCTTGTACATTTTGTATTTTAAAACCTTTTATGGGAGTGCAGTGCTCCTTACACAAATACAAAGGGAAGAAGAGCCAGCAGTTGAGGCTCCTCAGTTTTAGTGCTGAAATAATAAACAGTGACAGGTCAACAGTATCCTTAATCTGTCTGAGTGTTCCTCCGCCTGGGGTTGGTGTGGAGCCCCTCACTTTGGGGCAAAGTTAAGGGTCCTGTGTCTTTTAAAAAGTCCATTTGGTCAATAACTTTTCATTTAAGGAAGAGAAGATCGAGTTCCAAATTGCTTCCGAGGCTTCAGTTCTGTACCATTTAATGCGTGCAAAGGACATTCCATGGTGTCTGCTGGGTTCAGGGCAACTGGCTTTCCCAAGGCATACAAGAAAAGTTGGCAGAAAGTCCTCCCCTTTAAAATTCAAGCCTGAAGGTTTTGTGTGGGGGCCTACTGCCCCCTAATGTCTTCTGGTGATACTGCAGCACAGTCCATCAAAATAGTTTGTGGTTTTGCCATCTGTTACTCCTTATGCCCACCTGGAGAGGGGCTAGCATCTTTAGGTGGGACCACCCCTGGCACAACATGGTCTCTGAGGTCCAGATACTCTGAGGGTAGGGGCTGGCTCTCTCTGCCTCCCTATCCCCTACAAGAGGGACAGGGAGAGGTAGAACATTGGGATCTTTACTCAGAGGCTCAGATGGACCCTTGATTCTCCCAGGAGTCATACATTGAAGGTACCAGAGCTTCCATTTTATAAAAGAAAGCAAGCCTGCCGTGGACCTGTCAGCCCCACGATATCTGTCGGCATGGGCCACAGCCAGGACAGACTTAAGGGCTCTCCAGGTGCCAGTCAAGATGCCTGGCTCAGGCCATCAGGAGCTGGTTAGCCCCATTCCACCCCCAGCCCTGCATGCAGGGTCCAGCCATTGTCTTTGGGGGAAACAGGCAGAATAAGTGGAGGATGGAGCTGGGGCTTGGGCTCCTCTAGGTACCTTCTGAGAGCTTTGACAAGCCAGAAAGAAGCTACCAGGTTGAGGGTGCTGGTCTTCTGGACTCAGGAGAGACATGTTCGCCGAGGATATCAGCTGGCTCTTACCTCCTGGCTTTCTCTCCTACAAACACACCCATTCCTTGGGGGCTTGTAACACAGTGCGAGGTGGGTCACCAACAGGCATCAGACTGGTGTAGTCATCAGCGGGTAGCTACAGAAGGGACACAGATTTAGGGCAGAGAGCTCAGCCAGACCCGCCAGGCCCTCCGGCCACACAATCTCACCTGGTAGGCCTGGAAGACGCTGAGCAGATCCTTCATACCAGCCGTGTATGGGACACCCTGCATGCGGACCAAGGCTCCTGACTGGGACAACACTGAGGTGGGAGCAGAGGCCAGGGCAGCAGTGGGTGTAGTGAGGTAGCCCACAGTGGTGGGGGAGACTGGGGGGCTAGGGTGGGAGAGACAAGGTTTAGTCATGCATGCCACCTGTGGCCTAGACCGAGACCTGTTTCCCTCCTCCCTTGTTTCTGCCTTGTGCTTAATTCAGTTCCTCCCTGAAGCCCCAGCCTCTACAGAGTCATTTTCGATCTGTTTTGTAGATGGCATTAGCCAGCTGCCACCTTACTCCCTTGTCATCTCAAGGGAGGAGTTATCTGGTCCAGAAAGGGGATCGTGACCTTTCCCCAGATTGGGACAGGGAGTGGGACTGTGATATTCTCTTAGCTGCAGGGTACCTTGGGTAGTAGGCTGTGTAGTTCAGGTAGAGTTGAGTGGCTGGCCCTGGATAGTAGGCAACAGGGGTGGGGGCAGCAGGCACCCTGGCAGCTGGGAGCAGTGCTGAAGAGGGGTATAGAGCTGCCGTCTCCGTGGGAATGAGCGTTGGGGTGGCTTGGAAGGTGGTGTAGGTAGGTGGTGAGAGGCCTAGAGACGGAAGTAGAAAGTGCATGTGCACGGAGCCCAGCACTGCCCTGGGTGGGGTAGCCAGAAAGGAGTCCCCGCTATAGAAGGTAGGGGCTTACAACAGCCTGGCTACCACAGGCCTCCTCCTCCCCTAGCCCCTAGGGCACTCACAGGGCAGCTTGCAGGGTGGAGGGGACATGCCACTGCGGCCCAAGGTGCCCCCCATCAGCACTCGGCTCATCTCCTCTGTGGAACAGGGGACCACCTCCACGTAGCGCTCCTTCATCACCTTCTTATGGCAACGCTGAGCAGCAGCTAGGGCTCGCTCTGCTGATGTCATCTGAATGAAGGCATCGCCCGATGGCCGGCCCTGTGCACACCATCTTGTGAGCAGTTTGTCATGTGTAAGAGTGCCTTACCCCTAACACACACCCCTTCCTATTTATGTGTTCCCCCTACCAAGCAGTGGCTTCACCTGCTGGTTGAGCACCATGTGTACACCGTGGGGCCGAATGTCAGCTGCTGCCTCCCCCAGAAAGCTCAGGATGTCTTCAATGGTGGCCGTGTAGGGCAGGCCTCGGAGGCGTACACAGTCCCTCCCAGTCCCAGGTGCCAGTGGGAAGGGGATGGGCAGCAGTGGGGCAGTCAGTGTAGGAAGGAGTGGGCCGGATGCATAGCGGTTCAAGACCTAGTAAGGAAGGCAGCAACAGGCTGGTCATGCCAAGTAGGGCAGGGACACAGAGGGCCGCCCTGGAGTAACAGTACATCTGGGGGTGGGGAGCCCTGGGCGCTCACCTGCTGCACTTCGGCTGCAGTGCTCCGGAAGAGTTCAATGTATCGCTTACCCAGCATGCCCTTGTGCCTGCGCAGTGCAGCCTGTGCCAGCTCCTCACAAGCAAAGAGGGCGAAGGCATCACCAGTCGGCCGGCCATCAGGATGGCGCACAAAGAGCAGCCCCTCGGTACCCCCAGTCACTGGGCACTCTGGCCCCAGGAAGCCAAGCACGTCCGTTGGCCCAGCCGAGAAGGGCAGTCCCCGCAGCCGCAGGATCACTTGGTCTTCCCGTGACAAGAAACGAGCCACCTCTAGTGATGTGCCTGTGTATGAGAGTCGCCTGCTGACTTCACTCATGCTCCTCCAGACACTCACCCATGCAGGGGAGCAGGCAGGCAAGGGGTGGTGGGGAAGTGAAATGGATCAAGAACCAGGGGAGCCAGGCCCTGTTTGCAGTATACTCACCCCCTGCAATCTTTACAAACTCCTCCCCTGTCGCTTTATACACCTGTGGGTACAGAGAGCAGCAGCCCATGGGTCTCAGGCCTGACTCAGATTGGCCCTGCTCCGCTCCCAGCCCAAAGCCCCACCTCAATATAGCGGACGCCCATGTGGTGCTTGTGTCTCTGCAGCGCTAGGTCCCGCTGCTCGCTGTCCACAAAGCGGATGAGGGCCTCGCCATTTCTGCGGCCCTGGGCGTTGAGGCAGAGTGCTACACCACCCCTGTGGAGCCAGTGCTGTTAGTGCCTCCTGGGTAGGCCTGTCCAATTGGGCCCACCCACCCTGCCACACCCACCTGGCCACGTTGAGCCCTTTGAAGAAGCGAGCCACGTCCTGGTCTGATGACTGCCACGGCAACCCACGAGCCCGTACCACAGTCTCACTGTCCACCACATCAGCCTTGCTGCTGTAGGGGCAGGGCACAGTGCTGTCAGAGCTATTCAGCTGTTGTCACCCCCAGCCCCTGCTCCCACACTCACCAAGGCCCCGTCTCGTATTTCTGCTTTATCACCTCGGGCTTCGAAAACAATTGACCTGAGAAAAGATGGCCTGGGGGTCAGCAGGGTCTGGTGGAGAGGGGTGTCCCCACCAAGTTCTGCAAAAAGTGGACAATTGAGAGAGATGAAGAAATGACAGGCCGAGCACAGTGGCTCACGCCTATAATCCCAGCACTTTGGGAGGCCAAGGTGGGTGGATCATTTGAGGTCAGGAGTTCCAGACCAGCCTGGCCAACATGGTGAAACCCCATCTCTACTAAAAATACAAAAATTAGGTGGGCATGGTGGCAGGCGCCTATAATCCCAGCTACTCTGGAGGCTTAGACAGGAGAATCGCTTGAACCCGGAAAGTGGAGGTTGCAGTGAGCTGAGATTGTGCCACTGCACTCTAGCCTAGGCTACAGAGGGAGACTGTCTCAAAAAAAAAAAAAAAAAAGAAATGACAAAGAGGATTCCCCCGTGGTCTCTTAGAGAAGGTCACAGTGGGGAGGAGCAATAGGCATTTGTCATCCCTGAGAACAGGTGACAGGCAGTGAGGGAAACCTTACTGCTGGGCTCTTTGAGTAGATGGAGGATAACAGCTACCATTGTCTTGACTTCCCAGACCCCAAAGTCATCCTCTGTGGCATCTGTCTCCAGTCCTAAACCTATGGGCAGAGAAGTGACAGTGAAGACATCTTAGCATAAGCACTAATCCTGTTTACTCCTGGGCCCAACTCCCCTCCATAGACACATGCTGGAGACCAGCATACACATTTGTTTTGGCCCAGTTCATGTGTGCACATACAGATTCCCAGTCCAGACATAGACAGACACATACCCACATTCCAAACTCATCCTAGCACAGACACGAAGACACAGTACACTCAGGGACTTAGCAGATAACGCAGTCTTGTATGTGTCCATATTACCCACCCACAGCATGCACATACTCAGACACATGTACCCACAGTGGCTTCTCCACCCTAACCCTGCTGGGTCACAGATACCCTGTGCCATGGTGGCCACAGTGAGGTCCCTGGCAGGGCAGGTGCTTGGATGCTGCATATGGAATTCTCTTCGGAGGTCATAGAAGGAGAAGAACATGTCGGGGAGCACCAGGTTCTGGGGGCACATAGGATTGAGGATGAGCGCCCTGCCCACCCTCAGGACAAGAGGGGTTCTGGGAACCTTACTGACCACCCCACCCCACCCGGTTTTCCTTCAGGAGCATACCTTCCTGGAGGCCTCGGGGTGCAGGACCTGTCGCAATAGCTGCTGCCCATCAGTGCAGAGCATGTAGGGGCCCCCGCCCAGCAAAGCCACATCCCCGTTCACCAGCTGTGAGAACTGGGGATAGGGAATGGGGAGAGAGAAACACACAGATTCACAGCTGGGCAGGCAGGAAGTGAGGGTAGGAGGAAGGAGGCAGGCTGCAAAGCTGGTTCAGCCAGATGTTCAGCCCTATCCTGCCTGGGAATAAGAGGCCACGCCTGTTGAGCCTAGCCCTATGTCCCTTCCCCTCACCCCCCAACCCTGTTCCAGTCCACTGTCACCTCCTCCAGGCCAAATGAGGGCAATCACATATAACCGAAGCCCTCAACACACACACTCCAGGAGTTTGGAGTGGGGCCAGAGCAAACACCTGGAGTGGGACAAGCAGGTGGGAAGGGGCGGGGCAAAGCAGGTTAAACCTGTCTTTGACCGGGTACCACCCTCAGACAGGTGGGGGAGGCCCAGGCCTGCCTGAGGCCCAGAAGGCTCATGGTCAATGGCAGCCCCGCCTCCAGGTCTGACCAACCGAGGGGCAGAGAAACTCCAAGGACAGAGCTCCACACTTGGACATCAGGGGCAGCATGAGCTTTGACCCACATCCTATTGACCGGCTGGCACTGAGCTGTTTGCTCATAGAGGGGGTGGCACTCCTGAGGCTGCCCAGCCCTCCCCCAGCCTCCATCCTTGCTGGAGAAGTATAAACACTAATCAGTGACCCACGAACCCTCCCTGCCAATTCTGTGACACTTTACAACTTGGGGCTGACAGAGCAAGGCAACCCAGCTCTCCTCCAGCAAACTCCCCAAGTGAAGGGCCGGGAGCCCTTCTGGAACAGACAAGGAATCATCATCGTGGTGCCTCCTCATCAGGAACCACAAGAGTTGTTGGAAGATGAAAGAACGTGAGTGTATAAAAAGGACTTACACTAATTACACTCAAGAGTCAGACATAGAATGAGCGCCGTAGTGAAGATAAGGAAAAGAAAACAGCAATGGAAACCACCTCCCACTTCAGCTAGGGCAGGAGGCACCCCAGGCCTTTGCACTCAGCAGGCAGATAGTCCCCCAGGCCAGGCCGGGACAGCGCCCACGCCTGGCCAGCCGGCCGGGACAGGCCTAGACGAGCAGTTTACACCTGGCGGCGTCTACCTCTAGGGCCGACACCGCCCTACGCCTCCGCTCCAGCAGCTCCCAAGCAGGCCGAAGACGCGGGCCGCAAGGACAGGTGACCTATATGGGCCCCTCGACCCCTTTCGCTTCCGGCTGCGGCTCAGGGAGACCTGACCCAGCAGGTCTCCCAAAGGCGTCTCGGCCTCGCTCCCCGGGCGGGAACTGGGGATGGATCCCAAAGCCTGCGTCCCGATCCCTTCGGTAGGAGTAGGTTCCTGCAATGGTTGAAAAGTAAGGAGCCCAGGGGAATGGCTGGCACGCGCGGATGAAAGGGGCACGCACACGCGAGAGTCGCTCAAAGTTTCAAACAAGAGCCCAGTCCTGCCGCCTGGACCGGTTGGTTGCGGCACGCCAGGCCTAGCCTCCGGCCGCCAATCCCGCCCAGAAATGTCCTCACGTCCAGGCCATGCCGCCACCCACCCCGGCGCTCACCTGCTGCAGCACCTTGTCCAGCGGCTCTGCCCGCGCCAGGCTGTCGGCGCTCAGGCCGCTCGCCTCGCGGCACTGCGTACTCAGTGCGGCCGCCTCGGCACGAACCAGCGATTTGTGCAGCGTCCCCACCTGTGAGCGGCGGGGGAAACCGATCAGCCGCGCCCCTCGACCCCGGAAGCTCCCTGGGGACCTCACCGCCTCTTTTCCACCCTACCTGGCGGCTCCGCGGCTCAACCACTTGCCAAACTAGGAGGATTAAGTCGGTCTCGTCCGAGCCCAGGTCCCGTCCCAGCGCACCCGCCGTAGCCCCGAAGAGGACGACCAGTGATCCGGGCCAGGGGCAGGGGTCCGCGGCGGGGTCGGCCGCGGGGTCAGGGCCCGGGGGAGGGGGCGGCGGCGGCGGCGGAGTCATGGCCGCAGAGGAAGGGGGCTCTCGGCCAGACACGCGGACCGACGAGGCGCACGCACGCACCGACCGACCGCAGACGCGGATCAGCTTGGGCGGGACACCGTGTATCGGGGGCGGCACCTGCGGCCCGGCTGGCTCAGTGGGCGCTGCCAAGACCCGCCCGTGGCGCCCCGCGGGGCGGGGCGGCTACCGGCCCACGCCCTCTCCAGGCGAGTTACCTGCCGGCCCCGCCGGCCACGTGACCGGGGCGGCTCCGGGAACCTTGGGGGAGGGCCGCCAGAACTCAACCCAGGACGCAAGAGCTCACGCTCCCGGCCTGGGCGCACGCTTAGGATCCGGATTCCTACTTCCAGGGCTGGTCCTGCCTGATTTTGGGGGCTAACCCATTCTTCCGCTCTCCCCCCACTCTTCCCCAGGGGTCGTCAGGCCTCTGCAAAGGAGCGTGCAAGACAGAGGCCTTCTCCAGTATGGAAGTCACCAGGAGGCAGTCTAGGGGCTGTGGGGGTCAACACGGCAGGTCTGGGGTTGATGGAAGTCAAAGGGTCAAGGGGGCGGTGAGAGTTGCCGGGTATCACCCTGTAGGGGGATCACCAGAAGTCACCTGGGAAAGGGGAGGGCGGCGGGAACATCAGCGTTGTTAGAGCTGTGGGGTGGTCACCAGGGATCACAGGGAAGGGCTTGTCCACGCAGATGCTAGGGCCGAGCGCTAGCCTGGCACTGAGAAGTGCCAGAGCGCGGTCGTTGTGGGTTGGGAGTGGGCAGGCCTCAATGCTGGGGAAAGGAACCCCCCAAATCGCAGAGAGCTGCACCCTAGACGAGGCTGAGAGGGGTAGAACGGGCCTGGAGCCTCACTCCTACCCCACGTGTGGGGGCCTGCCTGCTTTCGTCCCTTTCTGGACGGTGGAGAAGCTGCCTGGAGATTGCGAGCGCTCTGGCCGATGGGGGGCTAGCGTTGAGCGTGTGTGCGCGCATGCGGGCTGCAGATCCTCCCTTTTCCATCCCGCACCTACAACCCAATTGACAGCCCCGCATTTGGGGCTCCCATTCCTCCCTTTGCCCAGTGGAGCTTGGTGAGGCTCCTTTATGGCGCGTTTCCCGGCCGTTCCTTACTTTCCCAAACTCTCCCAGGGAGGTGACTGAGAAACTGAATAAGTGACTGAGAAACTGAATAATCCAGCAGGAAGGAGGGGGCTCCAGCGTGGCGGGAACTGAGTCACGCGGTTGCCTAGCCCGACTCGAGACTGAGACGGGAGCCGCACCACGCGCTTTCGGACAAGGAGGGTGCTGCGGCCCGGCCCCTGGACAATGGAGAGAGCGGGGCACCCGGGCGCATCACCAGAGCTCATGCCCGGGAAAGGGGCGAGGCCCGGGGGGAGAGAGCTCAGCGTAGCTCCACTTGGCAGCTAAAGAAACAGGCGCCCGGGACGGAAATGACTCGCGCCCGGACACGGCGACAGGGAGAGCATGGGAAGTGCTTCCTTCGCCCGGCGGGTTCGAGCGAGTAGCACTTTACTTTCCCTACAGGTGGAGGCGGGCCTTGGTGCGCGGCTGTCCATCTCCGGACCGCCCACCCGGGCACTGGCCCATGCGTCTCCTCCCCCGGAAGCGGTAAGCGAATCAGGCGCGGGGGAAGGGAGAACGTTGCTCCTCGGGCCCCTCCTCCCGATAAGCCTGGAATGTCAAATATTTGTTCGCGGGGCGGGGCGCAACCGCGAGTAACGCTCCTCCCCCTCCCGCCCGGTAGGGCGCCTGCGCTTGGTGGAGGCGGCCCTTCCTCCGGCCACGCCCTTCCAGCCAACTCCCCTAAACCAGTGGCCCTAACCGCCGCATTCCTAAAGCTCCACAGAAGCACGTCGCTTCCTCCTTGGCTCCTGTCTGGGTTCCACTCTTACAGCACAGGGTCACAGCGTCCCCGCCCGAAGGTCTGGGCGCTACTCGGTCTCCTTCTCGCCCCTCCTGGCGACCTCATCTGTGCAGCCTCTAGGCCCTTTTTCCTCTTCAGCCTGAGTCTCGACGCCCGCTCTTCCCGGAAGCCACCTTCGCGAGGTGACTGCTCCATTGTGGCGTCTCTGGCAGTCCTGAGCGCTTTCCCACGGAAGACGCGCTTATGCGTGTCCAAGTCGCCGCTGGGTCGTGAACCTGAGGCACGGGCTGGTAGCACAGTGCGGCTCCCCTAAACTACCCCGGATGCCCATCCGGCTGCCCCCATAGCAAGACAACTCCTGCAACTTAGATTCTTTTTATTTTATTTTATTTTTTTAATTTTTATTATTCTTTTCTTTGAGACGGAGTTTTGCTCTTGTTGCCCAGACTGGAGTGCAATGGCGCGATCTCGGCTTACTGCAACCTCCGCCTCCTGGGTTCAAGCGATTCTCCTGCCTCAGCCTCCCAAGTAGCTGGGATTACAGGCGTGCACCACCACGCCTGTATTTTTTTAGTAGAGACGGGGTTTCACCATGTTGATCAGGCTGGATGGTCTCGAACTCCTGACCTCAGGTGATCCACCCGCCTCGGTCTCCCAGTGCTGGGATTACGGGCGTGAGCCACCACGCCTGGCTAATTTTTGTATTTTTTGCAGAGACGGGGTCTCGCCATGTTGACCAGGCTGGTCTCGAACTCCGCCCACCTCGGCCTCCCGAAGGGCTAGAATTATAGGCATGAGCTACCGTGCACTCAGCTCCAACCCTTGCATTCTTCTTTAAAAACCAAATTCGTTTAAATACTGGGCAGGAGGGTGGGGTCCTGTTTTGCTGAGATCCCTTACTCATCTTCAGATGAGTCCTTCCAGATGACCCCATTATTACTAAACAACCCACACTCCTGACCCCAACCGACCCTCATTGCTTCTTTCTGCCCCCCAACCCCCCAACTTAACCAACTTATAACACGATTTATTAATCGTGTATTGTCTCCCCGCTCCATCATCCTATCCTCGAAGATAGAGGCTTACCCCCAACGCCTGTCACTGAATGAATGAACTGTTGTCTAAGGCTAGCTTCTTCTGCCACAGGGTATTTCAGCAATGGTAAGACACAGGCCTTTGCAGTAGGGTCTCATCTGTGCCCTTTCCTCCTCTCCAGCCCTACCCCTTCTCTATCTAGGGCTCCAGCTCTTCCTCCAGAATTTTTTTTTTTTTTTTTTTTTTTTTGAGACAGAGTCTCGCTCTGTCCCCCAGGCTGGAGTGCAATGGCATGATCCCGGCTCACTGCAACCTCCGCCTCCTGGGTTGACGCGATTCCTCTGCCTCTGCCTCTGCCTCAGCCTCCCGAGTAGCTGGGACTACAGGCGCGCGCCACCATGCCGGGTTAATTTTTGTATTTTTAATAAAGATGGGATTTCCCCATATTGAACAGGCTGGTCTCGAACTCCTGACCTCGTGATCCGCCCGCCTCGGCCTCCCAGAGTGTTGGGATTACAGGCATGAGCCACCGCTCCCGGCCTTCCTCCAGATTTTCTACCTTCCGCAGGGGTCCCTTCTGTAGTTTGAGATTTCTGTACTTCTCTAAAAATTGTCCCCCACCCCCACCCCACTCCTCGCTCCCCTGGGGTTCATGAATTAATGAATAGGAGATTGGTACGGCAGAGAGGTAAGCAAGGCCCCGACGGCCCAGGCCGCCTGAGGTCAGCCGCCTTTCTCAAAACCGCGTGCCAGATATTTGGAAGAAAGAACTGGGTTCCGTGGGCCTCATACTCGCGAAATTTTACCCTCACCTTGGCCCTCAGGCCTGCCTGGGCTGCACTCCTAAAGGCAGCCGGCGCTGTTGCCTCGGGGACATGAAAGCCCGGGCAGATACAGGGTGGGAGGCGGGAAGCGTGGCGGGTCTCCTGGAACCTCCAGGGCGTCTAGGAGTGGTGCGAAAACGCCCTCCCTCCTTCCCTTCGCTACCAAGAAAGATCTCGCAGTGGAAGAGGATTCGACGCTGGGGATCACCGCGGAGATCCACACTCGTCTGCCCAGACCCGTCCCCGCTCTCAGCGACCCTCCTTATGTCCCGGGCCACCCCACTAGCCAGCGCGTTGGGCCCCACCTCCCGGGTTGGGATCCCCGCACCTGTGCAGAGTGGCTGCCGAGCACCCGCCAGAGGGCGCGCTGACTCCGTTGCCAGAACCAGGGGGGCAGGGGCGTGCGCCCGAGGTCGAGCAAAGCACCAGTACAGTGGTGAAAAGGGGGTCCCCTAGATGCCCCCATCAGGCCAATACCCTTTGGCTTTGTTTTTATTTTATTTTATTTTAATTTTATTTTGAGACGGAGTTTTGGTCTCGTCTCCCAGGCTGGAGTGCAATGGTGCGATTTCGGCCCACTGCAACTTCCGCCTCCCGGGTTCAAGCCGTTCTCCTGCCTCAGCCTCCTGAGTAGCTGGGATTACAAGTGCTCGCCACCACGCCCGGCTAATTTTTGTATTTTTAGTAGAGACGGGGTTTCACCATGTTAGCCAGGCAAATCTCAAACTCCTGACCTCAAGTGATCTGCCTGCCTCGGCCTCCCAAAGTGCTGGGATTAGAGGCGTGAGCCACTGCGCCTGACCTATTTTATTTTGTTTTATTTTATTTTAATTTTTTTGAGACAGAGTCTTGCTCTGTCGCCCAGGCTGGAGTGCAGTGGCACGATCTTGGCTCTCTGCAACCTCCGCCTCCCGGGTTCAAGCGATTCTCCTGCCTCAGCCTCCTGAGTAGTGGGATTACAGGCACGCAACACCACGCCTAGCTAATTTTTGTATTTCTAGTACAGATAGGGTTTCACCATGTTGGTCAGCCTGGTCTCGAACTCCTGACCTCGTGATCCGCCCGCCTCTGCCTCCCAAAGTGCTGGGATTACAGGCGTGAGCCACCACGCCAGGCTTATTTTATTTTTATTTATTTTTGAGACAGAGTCTCATTCTGTCACCCAGGCTGGAGTGCAATGGCACGATCTCGGCTCACTGCAACCTCCACCTCCCAGGTTCAAGTGATTCTTGTGCCTCAGCCTCCTAAGTAGCTGAGATTACAGGCCCACACCACCACGCCTGGCTAATTTTTTGTATTTTTAGTAGAGACAGGGTTTCGCCACATTGCGCAGGCTGGTCTTGAACTTCTGAACTCAGGCAATATGCCCACCTCGGCCTCCCAAAGTGCTAGGATTACAGGTGTGAGCCACCATGCCCGGGCTTTTATTTTATATTTTATTTTTTAAAATTTTATTGAAACGGAGTTTCCCTCTGTCACCCAGGCTGGAGTGCAGTGGCATGATCTCTGTTCTGGGCCCTTTGCCTCCAGGGTTCTGTTGTGGCTGGATCAGTGTTAGGCATCTCGGGGCTGCAGGGAGACTGGCTGCAGAGGAATGGGGGACTGCTGAGCCATGAGCTTTAGGGAGATTCCACCGGCCTCTAAATGGACTCAGCTCTGGCCACCAAATCAGCCCGAAAGCCCTGAGCTTAGTTTGGTTGCCTCAAGCCTGGGATCCACCTAGTTCAGGTAGGGGAGCTTGGAGCTTAGGCCAGCGAGAGGGAGTGCAAAGGGCCAGGTAGCAGGAGGGGCGAAGGGTGTTGGCTGTGTGCTCACCCAAGGAAGATAGCACAACTAGACTGGCTCCTAAGTCTCTGGATTTATTCTGTTGATGAAAAGAGTCAAACTCTGTAAAATATTTGGACACTTTTTTTTTTTTTTTGAGACAAGAGTCTCGTTCTGTCACCCAGGCTAGCATGCAGTGGCGCGATCTCGGCTCGCTGCAAGCTCCGCCTCCCAGGTTCACGCCATTCTCCTGCCTCAGCCTCCCGAGTAGCTGGGACTACAGGCACCTGCCACCACGCCTGGCTAATTTTTCGTATTTTTAGTGGAGACAGGGTTTCATTGTGTTAGCCAGGATGGTCTCGATCTCCTGACCTCATGATCCGCCCGCCTCGGCCTCCCAAAGTGCTGGGATTACAGGTGTGAGCCACCATGCCCAGCCTGGACGCTTTTTTTGGATGGAGTCTTGCTCTGTCTCCCAGGCTGGAGTGCAGTGACATGATCTTGGCTCACTGCAACCTCCGCCTCCCGGGTTCAAGTGATTCTCCTGCCTCAGCCTCCCGAGTAGCTGGGACTACATGTGCCCGCCACCACGGCCAGCTAATTTTTCTATTTTTATAGAGATGGGTTTCGCCTTATTGGCTAGGCTAGTCTCAAACTCCTGACCTCAGGGGATCCACCCACCTCGGCCTCCCAAAGTGTTGGGATTACAGGCGTGAACCACTGTGCCCGGCCCTATTCAGACCTGTGAAAGGTGCTAAACTCTTAATCTCTTCAGGTTTGGGAGGGCCTGGAAGAAAATCTAGCTATGTTAATAGAGATTCTTTACAGATGCAAAATTTCCTCCACAAAGGACAGTTTTGCAGGACCATTTCCAAGTATGGCAAAGAAACATTGTTTTGGAATATTTTGACTTTCTTGTCACCTAATGTTATGCCAGAGTCAGATTGCAAAGTAAGTTCCGATATATAGGATTAAATAAAACCCATCTAATGAGAATTTATGGTTTGTAGGGCAAACCATACAATTTGAGATAGTAATTTGAGCAATATTAAAAAAAAAAAATCAGGGCCGGGTGTGATGGCTCATACCTGTAATCCCAGCACTTTGGGAGACCTAGGTGGGTGGATCACCTGAGGTCAGGAGTTCAAGACCAGCCTGGCCAACATGGCGAAATCCCGTCTCTACTAAAAAATACAAAAATCAGCTGGGCGTGGTGGCGGGTGCCTGTAATCCCAGCTATTCAGGAGGCTGAGGCAGGAGAATCGCTTGAACCCAGGAGGCAGAGGTTGCAGTGAGCCGGGATCACGCCACTGCTCTCCAGCCTGGGTGACAGAGCAAAACTCTGTCTCAAAAAAAAAAAAAAAAAGGTGTCAGCCTGGCATGTGGAGAACGACCCACAGGAACGAGGGCGTGCATTGGGACATCAGTGACGAGGCTGTTGTGGGAATAGGGTAGTGTGGTTTGGGGAGTGTAGAGCTGGCAAGCCCTTATGACCACCTGAGTTGTGGTTCTGAGAAGCATGGAAGCATCCAGAGCTCAGGATGATGCCAAGTCTGCAGCCTGGGGGATCAGGTGGATGGCAGAGTCATTGTGAAAAGGGAGGACCCTCACTTTCTGACCCTTCTCCACAGTGCCAGCATGGGTCATTGCTGACCAGGCCTTGCCATCCTGCCCCTAATGGCTGTGGTTCCTAACACATGCAGGGCCTGTGGGGTTGAAGCACCAAGGAACCCCTCTTGAGGACAGGGCTACCCTTCCAGGGGCCCATGGTCACCGGATGCTGCTGGGCTGGCAAGACATTTAGACTGTGGCCAGAGTCCAAGGTGGCCCAGCACCTCTTGATCCTTCTCTTCCTCCACATAACCTTTGACTGGACTTCTGCCCGTCCCTAGGCCTGCAGAAGAGTCTCTGGTCTCCCACGCTGGGTTTTCACCAGATGGGTCTTCACTGATCTTCTGTTGGGTCACGGGTGAAGGTGGGGGAGGCAGGGGCTTTGGGAGTGGGAGTTCTGAGCCAGGGCCTTAGCGGGAGATGGCTGGACCTTAAGAGAGGGTGGGGCTGGTCACAGTGGCACACATCTGTAATCTCAGCACTTTGGGAGGCTGAGGCAGGTGGATCACTTAAGGCCAGGAGTTCAAGACTGGCCTGGGCAACATAGTGAGACCCCAACTCTACAAAAAATAAAAAACTAGCTGAGCTTGGAGGTGTACACTTGTAGTCCCAGCTACTCAGGAGGCTGAGGTGGGAAGGATTGCTTGAGCCTGAGAGGTCAAGGATGCAGTGAGCCGTGATTGTGCTACTGCACTTGGGTGACAGAGAGACCCTTTCTCAAAAAAAAAAAAAAAAAAAAAAAAAAAAGGAAAGAAAAGAAAAAGGGGCCGGGCACAGTAGCTCACGCCTGTAATCCCAGCACTTTGGGAGGCCGAGGCAGGTGGATCACCTGAGGTTGGGAGTTCAAGACCAGCCTGACTAACATGGAGAAACCCCGTCTCTACTAAAAATACAAAATTAGCCAGGGTGGTGGCGCATGCCTGCAATCCCAGCTACTCGGGAGGCTGAGGCAGGAGAATTGCTTGAATCCGGGAGACGGAGGTTACGGTGAGCCAAGATTGCACCATTGCACTCCAGCCTGGGCAACAAGAGCGAAACTCTGTCTCAAAAAAAAAAAAAAAAAGAAAAAGAAAAAGAAAAAAGAAAGAGGGAGGGTGGTGGTAGCCCAGTCACCAACATGTTTCACTATAAGAACTCGAGAAGGGCAGGGCAAGATAGTGGCTTCATAGCCAGGTCAGCTGCTTACCAAGAAGAAGGAAGGAAGGGGCAGGACAAATTTCTTGGGACCAGGTGGGATGACCAGGGTGCAGCTGCCCCTTCGAAGGGGTGGGTGTGTGGAGGATCAAGACCTCTATTTCCCAAATACTCTCGTCCCTCTATCCCACAGTGACCTATGGTGCTGGCATATAACCAGCTGTCAGGTCTTTGCCCACTCTGTTCGCCCCTGCTTCCTGGCGCAGGGAGTCCATGTCCTCTCTGGTTCCCCAGGTTTGCGAGAGTGGAGGGGGACCACGAGCTCCCGATGCCTCTCCTGCTCTGCAGGGGAACTTGCAGATGGCCCATGGCGCAGGGTCGAGACTCAAGCCCACTCCCAACCCCGCGCCCGAACTGCCCGGACTGGCGGGGTGACGCTGCACTCTGCGCCCCTAAAACGAACAGATTAACCCCTCTCTTGGGAACTGAACATGCTGACCTGGCCTCTCCCGGTTCCCCCCGCATCTGTAACCCCGGGGCAGAGTTACAGGGGCTGACTGGCCGCACCCAGGTGCCCTCGGGGCAGGGTGTGCTAAGAATTGGTGTGGGGGCTGCACAAAGGTCCTGGTCAGCTCCTGGTCACCTGAGGCCCAAGAACTGTCCGGGACTCACTTCCTCTCTTCTTGCTTTAACCGGGGTCGCTCAGCAGCGGCCAGCGCTGCACCCCTTATCCTCTCCCGGTCTTGTCCGTTCCAGATCCTCCAGGTCAGGGGGTCGCCAAGTGAGAGCTGCGCAGCGTGGATTTCGGGTACCCAGGGCTGGGCGGGGTACAGCAGCGGCGAGCTGGGTTCCCGGGTGGGCGACTGACAGCCCGGAGCCAGGCGATACCTCGATCCATCGATGCGCTCGGCGCTCAGCGTGGTCCAGGAAGCAGGGGGTTGGGCAAGGGCGGGGCGGCGACCTCCGACTGGGAGGGGCGTATATGGCGGCGAGTCCCTATTGGCCAGCCATTTGCGGGAGGCGGGCCCTGATTGGCCGGGGGGATGCGGGGGATGCGGGCGGCGGGGTTAAGCGCGTCGCCACCGCCCCCGCCTAGGCGAGAGCCCAGAGAGCTGAACCTGCATCCCGGACCTGCGGCGACCGTCGTACACCATGGGCCTCCACCTCCGCCCCTACCGTGTGGGGCTGCTCCCGGATGGCCTCCTGTTCCTCTTGCTGCTGCTAATGCTGCTCGCGGACCCAGCGCTCCCGGCCGGACGTCACCCCCCAGTGGTGCTGGGTGAGGCACGGGTCTCGTGGTGGATCTGTCGGTCGGGCGGGACGGGCCGCGGGCGGGGCTGCCTTCCCGGTCTGCTTCTGTTCCAGTCACGAAATGGGGGAGCGTATTGGTATCTGTCTTGTCACTTAGGTGATCTAGATCTGCCGGCTCACCTCCCGCCATGCTGGGCGCGGGTGTGGTCAGCTCCCCACCTCCTGTCCTGGTAGAAAATGGGGGTGAGTGGGAGAGTTACCATCTGGTTATTCATAGTTCCACCTGTCCGCATCATTCCCAAGCCTTGCCTCCCCTTATCCCATTTTTAAGCTGGAAAGACAGGTGCTTCAGCCCCACTCCTGAGGGATGGTGGGGGTGTGTAGAGTGGCTCCTGAGTTGACTTCTGCATCGACCTGGGCCTGGTTAGGAGGCTGTCACCCTCGACCCCTCCAATGCCACATATGCCAGAAGGCATTGCTGAAAGGAACCTCCTTAGGGAAAGGATTGCTGTCCTAGCTGGCCACCAACTCCCACAACTTATCAGATGTGTGGCATTGCCTGAGGGAAAAGGCCTAAGGGAAACTGAAGACAACTGAAGTCAGGGGAAAGGGTTGGGACAATGGCCATGAACCTGTGTCAGGCAACATGCTTGTACTCTTACCCTGCCACACATGCTTGGACTAGACTATGTGGAGGCTCGGTGACCTCCCCTGCTCACCCCGCTCCTTGATCACAACCCTGGCAACTCTACAACGGCCACTGTATTTCCTTGCAGGGATGGGCAGGGATGAGACCTCTGTCTGGGGGGCCTTGGGTGCCTCATTGAGGCCGTCACTCCCATCCAGAGCTGGTGTGTCCGTGGCCAGCCAGGATTCCTGAAAGCAGAGGCATCTGAGGCATGAATTACACGTGGAGTCTAGTGCAGCATGATCTCCATGCTCTTTCTGCTGAGAGTACTTTAAATGGGGACGATGCAAATCACAGAAGGGTAGAGTTGGCAGGTAGGGTGGTGCCAGGCAGGCCCCACCAGGAGTTCCCAGCCAGGAAAAGCTCCAGGGGGATACTAGGCCCAGGTTCACCATGGGATTTGGGCAGACTTGGCCCTGCCTCCCCAAAGCTTGCAGGATAGGAATAACAGTGATCCCCAGAGAGGAAGTCTGTGTGGGGCAAGCACAGAGAATCCACCAACCCAGCCTGGATGGGTGGGTGTCAAGTAAGGCTTCCTGGAGTATATAGCTGGAGCTAAGGCCAGGAGAGAGTAATGGGTCGGGGAGAGACGTGAGCATCTCAGGCTGCCTGGGATCGAGTCACAGGAGGAGTGGACTGCACAGGACTTGTGACTGGTTGGGTCATCTGAACTTTATCTTGAGGGCCTCAGGGAGTCCTGGGTTGGCCTGCAGAGTTCTAAGTCTGAGGGGCGTGGCATTAGGAAGCATGTGGTCTGTGGCACACAAAATGGCACATAGCCATTTTGCCTGGATTGATGCTAACCGCACTCATCAATTCAGTCAGTCTGTTTATCCTTGGTCACAGCAGAAGAGCCTCAGACCCCACCCAGAATCACAGAGCAGCAGGAGTCCTAACATGCCCAGCTTCTCAGGGAGTGAGGCTGCTGGCCTTAGCCCTGGGAGACCTCACGGTGGGCAGTTGGATAAGCAGCTCCTGGGCACAGAGCAGGGATCTGACCTTGACTGTCAGAAGATCAGAATCCTCTAGGGGTGGATCCTGAAATGGTGGTGGAGGAAAGAGAGACCAGCGATGTGATACAGAAGACCCTGGGCAAGGGGAAGGGACCATAGGCAAGGCCATTTCCACCTCTTGCAGCCTCAGTCTCCCCATCTGTTAAGTGGAAATAGTAAGGCTGTCCCCTCCCAGTGTTACTTGAGGTGAAAGGCATGTGGATGGCTCTTTTCCTAGTTCCAGGCGCAGATGGGCTCAGGAAGTGGCCACTGCTATTTTTAGGGGCCACACAGCCTGACCAGGGTAAGGAGCATCTGAGCAAAGCAGATCTGGTGACTTCCTCTTTTACCATTTCCCCTTTGGTAGAGACAGTGACCAGGGTCTCTGCCCTGCCCTGCCCAGTCCACAGGCATGTCATCCAGAGGCTGTCATGACAGGGACTCCCTCCCTCTGCACCCATACCATGAAGGGAGGTGAAGGCATGTGCCGCCCCTGCCTCTCATGGCACCCTGAAGACACTGGGATGGTGCCCAGGGAGGGCACGCCCTGTTCAGGGTGGATTTACGGTCAGTTCCCAGTGAATGTCCAGGAGAGCCAAGTGCTGGTTTTTCACTCAATGATCATGGACCCTAAACGGGGATGTGTTTGGGAAGTGGCGAGAGCATGGCATGTGGGGGCAGGTGAGGCCCGAAAGGTCAATGGGAGTAACGAGACTGTGAAGGGCTTTGACGCAGTGGGGAGGGATTTGGGTGTCACCAGGGCCCCAGAGTTCTGAGTACACTGAATAGGATGGCTGGGATGGAGAGAAGTCACCCTAGGGCCTGGACTGTGGTGATAATGGTGCTGGTTCAGGGTGGCTGTTTCCAATACGGGCTCCCAGCCATGCTAGGGCCCTCCAGATGATCTGCTCTCTGGCACCTTACTGGACTCTGGCCTTTAGTAAGGCCTGGGCCCTTGGTAGGCTGGCGGGTGCCAATGTAAGCTTCTCTCAGCTGTGTTTCTGTTCATTTCCCTCCCACCAGCCTGTCCTGCATACTTTGTCTGGTTGAATTTTAGCTGAGTGGCCCAGGGCTCTGTTCTGTTTCCTTCTTCCTCTCTCAGGGCGAACAGGACCCTGTCTTCTATGTAGCCTGGGATAGCTATGGGTGGAAGACTTTTGGGTTCAAGCCTCCAGGGTATATATCTTTTTTTTTTTTTGAGACCGGGTCTTGCTCTGTCACCCAGGCTGGAGGGCAATGGCACGATTTTGGCTCACTGCAACCTCTGCCTCCCGGGTTCAAGCAATTCTCCTGTCTTAGGCTCCTGAGTAGCTGGGATTACAGGTGTGTGCCACCACACCAAGGTAATTTTTTGTATTTTTAGTAGAGATGGGCTTTCACCATATTGGCCAAGCTGGTCTTGAACTCCTGACCGCAAGTGATCCACTCACCTCGGCCTCCCAAAGTGCTGGGATTACAGGCATGAGCCCCTGCGCCCTGCCTCGAAGGTATATATCTAATGACAAGGGCCTTGGCCAAACTTTGGAGGTTCTGGAATGCAAAGGGGTCTCCAAGCCCCTCCTCCCAGGCAGAGCTCCCATCGGGGTCCATTAACCATAGAAACCATGTGTAGAGGTGTGTCTGTGTTTGCTGGGGGTGATTCAGACCAAGATCTCATTTAACAGATACGGAAACTGAGGCCTAGTGTGGGGAGTGACTTCACCCTGAACCCCCTTCCAATAATCTGAATGGCCCAGGAGGATGTTCCAGTGAAAATCCAGGAGACTTACTTTATCTGGAGTTGGAGACAATGTTAGGGCCCTTCCCCAAACATGTCAGGCCTCTCCCAAGCCCCCCACAGGCATCTCTGCACCACACAGCAGTAGCAGCTTTTCTGCACAAAGATGGTTCCCTGGCCTTTGGGTCAAGGTCCCTGCTCTCTGAATTTCCTGCCACCAGCACTGTGCTTTAATTTGAGATGTGGAACTGCACAGGTCTGCCATATTATCTGTGGCTCTTCAGGGGGTCTGCTGCAGACATCAAAGTTCTTGGGAGTCTTGAACCTGCCGGGCTGAGGGCTCACACATGTCCTGTGCCCCCTGCAGTCCCTGGTGATTTGGGTAACCAACTGGAAGCCAAGCTGGACAAGCCGACAGTGGTGCACTACCTCTGCTCCAAGAAGACCGAAAGCTACTTCACAATCTGGCTGAACCTGGAACTGCTGCTGCCTGTCATCATTGACTGCTGGATTGACAATATCAGGTGGGGGCTGGGGCACACAGAGGGGGGTGCTGCTCACCAACAGTGCCTGAGAGGCCTCCAGAGTCTGTTCCTTCTATCCTCATCTCGAGGTCACTGACCTCTCTCCTTCCCCAGGTCCTCGGTCTGGTCTGGTCTGGTCTGGTTGGCACCACCTCTGCACTCCCAGGCAGAACTAACTTTCCCTTCCTGCTGCCCTTGTTCCTCTACTCTCCAGTCCTGGCCTCTCATGCCTACACACAATTTTTTTTTTCTTTTATTTTGGGATGGAGTCTTGCTGTGTCACTCAGGCTGGCGCCATCTCAGCTCACTGCAACCTCCGTCTCCCAGGTTCAAGCGATTCTTGTGCCTCAGCCTCCCAAGTAGCTGGGATTACAGGTGCCCGCCACCATGCCTGGCTAATTTTTTGTATTTTTAGTGGAGATGGTGTTTCACCATGTTGGCCATGCTGGTCTTGAACTCCTGAGCTCAAGTGTTCTGCCCACCTTGGACTCCCAAAGTGCTGGGATTACAGGCATGAGCCACTACGCCTGCCTACACAAAATTTCTGTGTCCCAGCCCCTATTCAGAGCCTCGGCATGGCCCCCACCCCTTTCCTTGTCTGTGCCTCGGCCTCCCCTACCTCTCCAGCTGCTTATTCTTCTTGGGACATGCCATGTCTTTGTACCTGCTGTTCTTTTGGCCTGGAATCTATTTCTACACCCTTTGCCTGATAAATGGCTTCCATTCACTTTTTTTTTTTTTTTTTTTTTTGGAGACGGAGTTTTGCTCTTATTGCCCAGGCTGGAGTGCAATGGCGCGATCTCGGCTCACAACTCTTTTTTTTTTTTTTAACTTTTATTTTTTGAGACAGAGTCTTGCTCTGTCGCCCAGGCTGGGTGCAGTGGCGCTATCTCGGCTCACTGCAAGCTCCGCCTCCCGGGTTCACGCCATTCTTCTGCCTCAGCCTCCCAAGTAGCTGGGACCACAGGCGCCCGCCACAGTGCCCGGCTAATTTTTTGTATTTTTTAGTAGAGACAGGGTTTCACCGTGTTAACCAGGATGGTCTCCATCTACTGACCTTGTGATCCGCCTGCCTCAGCCTCCCAAAGTGCTGGGATTACAGGCGTGAGCCACCACACCCAGCCCCATTCACTCTTTAAAACATGACCCTAGGCCAGGCATGGTGGCTCTGCTATAATCCCATCACTTTGGGAGGCTGAGGCAGTCAGATCACCTGAGCTCAGGAGTTGAAGACCAGCCTGGGCAACTTGGTGAAACCCCATCTCTACCAAAAATACAAAAAAATTAGCTGGGCATGGTGGCATGCACCTGTAGTCCCAGCTACTTAGGGGGCTGAGGCAGGAGAATTGCTTGAGCCAGGGAAGCAGAGGTTGCAGTGAGCAGACCACTGTACCCAGCCTGGGTTGCAGAGCAAGACCCTGTCTCAAAACAACAAAAACCTGACCCTGGTCCCTTTGTGACATGTCCCTTTTGACTCCCCAGAGCGGTTTGCCTCTCCTCCCAGGCCCCATGCTTGCTTCCTCTAAACATCATCATGTGCCCGAATTTGTCTGCAGGCATGTTTGCCCAAATTGCACAGGCACTGTACATTTTATATACTTTCTTTCAGTTAGTCTTACAGCAACCCCGTTTTGAAATAGGTGCTGTTTTCTTTTTTTTTTTTTCACCAGTGTTACTTGCCAACAGGTGGTTTTTAAACCTGCTTTACAACTGCGAAATCTGGAGGCTCAATGAGGTTACAAAATTGACTGTGCTCACTCAGCTAATAAGTGGTAGAATCAGAATTCAAATCCAGAATGTGTGGCGTTGAGCTGAGGTTCCCTCCCAGGCTGAGTTCCGTGAAGGGAGGGAGTGTGTGTCTGTTTTATCCTTATAGCAGTAGAACCAGAAACACAGTTGGCGCCTGATAAATGTTTGAGCTGAATGGAGTCTCCCAAATTAAAAGTTTTTCCTGGTCGGGTGCGGTGGCTCATGCCTGTAATCCCAGCACTTTGGGAGGCTGAGGTGGACAGATCATGAGGTCAGGAGTTCGAGACTAGCCCGGCCAACACAGTGAAACCCTGTCTCTACTAAAAATGCAAAAATTAAGGCCGGGCATGGTGGCTCACGCCTGTAATCCCAGCTAGTCAGGAGTCTGAGGCAGGAGAAACGCTTGAACCTGGGTGGTGGAAGTTGCAGTGAGCTGAGATCGTGCCATTGTACTCCAGCCCAGGTGACAGTACAAGACTCCATCTCAAAAAAAAGAAAATACAAAAATACAAAAATGAGCCGGGCGTGGTGGCACACGCCCATGATCCCAGCTACTCGGGAGGCTGAGACAGGAGAATCACTTGAACCTGGGAGGCAGAGGTTGCAGTGAGCAGAGATGGGGGCACTGCACTCTAGCCTGGGTGACAGAGCGAGACTGTCTCAAAAAAAAAAAAAAAAAAAAGTTTTTCCCAGAGACCCGCTAGCTGCTCCTCCAGGTGCCCTGGCCTGCCGGCTGTTTGTGATGCCCATTTTGATGACTCCTTCCTCCTCTGTGTGTTGTGTGACTGGGGTTATTTCTGGGCTGTTGATGTGCATTTCTATTTTTATACTGGGGACACAGCCTCAGGTGCTGCCAGTTGGAGGTGCCAGCTGATACCAAGAGGGGCCTGTCTGCCTTCACTGCTTCTCTGACCCGTTTAGATTTTCACCCAGCGCAGAACTGCTTTGGCTTTCCAGAACAGTTTTCTGCATTTTGCTGTTTGATAATTTATTTTTAGTAGCAACAAGCTACTTTGCTATGTGGTCATTGGGATAATCTACAAATTGCCCTGGAGAGAATGGGCCTCCAGGACCTGTTATCTGGGTCAGTTGTGGGGATCCTGTCAGCTTCAGTGGCTGATATCTAAGTGGGCAAGTGGGACTCAGGACCACCAGAAACTCCAGGTTCCTGTGTTTTGGGGGCACATTTGCTTCTTCAGTGTGTGGCGAGGCCAGAGCAAGGTTCCCAGCCTCGCACAGAGGCACAAGGCTTTTCTCCTGGTATAAGGTGTCTCCCCTGGCCCATCACCCTGTTCCCATCATTTCTTCAGGCCTTGACAACCCTCTTCCCACAGGAGATGGTGCAGCAGCTGTGTACTGAGCCCTGAGGCGGGGTCTGTCCTGTCTGGTTCTGTTTGGCACTGCAGCTACAGAAACTATGAGATCACGTGTGTGGTGTTAGAAGCTGCTGAGTCTGTGGTAATTTATTACACAGTTCTAGAAAACTAATAGGCTGGGTGCAGTGGCTCACACCTATAATCCCAGCACTTTGGGAGGCTAAGGCAGGAGGATCGCTTGAGCCCAGGAGTTTGAGACCAGCATGAGCACATAGTGTGGCCCTGTCCCTACAAAATAAATAAACAAATAAATAAATAAATTAGCCAGACCTGGTGGTGCCTGCCTAGCTGTTCAGGAGGGTGAGGTAAGAGGATCACTTGAGCCCAGGAGGTTATGGCTACAGTGAGCTATGATCTCCTCACTGTGCTGCAGCCTGGGCAACAGAGTGAGACCCTGTCTCAAAAAAGAAGAAGAAAGAAAAGTAAGAAAGGGCTGTTAGGGATCTTAAGTCAGTAGCTGGTGGTCCATGTCCTATGTCATGGCGCTTAGGAATTTGCTGGGCAAGCCCTGAGCCTTGTGGCTGCAGTCTGACAGTTGATACAGCCCTGGGGTACTGGGAGGTCATAGGAGCATGGTTCATTCCCTTCCTCCATGGAGGATGTGTTTGGAGGTTGGCTGGCTGCTGTGTCCAATGCGCAGAGGAAGCGGGACCCAATTATACCTACCTGGGGCCACACAAGGCCTTCCTCCTGTCTCTCCCCACCAGCTCCCATCATTTCTCTGGGCCTTGCTCCTTCTCCTACCTGCCTACCCACCCATACAGCAGCCCTGAGGCATGGTGCCTTTCTAGGGTTTGTTTTTGTTTGTTTGTTTGTTTTTTTGAGACAGAGTTTCGCTCTTATTGCCCAGGCTGGAGTGCAGTGGCGCAATCTCGGCTCACTACACCTCTGCCTCCCAGGCTCAAGCACTTCTCCTGCCTCAGACTCCGGATAACTGGGATTACAGGTACACGTCACCATGCCTGGTTAATTTTTGTGTTTTTAGTAGAGATGGGGTTTCACCCTGTTGGCCAGGCTGGTCTCGAACTCCTAACCTCAAGTGATCCACGTGCCTCAGCCTTCCAAAGTGCTGAGATTATAGGCGTGAGCCCCTGTGCCTGGCCTAGTGTGTTTTGTTTTGTTTTTTTTTTTTTTTTGAGACAGGGTCTTACTTTGCTGCCCAGGCTGGTGTGCAGTGGCATGATCACGGCTCACTGCAGCCTCAATATCCCAGGTGCAAGTCATCCTCCTGCCTCAGCCTTCCAAGTAGCTGGGACCACAGGCCTGCACCACCATGCCTGGCTAATTTTTTATTTTTAGTAGCAACAAGGCCTCACTGTATTGCCCAGGCTGGCCTTGAACTCCTGGCCTCAAGCATTCCTCCCACCTTGGCCTTGCAAATTGTTGGAACTACAGGTGTCAGCCACTGCACCCGGCCCCTGTCTGGTTCTGTTGTGTACTGCACTCACCACCTCCTTCACCTGGGATACGTTGGGCTGGCAGGAGCTGGATGCAAGGAGATGGAGCGATGGAAAGCTGAAAGAGGGTAGACTGCCTCTTGGGGTCCAGTGTGAAGTTCACGGCAGAATCAGGACTGGTACTTCCTTCTCCCAACCAGGTCCAAGACCCTCATTCTAGAGTAGGGTCACGGGGGAGAGGGGAATGTTGCTTTGACAGGGGTCCTGGGGTCAGTATTTGGAGTAAGTATGCCTTGGTGGGGTCCTCATTTGGATGTAATTACTCTGATCTGTGCTTTTTATTTTTATTTATTTATTTATTTATTTATTTATTTATTTATTTATTTTTTTGAGACAGAGTCTTGCTCTGTCGCCCAGGCTGGAGTGCAGTGGTGTGATCTCAGCTCACTACAACCTCCGTGTCACAGGTTCAAGCGATTCTCCTGCCTCAGCCTCCTGAGTAGCTGGGATTACAGTCGCCTCCCACGACACCCGGCTGATTTTGTATCTTTAGTAGAGATGGGGTTTCGCCATGTTTGTCAGGCTGGTCTCAAACTCCTCACTCAGGTGACCTGCCAGCCTCAGCCTCCCAAAGTGCTGGGATTAACAGGCGTGAGCCACTGCACCTGGGCAATTTTTGTATTTTTAGTAGAGACAGGGTTTCACCATATTGGCCAGGCTGGTTTCAAACTCCTGACCTCAAGTGATCCTCCCACCTCAGCCTCCCTAAGTGCTGGGATTACAGGTGATCTGTGCTTTATCAACCTGCTTTGTTACTTTTCGGTCTCTCCTATCCATCTGACCAAACCTGGGCATGAGAAGGGAGTATGACTCAGGACATGATGCACTGTTGGGACACACCAAGCTCAGTGTCCCCTCCGGGTCACTGGCTCAATATCCTCTCACAACAGGCTGGTTTACAACAAAACATCCAGGGCCACCCAGTTTCCTGATGGTGTGGATGTACGTGTCCCTGGCTTTGGGAAGACCTTCTCACTGGAGTTCCTGGACCCCAGCAAAAGCAGCGTGGGTATGTAGCCCTTACTCAAGGCCTCCGGGAGCTGGGATGGGGTTTCTGCCGGACTGGAGCTGGAGCTGGAGGAACTCTGCTGGTTTGTAGGGACAGCCTGTGAGCTGTCTCTGATCAGCGTGGGCACAGAGCCCTGTAGCATTCTTCCAAGGACCTGCTAGCTGTCACAGTCTCCATGCTGGGCATAGTGTAGGTGGCCGGCACTAGCTGTATCTTTTCTTATCCTCTGTATTTCTGTCTACAGGTTCCTATTTCCACACCATGGTGGAGAGCCTTGTGGGCTGGGGCTACACACGGGGTGAGGATGTCCGAGGGGCTCCCTATGACTGGCGCCGAGCCCCAAGTAAGCAGGCACTCTCATTCCCTCCCTGACGTCTCGGGAGGTAGGGGTGAGGTGATCATGGGCACCACAGACCTTGGGCTCTCCCCTTGTCCTTGGCTGTCTCCTGTCCCTGGGCCTCTGGCATCCAGTCTAGTGGTCACAGCCACCACCTTTGGTCAGTCTTATCCTGTCCTCCATTTCCCACCCTGGGACCTCTGGGCCTGTGAGCCCTGGGGAGAAATATAAGGCTTCCTCCCTTCATGGAAGGCGGGGGGACCCAGACCGCTCTGTTTGAATGTGAGCACCCTCCCCTCCCCCTCTCGTCTTGTGTCTGGCCTGAGAAAAGCTCAGTGGTTCCGGCTCCAGGACCCTTCCCACCTGACCCCTGCCTGGCTCTGGCCTGCAGATGAAAACGGGCCCTACTTCCTGGCCCTCCGCGAGATGATCGAGGAGATGTACCAGCTGTATGGGGGCCCCGTGGTGCTGGTTGCCCACAGTATGGGCAACATGTACACGCTCTACTTTCTGCAGCGGCAGCCGCAGGCCTGGAAGGACAAGTATATCCGGGCCTTCGTGTCACTGGGTGCGCCCTGGGGGGGCGTGGCCAAGACCCTGCGCGTCCTGGCTTCAGGTAAGACCCTACCTGGCCCAGCGTGGGGGGCTGTTGCCAGGAATTCTGCCCTCTCTTCCCTTCCTAAGTGTCCTCCTGGGCCAGCATGCCTCGTGTCTGTCCCACGGTGTGTGGGGTCTATGCAAATCTACCCCTAAAAGTCCAAAGAAGAAAGAGGCTGACAAATCTAGTTTCTCAGAGAAAAGCATTTAATAGGGACATACGAATAGAAGCCACATCTGTGTCTCAGGTGGGGGCAAGACAAGATGGTGGATCCCCACACTATTAGCCCCCAGACCCAGAGCTTATATTCTGTAGGGAAAGGGCGACTCCGATGCGATGTGTTGAACATTGAAGGATGATAACACAGAGGCTGTTTTGATTTATGGTTAAGTACGTGCACAAGAAACAGTAGATAAAGTGGAAATCTCAGTGGCCTTCCTGGATCTGGGGTTAATCAGAAGCCAACATGGTGGATTAGTATCCAAAATGGAGTTGCTTTGGTCTCCACAATGACTATTCTCTTGGGTCAGCCCTGTTTTTTTTTTAATTTTTATTTTTTGAGACAGAGTCTGGTTCTGTCACCCAGACTGGAATGCAGTGGTGCAATCTTGTCTCACTGCAACCTCTGCCTCCCGGGTTCAAGCGATTCTGCCTCAGCCTCCTGAGTAGCTGGGATTACAGGTGCCCGCCACCATGCCTGGCTAAGTTTTGTGTTTTAGTAGAGATGAGGTTTCATCATGTTGGCCAGGCTGGTCTTGAACTCCTGACCTCAGATGTTCCACTCGCTTCGGCCTCCCAAAGTGCTGGGATTACAAGTGTGAGCCACTGTGCCTGGCCATCCCTCCCTCTTACCCCATCCTTACTTCTTCATCCCCACCTTCACCGCAGAGGAGGAAGGCTAGAGCATTTTTTTTTTTTTTTTGGAGGCAGGGTCTTTCTCACTCTGCCATCCAGGTTGGAGTGCAGTAGCGTGATTTTGGTTCATGCAACCTCCACCTTCCAGGTTCAAGTGATTCTCCTGCCTCAGCCTCCCGGGTAACTGGGACTACAGGCGCGTACCACCACACCCGGCTAATTTTTGTATTTTTAGTAGAGACTGGGTTTCACTATGTTGGCCGGGCTAGTCTCTAACTCCTGACCTCAAGTCAGGAGGATCTGCCTGCCTCAGCCTCCCAAAGTGCTGGGATTACAAGCATGAACCACCGCACCCGGCCAGATTTTTTTGTATTTTTAGTAGAGATGGGGTTTCACCATTTTGGTCAGGCTGGTCTTGAACTCCTGACCTCAAATGATCTGCCCACCTTGACCTCCCAAAGTTCTGGGATTACAAGGATGAGCCACTGCACCTGGCCTCTAGACTACAGTTTTTTATTTATGAGTTGCGCCTCCATCTGTGGGCAGCACGGAGCCTCTGTAGGCAACACAGGGAGGAAGCAGGTGCAGATCTGGCTGGGCCTGCTTGCCTGGCAATTGGGAAAGCCACCCCTTTTATGGCTCCTCCCCCGTCTTTTCATGACTGTTGCAGCTCACCAGCTGCAGCTGTAGAGTAGAGCTTCTTCCTCTAGAAGGGAGCTTTCCTCCCTCTGCTAGGACTTGGGGGAGGCTTATGGACCCTCACTTTGGGAGCTATGAGCCAGGGCTGTGCCAAGCATCTCATGAGCTCAAGTGCCTGCCACTGCTTGACCTGCTTGGTCTACTGGCATTGTGATTGGGTCAGGCCCAGTGACTCTGAGTTGGCTGGAAGACACTCAGATTTAGTGAGGACTCATTATAGCCACCACTTCGGTCTAGCCTGGGCCTGGAGGGACGGATGTGGGCATACCCTGAGTTTAGACAGGTAGCCCCGGCCCCTTTCAGAGTTTCTCTGTGAGTCCCCTTAGAGCTTTGTTTCAAAGGCTGGGAAGCTGTTCTGTCCTGCCTTGGCAGTCCAGGACTGGGTGTGTGGTGCGGGGAGGTGGAAGTCCGTGCACCCCTAGGGGCTTTCCTTGCCTCAGGGGTCCCCCAGCCAGGCCACAGCAGGCAGAGCTGAGGCCCTACAGTCAGTCTGAGAGGCCTCCCTGCTTTCAGATACAGGGTGGGGTGATGGGTGACCATGGATCCTGAACAGGCCAGAGGCCCCTGTTCCCAAGTTGCAGCTTTTACTTCCTGGAGGCCTCCCTGACTGCCGGGTGTTTGTGTTGTTCACATTCCTGTGTATAGGGACTCCGCCTCCATCTGCAGCCTCCCCTCGTGCCCTGTCTCCAGCACGCCTGGCTGCCCAGGTCAGCGCACATGCAAGTGGGTGGAATGAGGCCACGGCTGGCTGAACGCTGGTCTGAGCTTAGGAAAAGAAAAACTGGTACACAGTTCAGTGTCATAAAAGGGAAAGCAGAACATGTCATCTCCGAGTTGCCAACCTGCTGACTCACTTTAGACTAGGTCAGTGCCCACAGGCCTGATCAGCACTTGGAGGATGGTAGAGTTTACAGGCAAGGAAGCATCATAAATCACCCTGTGGGTATGTGCCGCCTTACTCCCTGGTGAGGAAAGCAAAAAAAACAAAACATAGCTTGGATGTGTGGTTCCCAGATGTAGCAAAAATAAAGAGAAACAATAAAAGCCAAGGCAAGCAAACTGGGCAACATAGCAAGACCCCATCTGTATAAAAAGTGGAAACATTTTTAGCCCAGGCGTGGTGGGACGTGCTTGTAGTTCCAGCTATGCAGGAGGCTGACATAGGAGGATCACTTGAACCCAGGAGGTGGAGGTTGTAGTGAGCCAAGACTGTACCACTGCACTCCAGCCTGGGTGACAGAATGAGACCCTACTTCAAAAAAAAAAAAAAGGAAAAATTTGCCAGGCATGAGGCATGGTGGCGCATACCTGTAGTCCCAGCTACTCCAAAGGCTGAGGCGGGAGGATTGGTTGAGCCTGAGAGGTTGAGGCTGCTGTGAGCCGTGATCATGCCATTATACTCCAGCCTGGGCAACAGAGTGAGACCCTGTCTCAAAAAGAAAAAAAAAGAGCCAAGGCAGGGATGGGAGTCACAGTGATTACAATGATGATAACCGGGTAGAGATGCGGGACTGTGGACTGGGCCCCTGGCTGGGGTCTGGCAGGGGCCTGGTGGTGAACATGCTGCCCAACCAGCTGGCATTCCTAAGCACAGACTGACCAGAGCCTTCTCCCTGCAGGAGACAACAACCGGATCCCAGTCATCGGGCCCCTGAAGATCCGGGAGCAGCAGCGGTCAGCTGTCTCCACCAGCTGGCTGCTGCCCTACAACTACACATGGTCACCTGAGAAGGTGTTCGTGCAGACACCCACAATCAACTACACACTGCGGGACTACCGCAAGTTCTTCCAGGACATCGGCTTTGAAGATGGCTGGCTCATGCGGCAGGACACAGAAGGGCTGGTGGAAGCCACGATGCCACCTGGCGTGCAGCTGCACTGCCTCTATGGTACTGGCGTCCCCACACCAGACTCCTTCTACTATGAGAGCTTCCCTGACCGTGACCCTAAAATCTGCTTTGGTGACGGCGATGGTACTGTGAACTTGAAGAGTGCCCTGCAGTGCCAGGCCTGGCAGAGCCGCCAGGAGCACCAAGTGTTGCTGCAGGAGCTGCCAGGCAGCGAGCACATCGAGATGCTGGCCAACGCCACCACCCTGGCCTATCTGAAACGTGTGCTCCTTGGGCCCTGACTCCTGTGCCACAGGACTCCTGTGGCTCGGCCGTGGACCTGCTGTTGGCCTCTGGGGCTGTCATGGCCCACGCGTTTTGCAAAGTTTGTGACTCACCATTCAAGGCCCCGAGTCTTGGACTGTGAAGCATCTGCCATGGGGAAGTGCTGTTTGTTATCCTTTCTCTGTGGCAGTGAAGAAGGAAGAAATGAGAGTCTAGACTCAAGGGACACTGGATGGCAAGAATGCTGCTGATGGTGGAACTGCTGTGACCTTAGGACTGGCTCCACAGGGTGGACTGGCTGGGCCCTGGTCCCAGTCCCTGCCTGGGGCCATGTGTCCCCCCTATTCCTGTGGGCTTTTCATACTTGCCTACTGGGCCCTGGCCCCGCAGCCTTCCTATGAGGGATGTTACTGGGCTGTGGTCCTGTACCCAGAGGTCCCAGGGATCGGCTCCTGGCCCCTCGGGTGACCCTTCCCACACACCAGCCACAGATAGGCCTGCCACTGGTCATGGGTAGCTAGAGCTGCTGGCTTCCCTGTGGCTTAGCTGGTGGCCAGCCTGACTGGCTTCCTGGGCGAGCCTAGTAGCTCCTGCAGGCAGGGGCAGTTTGTTGCGTTCTTCGTGGTTCCCAGGCCCTGGGACATCTCACTCCACTCCTACCTCCCTTACCACCAGGAGCATTCAAGCTCTGGATTGGGCAGCAGATGTGCCCCCAGTCCCGCAGGCTGTGTTCCAGGGGCCCTGATTTCCTCGGATGTGCTATTGGCCCCAGGACTGAAGCTGCCTCCCTTCACCCTGGGACTGTGGTTCCAAGGATGAGAGCAGGGGTTGGAGCCATGGCCTTCTGGGAACCTATGGAGAAAGGGAATCCAAGGAAGCAGCCAAGGCTGCTCGCAGCTTCCCTGAGCTGCACCTCTTGCTAACCCCACCATCACACTGCCACCCTGCCCTAGGGTCTCACTAGTACCAAGTGGGTCAGCACAGGGCTGAGGATGGGGCTCCTATCCACCCTGGCCAGCACCCAGCTTAGTGCTGGGACTAGCCCAGAAACTTGAATGGGACCCTGAGAGAGCCAGGGGTCCCCTGAGGCCCCCCTAGGGGCTTTCTGTCTGCCCCAGGGTGCTCCATGGATCTCCCTGTGGCAGCAGGCATGGAGAGTCAGGGCTGCCTTCATGGCAGTAGGCTCTAAGTGGGTGACTGGCCACAGGCCGAGAAAAGGGTACAGCCTCTAGGTGGGGTTCCCAAAGACGCCTTCACGCTGGACTGAGCTGCTCTCCCACAGGGTTTCTGTGCAGCTGGATTTTCTCTGTTGCATACATGCCTGGCATCTGTCTCCCCTTGTTCCTGAGTGGCCCCACATGGGGCTCTGAGCAGGCTGTATCTGGATTCTGGCAATAAAAGTACTCTGGATGCTGTAAGGTGCCCTGGCCTACATTCTGCTCTGAGCATGAGGGGAGGGAGGTGGTGGAGGTACAAGGTGGCTACAGAGGCAGGAAATTAGGGGCTGGGCCTTTACAGGAGCCTTGACAGGTTGTCTCAGCATCAAAGCATGGTTCCTGTGCCCTTCTGTGGACCTCATCCTCCTGTCCTCTCTCCTGGAATCCAGTTCCCTTCCTGGGACTAAGAACCAGAACCTGAAACATTCCTGTGGAAATGGGGTCCTGTCCTCCCCCTGCTCCTGCCTGGTCAGCAGGCCCCACATGCCACCCAGGAGCTGGGAGCAAGGACAGTCCTGCAGGTCACCCTGGCTACACCCTCCTTCCCAGCCTCTGTCCTCCCTCAGCTTGCAAGTGTCAGCATCCTTTGAACCTAGAGTTCTTTTTAGGATGCCACCCTTCTTTGCATCTTCAGCTCATCAGCCTGCCATCTGTACCCCTGGGGAGGTACAGATGAGAGAGATCAAGGGAGGAAAAGAGACTACTAGGCTGAGACTGGTATGGACAAAGACAGAAACAGAGACAGAGCCAAGGAAACATGGATAGGGGATAGGGTCCCAGCCTGAATTTTGTAGTCCAGAGCCCAGCCGGTACCCAGTTCTGTCTTAACTCAGCCCCACAAGCTGGGGCGCCAGACTTTGATACACCAGGGGCCACAAGAGGGCGCCCTGAACCCTCTCACTGAACCACCTGTTAGCCAAACCTGGAAGGACGAGGTGACCCAGAGTGGGGGTAAAAATGCCTGTGGTAAAAATACTGGGGTCCAGCTGCAGCTCTGGCCTCAGTAAAAGGATGACAACATGAAAGGGAGCTTCACCCCAGGCCCTGCCCAACCTGACTCCCTGCTTGGCCCTGACACCCCCCTACTCATGGCACCCCACTCATCCCTGACCCATTTTAGCTTCACCATCACCCTCAGTTTCATAGCTGCAGAGAGAAAGGGCATGGAATCAGAGGAGGCTTAAGGATCAGCATACTAGGGTTCAAATCTCAGCTCTACTAGCTCCAGCCAAGTTGTCTGGGGAGCCTCCTGACCCTCAGTTTCCTCATCCAAAGAATGGGGACATCTGGGTGCATTGGCTCACGCTTATAGTTCCACCTACTCAGGAGGCTAAGGTGGGAGGATCGCTTGAGCCCAGGAGTTTGAGACCAGCCTGGGCAAGACTTTATCTCTAAAGGTGAAATAGGCCGGGCGCCATGGTTCACGCCTGTGAGCCCAGCACTTTGGGAGGCCAAGGAGGGTGGATCACATGAGGTCAGGAGTTCAAGACCAGCCTGGCCAACATGGTGAAACCCCATATCTACTAAAAATACAAAATTAGTCAGGTGTGGTGGCACATGCCTTGTGGTCCTAGCTACTCTGGAGGCCGAGACAGGAGAATCACTGGAACCTGGGAGGCGGAGGCTGCAGTGAGCCAAGATGGCACCACTGCACTCCAGCCTGAGCAAGACAGAGCGAGATACATCTCAAAAAAAAAAAAAAAGATGAAATAAATCTGTAGTCCCAAGTAGGAAGCTGAGGCAGGAAGATCGCTTGAAACCAGGAGTTCGAGGCTGCAGTGAGCTATGATCACACCTGTGAATAGCCATTGCACTCCAGCCTGGGCAACAGCAAGATCTCTAAAAGCAAAAGAAAAGAATGGTTACAAATAAATGTATCCTGCAGGGTGGTCCTGAGGAACACTGATGGTGTTGGAGAACATCTGATTCAGGGTGTGGTGTACATTGGGCTTTCAGCTGATGGGCTACGTAACTGGGTATGAGACTGCAAAGCCAGACGGAGCTGGCATATGGTGTTTTTTTTTTTTTTTTTTTGAGATAGACTTTCGCTCTTATTGCCCAGGCTGGAGTGCAATGGCGCGATCTCGGCTTACTGCAACCTCTGCCTCCTGGGTTAAAGCGATTCTCCTGCCTCAGCCTCCTGAGTAGCTGCGATTACAGGCATGTGCCACCACACTCGGCTAATTTTGTATTTTTAGTAGAGACGGGGTTTCTCCATGTTGGTCAGGCTGGTCTCGAACTCCTGACCTCAAGGTGATCTGCCTGCCTCAGCCTCCCAAAGTTGTAGGATTACAGGCGTGAGCCACCAGGCCCGGCTGAGCCGGCATACCTTATATGAAGCTGTGGCAGGGACACGTGGGCTGGGTGCTGACACAAGTGTCCAGAGCTGTCCTTCTGCTCAGCCAGGGAGGCCGGAGGAACTGATCTGGGAGGCAAAGGGTGCAACTCGATTGATCCAAATATATACGTCCACTCACTGACACTTAGGGGAGGGGTTCCAAGCAGAGGGCAGGAGGGCAGCACCAGCGAGGATTCCTCAAGTATTGTCATCCCAGGCCTGCAGAGAGGAGAATGGAAGGGTTTTAGGCAGGGGAGATACAAAGTCATCGCAATCTGTATTCTAGGAGCATCCCCTACTCTGTGGAGATGGGGTAAGGGGAGCAGGATAGGGATTGAGAAGCCGTTGTGGCTGGGGAGAAGAAAACGAGGTATAGGCCGTGGGAGGAGTGGGGAGGAAGGGTCTGAGGTGCTACCCATCTCTGGCTGGGTCCCTGTCACTGGGTGGCAGGGAGCAGGGTCTTGGGTATGGTCTGGAACCAGAGGACGTGTACTTGTGGTCATAAGGCTGGGGGAAAAGATTCCAGGGCCCTGGAGAAAGTCAGTGCTTGAGGTGTGGACAGGAAATTTCGGAGGAGGGCTCAGGCGCCCATGAGGTCAGGAGGCTCTAGACAGAGAGCCCCAGAGCCACCAGAGGAAAAGGAACTCGAGAGAAAGATGGAGGAGCAAACAGAGGGAGGGGAAGGGGGCAGGAGGTGCAGCTCCCCCAAGAGGGGGGGCAGGAGGTGCAGCTCCCCCAAGAGGGGTGGCAGCCCTCTTGGGAAGATGAGGACAGAGCCCCAGGGAGGCCTGGGGTTGGCAAAGGGAGCCTGCAGTTTCTTTGTGGGTGCGGGGGCCTCAAGGGCTACGAGTCTGAGCTGTGCGTGTGTTTGGACAAGTCCCCAGAGTGTGTGTCTTCCTGGGGTTCCTAGACTGCGAGTGGCAGTGGCCCGGCGGCGGAGGCCGTTTGGATCCCTGTGTGAGCTGTAGGGGGCGCCCTGGGCGTCGGGCCCAGGTCAAGTGCGAGATAGGAACGGGGTGCGGGGGCCGATGAGAGCTCCCCGCGGGAATGTCCGCTGTGGACGCCCTCGGAGGCCCCATCTAACTCCAGGGCGGCGAGCGTGGCCGGGCCCAGTTCACGGGCTGCTCGAGCCCTGACGAGGCAGCTGGGGGCTGTCTGGCGTCCACGCTCACGTTCTGGGCCGGCGGACCCCGTACCGGCCAGGCCGTGGCGGCCACGGGGGCCCGGAAGCGCCGCCGCCAGCTGGCCCCGCACGGAACTGTGTCCCGACGCGGCGCGCGCTGTCGCGATCCGGCGGCGGGTGACGTGGCGGGGCGGGGCCTGAGCTGCCGCGGCGGCGGCGGCGCGACCGAGCATCCTGGCGGCGCCGGGCCACTGGGAGGTAACGGGCTGGGCCATGGGCGGGCGCGCCGGGAGCGGGGCCGGGGCTGGGCCGCGTTCTGTGGGAGCCGAACCCTGTGGGTCTTCGCTGCCGCCGTCGGGAGCGGGATGCGGCCCAGAAACAGCGCGGGGCTGGCCGATCGGGGCCGCGCGAGAGGCGCTGCGGGTGAGGGGGGGCGCCACGAGGAGAGAGGGACCTCGAGCGTGAGGGCCGAGTGTGGGAGAAACGCTGTATGGGTGCGAGCCCCGGAGGCTGATGGTGACCGCGAGGGAGCCAGTCTTGGGGTGTGCTGGCGACGCGGCGAGTGTGAGGGAGACCGGGGGTGTGTGTGGAGAGGGAAACCCCAGGTGCGAGGGTGACCGGGACGCTGAGTGCGCGGGCCGCGCCGCGAGCGTGAGACTGTGCGACGGTGACCCTGAGTGGGGCTGTGACTGCGCCTCCGACTGCAGGACGGAGAACCTGTGCTGTGTGGCGGCCGCGGTGGGGCAAAGAAAGACGCGGGCTCAGGACCTCAGGAGCCAGGCTTCCTGGGGCTGTCGCAAGAATGACGATTATCATTTTAAAATCAGTCCTTTTACTTTAGAGAATGCCGCAAGGTTTTGTGGCGTGCTGGAGCCTGGAGCGTTGGGCTGCTGGCGCTGGGGAACCCGCGTGCCCCTGGTGATTATGGCTCTTTTGAGCGTCCCTATAGCCTGTCATCTTGTGTGACTATCTCTCCTGAATGTGGGGAGATAGACGTGAAACATTCTGAAAATTCTTTGCTGGGCTCTAAGCAAACATGTTGTGTAATGGTCAGTATAAATAGGAATCAGGGTGTCGGCGAACACGTTTTTGAGTACCTCTTGTATGCCCTGGGCTTGGTGACACAGTTAAAAAGAATTCAGTCTCTGCCCTTGATAGGGGAAAAAGCCAGGGCAGCTCATCTCGCAGGGCGGCTGTTCAGTGCCCAGCCATCCGGGGCTTGTCTCTCAGAACTGCTCCCAGATTTCAGATCTGGGAGGAGCAGACTTGAAAGGCTGTGAGTACTTCCTTATATCAGTTCCACCTCTTTTTGGTGGCGGTGAGGCCTTTTGGGGACCTGCCCAGGCTGCCTGCATTACTCAGGTCCCATGTGTGCTGCGCAGACGGCTTTTGCTTCCCAACTTTGATCTCAGATCGTTATTCAAGTCGTTACACTGGAGTTTATTTTCCTGGCAAGTGTGTGGAAAACCACCAGCCTGATTTTCTCCTCTCTTCCTCTCCTTGTCCTCCTTCCCTATTTGGCCGTGGATGTATTTTTATTGCATATACCGGTTTTATGATCCCCATCTCCCTGGAACTTCTTAGTAGAAGAAATTTCCTGACCTTTGTGCTTCCTGCTGTAATTTCTTGGATGTATATTAGTTTCTAAAAAAGTTATGCAGGCCGGGCGCGGTGGCTCAGTCCTGTAATCCCAGCACTTTGGGAGGCCGAGGCAGGCGGATCACGGGGTCAGGAGATCGAGACCATCCTGGCTAACATGGTGAAATCCCGTCTCTACTAAAAATACAAAAATTGAGCCAGGTGTGGTGGTGGGCACCTGTAGTCCCACCTACTCGGGAGGCTGAGGCAGGAGAATGGCTTGAACCCGGGAGGCGGAGGTTGCAGTGAGCCAAGATTGCGCCATTGCACTCTAGCCTGGGCAACAGAGCGAGACTCCATCTCCAAAAAAAAAGAAAAAAAGTTATGTAAACGGTGCCCACGGGACCTGGGGCCCCAGAGCTGCCTAGACTTACATGATTTAATGTGACAAGGCCAGTTCTCTGACAGGTTTGGGCTGGCTACTTCAGTTATACCCACCCTGTGGGTGTCATGGAACCTGCTAGTAATTAGGACTGCCCCTGCCGGGCATGTAAAATTTAGATTTTACAAGGAAATATCATTCTGCTGCTTTCTTGGTTAATTAAAAATAATTACATATATATATATATTTAAATCAGCTTTCTCAGGTTAAAAGAGTTCATTTTTTGATCAGTTCCCTCCCACTCTTTGTTGCAGAGTTTATGTGGCCGAGGCAGACAAGTGGAATTAGGCCTTGCTGCAGGGGACTTCATTTCCTTCTCAGTACTGGACCCATTTATGAGGAGGTGGCTTATGAAAGTGTGATGTTCGCGTATTTCTTGACAGGTGAATATTGTTGCGCTGTCTTTTCTTTTGTTTGTGTGATTTACAAAGAGTTTTTACTTGTATACAGTGTGAATACAATACTAGTAAACAGAATGGCTTACACATAATTAACAACTCTTTAGTATTACATATTAAATAACACTGTAATTTATTATAAAAATAAATTATACATTTATTTATATTACAATTCTTTATAAAGAGTAATTGTGGTGGGTTTTTTCTTTTTTTTTGGAGACAGTGTCTCACTCTGTCACCCAGGCTGGGGTGTGGTGGCGCAATCTCTGCTCACTGCAACCTCTGCCTCCTGGATTCAAGCGATTCTCCTGCCTCAGCCTCCCAAGTAGCTGGGATTACAGGCGCCCGCCACCATGCCCAGCTAATTATTGTATTTTTAGTAGAGACGGGGCTTTACCATGTTGGCCAGGCTGGTCACGAACTCCTGAGCTCAGGCAATCTGCCCGTCTCAGCCTCCCAATTGTGGTGGATTTTTTTTTTTTTTTTTTTTTTTTTGAGAAGGAGTTTCGCTCTCATTGCCCTGGCGGAGTGCAATGGTGCGATCTTGGCTCACTGTAACCTCCACCTCCCGGGTTCAAGTGATTCTCATGCCTCAACCTCCCGAGTAACTGGGATTACAGGTGCCCACCACCATGCCCGGACAATTTTTTGTATTTTTAGCAGAGATAGGGTTTCACTATGTTGGCCAGGCTGGTCCCGAACTCCTGACCTCAGGCGATCCACCCGCCTCAGCCTCCCAAAATGCTGGGATTACAGGTGTGAGACACCGCGCCTGGCCATAACTCAGAGAGTTTTATAAGAAAAAGTCCTCTGTGTTTTCACCATAGTTAAGATTTTGATTCAACCAGAGGGGGGAATAAAAAGATTTTGATGTATTTCTCTGTGATATAGCAAAATATTTTTTGGTCTTCAGCCCGTTTCCTAGCATACAACTCCTAAAATACTTAGAAAGATCAAAGTAATGTCTTTTTGTATGCTGATGGCTGGTGGCTGGCAGCCCCTAGAAAGCTTCAGGATGGGGGCTGGTCACTGGAAAGACCAAGTCAGGATTAGAGGGTTGGGACTTTGAGCCCTACCCCCAACCTCCGGGGAGGGGAGAAAGGAGGAGGGTGAGGTTAAGTTGATCACTAATGGCCAGTGGCTTAATCACTCATGCCTATGTAATGAAGCCTCTATAAAAACCCAAGAGGCTGGGGGTTTGGGGAGCTTCCGGATAGCTGGACATGTGGAGGTTCCTGGATGGTACTTCTCCCTGGGAGGACAAGGAAAGTCTGTGACCCTTCCCCCATATGTGGCTCTGCAAACCTCTTCATCTGTATCCTTTGTAATAGCCTTTATAATATACAAGTAAAGGTAAGTAAGTGTTTCTCTGAGTTCTGTGAGCCGCTCTAGCAAATTAATTGAACTGAAAGAGGAGTCTTGGGAGCCCCAACTTGAAACAGTTCGGTCAGAAGTTCAGGAGGCTTGGATTTGTGCCAGGTATCCTGTTGGGGAGGGGCAGTCTTGTGGAACTGAGCCCTTCTGCTGTGGGATCTGATGCTGTCTCCAGGTAGATAGTGTTGGGATTGAACTGGAGGACACTCAGCTGGTGTCCCTGGGGAGAAATGATTGCTTGTTAGTGGGGAACCCTCCCCCTCCGGCATTTGGTCACAGAACTCTTCTGTGTTGATTATTGTGGTGTGAGAGTACACAGTAAAAATGGTTTTGAGTTTTTCCAAACATTCTCAATAGCATTTTTTCCTTTAGTCATTACAAAAATTTTGGTTTCAAATCCACTTTGTAAAACTTCCTTTGTAATCGAGCTTTTCCCCCCTTTCATCCCGTTTTCTGATGTAATTGAATTGTGATAAATTCATTTATTCCAAAAATTGCTTGTGGCAGTTTCGTGGTTAAATTTTCATGGGGAAATTTTGGTAGTCTGTTAAATTCCTTTATTACCTGCTGCAGGAGACTGCAGGAATTTAAAATTTTTAAAAATTTTTTTGTTGGCTGGGTGTGGTGGCTCACGCCTGTAATCCCAGCACTTTGGGAAGCCGAGGCAGGCGGATCACCTGAGGTCCCAGGAGTCCGAGACCAGCCTGACCAATATGGTGAAACCCCGTCTCTACTAAATACAAAAAATTAGCTGGGTGTGGTGGCGCATGCCTGTAATCCCAGCTACTCGGAAAGCTGAGGCAGGAGAATAGCTTGAACCCAGGAGGCGGAGGTTGCAGTGAGCCAAGATCGCGTCATTGCACTCCAGCGTGGGCAACGAGCGAAACTCCGTCTAAAAAAAAAAAGAGCAAAAATACGTATTAAAAAATATTTACCTAGGCTATTTGATATTGCCCCACAGGTTGATGTTCTGTTCTATTTTTTCACTTTCTCCATTTTGACCCTTTTGGTTTTCATCTCACTGCTAAAGTTCCACATTTGTTTCTGCATGCTGTTCAACTTTTTCAGTAGAACCTTAAATGTATCAAACACAATTATTTTAAATTCCTTGTTTGATGTTTCCATTATCTGGGTCATCTCTCAATATGGTCCTATTGATTACTTTTCCTCTTGATAGTGGGTTGTTTTTCTTGCTTTTTTTATGTTGCTTGTAACTTGTTACTGATTGCCAGATACCGTGTGTGGAACAGTAGAGACTGAGGTATATAGTATTTATTTTGGGAACTGGGTACAGCTCTTCTTTGCTAGACTGTTTGTATGGGAGTTTGAACTCCTAGTCAGGAGACAGTAGTGTTTGGGTGTTATTGTTGCTATGGTTACGTTAGGTGCACCAATGACTTCAAATTCTTCTCATGTTTCCTTGCCAGCTTACGGTTGGTTTGCAGGAGGGAGGCTTTTTCTCAGTGGTTATCCTCCATCCATACCCTCAGTTTATTAGCCAGGCATGGTAGTGCACACCTGTAGTCCCAGCTACTTGGGAGGCTGAGGCAGGAGAATCCCTCGAACCCAGGAGGTGGAGGTTACAGTGAGCCAAGATTGTACCACTGCACTGCAGCCTGCGTGACAAAGCAAGACTCTGTCTCAAAAAAAAAAAAAAGAAAGAAAAAAGGTCTCACTCGGTCATCTCACTCTGTCACCAAGGCTGGAGTGCCCGTAGTGCCATCATGGTTCACTGCAGCCTCCCAACTCCTGAACTCAAACTTACCTCTTAGCTTTCTGAGTAAATAGCTGGGGCTATAGGCGTGTGCCATCATGCCTGGCTACTTTTTAATTTTTTTTTGTAGAGATGGGGTCTTGCTATGTTGCCCAGGCTAGTCTCGAACTCTTGGCCTCAAGTTCCTCCAGCCTTAGCCTCCAGAGTAGCTGAGATTACAGGTGTAAGCCACTGCGTCCAGCCACCCTCAGCTTTAGGATTTCTCTGTGCACCTATGCCTCAGTGCACAGTCTCAGTGGTAGACTACTGTTGCTTGTTCCTGGGTGCTTGCTAACCTGGTGGTAGGGAGTAGGGATTTCTCTGTTGTCTGGTTCAGCCTCAGTCTTAAGCAGGCCCTGTTTGTTTCCCTGGGTCTTGGGAGTGGATCTTTCTGGGTGCTCCTGCCCTTTTCCCAGGAGAAAGACACCTCCGGTGGTCTTGCCCAGAATTTCCTACCCCTCCTCCAGGCATAGAGGTTTTTTTTTTCTTTTATCCTGCCCCAGCTGCCTCAGGAGTGACAGAGTTTGCTGCCCTTTCCCAGGGGTTTATGGTTTTTATTCTTTAGAGGAGAAGGGTATAGGTTGGCCTTTGTATTTTCCCTCCCATAAGCCAGCACTACCAAGAGCGGTTTTCTCAGGTTACTTGCCCAGTATTTCTTCTGAGTAACCACTGAGGTCTATGGAAAAAACCTGAGTGTCTGTGGCTCTTACTAACCCACACTTGACATTTGGTAATTTTTAAAAAAATTTACTTGAATTCTTCTGACTCACCTAAATGGTGGTCTCATCTTTCTCCCACTGCCACAGGTGAGCCAGACCTTGTATCTCTCTATCTCCCTGGAGGTGGCTGTCTTTCCATCAGTTTCAATCTAGTTGGTTGCCCTGTAACTTCAGCTTTCTGATGGCTCCAAGAAAAATTGTTGTTTGTCACTGGAGTGGGAATGTGCTATCCATCCTGAGTGGAAGCTGGAAGTTGAGGACTTTCCATTTTATATTGGATTTTTTTTTTTTTTTTTGAAACAGTCTTGCTCTGTTGCCCAGGCTGGAATGCAGTGGCATGATAATGGCTTACCGCAGCCCTGACCTCCTTGGCTCAAGAAATACTCCCACCTTGGCCTCCCAAGTAGCTGGCATGTGCCACCGTGCCTGGCTAATTTTTGTATTTTTTGTAGAGATGGGGTCTTGCTGTGTTGTCCAGGCTGGTCTCGGACTCCTGGGCTCAAGCAATCCTCTTGCCTCAGCCTCCCAAAGTGGTGGATTACAGGTGTGGACCACTGTGCCTGGCCTAGTTTTTTCTTATTTCATTTTTTTATAGAGACGGAACCTCCCTATGTTGCCCAGGCTACTCCTGAACTCCTGGCTTCAGGCAATCCTCTGGCCTTGGTCTCCCAAAATACTAGGATTATAGGCGTGAGTCATCATGTCTGCTCCCATTTTATTTGTGCTTTTTGTTGTTTGTTTTTTGAGACAGGGTCTCTGTCACCCAGGCGGGAGTGCAATGGTGTGATCATGGCTCACTGCAGCCTCAACCTTCTTGGGCTCAGGTGATCCTCCCACTTCAGCCTCCTGAGTAACTAAGACTACAGGTGTGTGCCATGCCACCATGCCCAGCTAACTTTTGTAGTTTTTTGGTGTAGACAGGGTTTTGCCATTGCCCAGGCTGGTCTCCTGGGCTCAAGTGATCCACCTGCTTTGGCCTCCCAAAGTGCTGGGATCACAGGTGTGCACCACTGTGCCCTGCCAAGGTGAAGTTTAGATATGGAGAGAAGGTAAGGGATGGCCCTGGGGTTGTATGTGTAGCCAAGCCAGCCTGGGACTTAGTCATGTGCTCTTGGGAGCTGCTAGGGTTACATCACAATTTTGCTCTTGGGTGTTTAGCAAAGAGGTAGGAACTTTAACTACTTTTGCCAAGGACAGGCTCTTGATAACAATTGCATTTTTCTTTTCTTTTTTTTTTTGAGACAGAGTCTTGCTCTGTCACCAGACTGGAGTGCAGTGGCGCTATCTTGGCTCACTGCAACCTCCGCCTCCCAGGTTCAGGTGATTCTCCTGCCTCAGCCTCCTGAGTAGCTGGGACTACAAGTGCATGCCACCACGCCCAGCTAAATTTTTTTGTATTTTTATTAGAGACCGGGTTTCACCATGTTGGCCAGGATGGTCTCAATCTCTTGGCCTTATGATCTGCCTGCCTCAGCCTCCCAAAGTGCTGGGATTACAGGCGTGAGCCACTGCGCCCAGCATGCATTTTGTTACTGAATGAAGATAAAGAAGCCTGGCATGGTGGCTCACACCTGTAATTTCAGCACTTCAGGAGGCCAAGGTAGGAGGATCAGTTGAGGCCAGGAGTTCAAGACCAGCCTGGGCAATGTAGTGAAACACTGTCTCTACAGACAAATTAAAAAAAAAATACATAAATAAATAGCTGGGCATGGTGGCAAGCACCTTTAGTCCTAGCTACTCATGAGGCCGAGATAGAGGACTGCTTGAGCCTAGGAGTTGGAGGCTGCAGTGAGCTATGATTGCATGATTGCACTCCAGCCTGGGTGACAAAGTGAGACCTTGTCTCTTGAATAAAAAAGAGAGAGAGAGACTGAAAGAGAAAAAAGTCTTATCTGCCTTCAGTTTTGTGTGATTCTGCTACTCTCCTTGGCTGAAGGAGTCCTTAACCTTCCAGCAGGAACTTTGTCTTTCATTCAGGTGCTGCGACTGAAATTCTAGGCATGAGGTCTTGTGGGGCTGTGACTGTGCCCCACCTCTCTAAATAAGGCCACTGGGTAGTTTCGCCAGTGTATTTGACAAACCTGATAAAGCCATATCAGCGACACCAGTGCCAGGTTTTATGAATACAAAGGGAATACCTAGTAAGCTCAATCCCTCCTCCCAGCTAGAGTCTGATGGAATAGGGCGAGCTGTATTGGTCACTGGGGTCAGATTTCTCTGCTTGTCTCCATGTTGACTTGGGTAGAAAAGGCATCCTAGGTCTCTTTGCACCTGACTCTTATGTGAGACTATAGGCTCCCCAGCTGTGTACTGGTTTTGTTCTAATGGATGCCTGGGCTCACCTGACAGGCACATGAAAACAAATATGTTTCCAGGTGCCTGCACAGGAAACCTGCATGGCTTGGTGCCAGAGTGAGAGCAAAAGTGGTGCTGCCTTAAAGCTCAGCCTCACTGAAGCAGAGGTAGGCTGCCTTCACTCCTGGGACTGGGGGAAGGCTTCACTAGGGCCTAGGAGGAGCTTTTTTACTTGGTCTCAGGTCCAGACTTGAAGGGGTTTGGGACAGGGAAGGCAGGAGTTTTGGGTGGGGACTGTGGAGATCAGCATTTCCCCTAAGAACTACTCACTCTTGACTCTCTGTGGTTTCCTTGCTCTGAGCTCCATGAGGCCAGATTCGGGCACATCACATACACATTTGTTGAACAGATAAGAGACTTCTGGAAAGATGATGTGCTTGCCGATCCTGTTCCTATTGCTGATTCTTGGAGGTTATCTCTGTGACCTTAAAGGACTAACTGTTACGTGGGTGGGAATCAAATGGCCCACCAGATTTCTTCTGAAGATGAGATGGGATCAAAGGATCAGAAGTGTGACTGGCACAGGAGTTGAGGGAGGGAGAAGATCACGCTGGGTGCAGGGTCAGGAAGGTGCTTATTTTCCTTTGATAGATTCTGGGTCCTTCATAGGTAGGTTAATGTGGAATCCAACATGAGGGGCATGCTGGGGAAGAAAGCAAATACACCAGTGGCAAATTAGCCCTGGGTTGGGATGCCCCTGGATGTCCTTTCTCTACCCTGTCTTATTACGTAACCCTTCTCTTTCGGGTACTTTGGAAAAAGAAAGATGTGGAATGGGCAAGCAGCAACATGGGAGAGTGAGGTAGGTGTTGCAGACACAGTGATACCCAGGCATGTATTTTTTTTTTTTTTTTGAGACCAAGTCTTGCTCTGTTGCCAGGCAGTGGCGTGATCTTGGCTCACTGCAACCTCCGACTCCCTGGTTCAAGCGATTCTCCTGCCTCAGCCTCCTGAGTGGGGATTACAGGTATGTGTCACCACGCCCAGCTAATTTTTGTAAGTTTAGTAGAGACGGGGTTTCACCATTTTGGCTAGGATGGTCTCGATCTCCTGACCTTGTGGTCCGCCCGCCTCGGCCTCTCAACATGCTGGGATTACAGGTGGGAGCCACTGCGCCCAGCCAGGTGTGTATTTTAATGAGGGACTTCCCCTTGGTTTAGTCACTACAATGACTAAACCTGTCTTAGCATCTTCCTCGCCCTTCCCATCACCTCCTCATGTTCTGTACTGGCCTGAGAGTAGCTGCAGATGTCTCCATGTCTTGCTGGACATTGCAGAAGTCCCAGTTTACATTGGGTAGAGGTGACTGGGCAGGATTACCTGGGTATGGACAGTGAGAAGCCTTTTAGGCTGGTGATGACTGTGTACCAGGTGCAGGGACTCTGGTCTTCTCTGCAGGGCAGGTTTGTGGGTTTTAAGCTGGTGAGAACAGAGCAGAAATCTATAACTCAAGGAGAATCCAATCGTTGGACAAATTTAATGCCAGCCTATTCTGGGCTGCAGGACAGGTATTTGTCATCAGAAGTCATTATCACATCATGCGTGAGCTCTCATGGTGTCTTTCTTGGGAGCAGTGAAGGTCTACCCACTTCTATTTCCCTGTGTTCTATGGTGGGAACTGAGACAGGCCTATTGTAGTTAGGGCTGTGTGCATGGCATGCTGTCCCTAAATAGGAAGTGGGCAGGGAAATCTGGTCTAAATAGAGCCTCACCAGCTCCTGCCCTAGACTGACATACTTGTATTCTTTGCCAGGCCACAGCAAACACAGGTGTGCAGGAACCGTTTGTCATGGAAGCCAGGGAGCCTGGGAGGCCCACACCCACCTACCATCTTGTCCCTAACACCAGCCAGTCCCAGGTGGAAGAAGATGTCAGCTCGCCACCTCAAAGGTCCTCCGAAACTATGCAGCTGAAGAAGGAGATCTCCCTGCTGAATGGGGTCAGCCTGGTGGTGGGCAACATGATCGGCTCAGGGATCTTTGTCTCACCCAAGGGTGTGCTGGTACACACTGCCTCCTATGGGATGTCACTGATTGTGTGGGCCATTGGTGGGCTCTTCTCTGTTGTGGGTGCCCTTTGTTATGCAGAGCTGGGGACCACCATCACCAAGTCGGGAGCCAGCTACGCTTATATTCTAGAGGCCTTTGGGGGCTTCATTGCCTTCATCCGCCTGTGGGTCTCACTGCTAGTTGTTGAGCCCACCGGTCAGGCCATCATCGCCATCACCTTTGCCAACTACATCATCCAGCCGTCCTTCCCCAGCTGTGATCCCCCATACCTGGCCTGCCGTCTCCTGGCTGCTGCTTGCATATGTAAGTGGGGGCTGAGATTGGGAGGATGTTGGGGGGTGGGGGGTACTATAATAACGGTACTTTAGGCCGGGCGCGGTGGCTCATGCCTATAATCCCAGCACTTTGGGAGGCTGAGGCGGGCGGATCACCTGAGGTTGGGAGTTCGAGACCAGCCTGACCAACATGGAGAAACCCCGTCTCTACTGAAAAAACAAATATAGCTGGGCGTGGTGGTGCATGCCTGTAATCCCAGCTACTCGGGAGGCTGAGGCAGGAGAATTGCTTGAACCCAGGAGGCGGAGGTTGTGGGGAGCGGAGATCATGCCATTGTACTCCAGCCTGGGCAACAAGAGCAAAACTCTGTCTCCAAAAAAAAAAAAAAAAAAAAAGATACTTTATATTTGAATAGCATATTTTGCATTTTGGAGGGGAGGGAGGCTTCTTACCTTTTGAGGAAGTAATTTTACCAGTCATTTGGTCCTGAGAGATAAGTAAGCATAAAGGATGGGGATGGGAGAAGTTTGAATCTGTTCGTGGCTTTTGGTGCCTCATATTCCTCCTCTCTTGGCTGCCCTTGTTCTGTTTTGTGGTCTGTGTGACAGGTTGGGGCATGTCTTTTATTTGTCTTGACAGCTGTTTCGATTGAAGTCAACATTGCTAGTTGTAAGCCCAGAAAAAAACCCCACCAGTGTTGAGGCCTTTATTCTGTTGCTAAAGGAAAAAAAAAAGAGTTATTTTATTTCCCAGATTTTTATCTTAAACCAGTTAAAGTCATCAGTGAGAAAGTAGGCTTCACTAGACTGTGGGAGTCCTACGGTGTTAAACTTCAGGCCCACAGGACCCTTTCCTGTCTGCCATTGCTGCTCTTTGCGGCTTGCTCTGAGCAGCAGGTACAACAAAACACCTTTTCTTCCTAGTGTATCAGACTTCTTTACACTGACTTTGTAAACAAGCTCTGCCTGCGGCCACATTTGAGTTTCTGCAGATAGAACCTGAGAGATCTCAGTTGATCCCTCTTTATTTTCCTTTTTCTCTTATGGGGTAGTAAGGAGAAAAGATTGCTGTGAATTTACCCAGCCTTGCAGAACTAGTGTTTTAAATGAGAAAGACCCAGAATTCTATGTTCCTTAGCACTGTACTGCCAGAGGTACTTAATAATATTCTGTTCTTTCCACATCTCTGCTTGCAAAAGCATTGGCAGTATATGCAGTTTATCCAGTGTTAAAAATAGCCTGAGAGTACCTTGGAGTTAGCAATAAAGGACTGTAGAATACCCATGCCTCTTGACTTTATGGAATTTGTTAAAGACAAATTAAAGGGAAAACGCTCCATATTCCTTGGGATAGTGAGGGGGAAACGGATACCCTTAGGATTAGGGAAGGCGGCTGCTCAGCTGTATGTCTGATAGGCTTTGGCTAGGGAGACTCTGGTCTGACTGAGCTTTCTAAAAAAGGGAATAATTTTCTGATTATAAAATATGTTTATTAGGCCAGGCATGGTGGCTGACGCCTGTAATCCCAGCACTTTGGGAGGCTGAGGTAGGAGGATTGCTTGAGCTCAGGAATTTGAGACCAACCTGGGCAACATGGTGAGACCCTGTCTCTACAAAAAATCAAATTAGCTGGGCATGTTGGTGTGTGCCTGTGGTCCCAGCAATTCAGGAGGCTGAGATGGGAGGATCTCTTGAGCCCGGGAAGTCGAGGCTGCAGTGAGCTATGATCACGCCACTGCACTCCAGCCTGGGTAACGGAGCAAGACCCTGTCTCCAAACAAAACAAAACAAAAAAAAAACCTCACAAAGCATGTTTATTTAGAAAATTAAATTACTCTTAAGTCATCCAAAATCTACCACCAAAAGAAGAGTACTTTTTTTTTTGAGATAGAGTCTTGCTCTGTCACCCAGGCTGGAGTACAATGGCATGATCTCAGCTCACTGCAACCTCTGCCTCCTGGGTTCAAATGATTCTCTTGCCTCAGCCTCCCGAGTAGCCAGGATTACAGGCGCCCACCACCACGCCCAGCTAATTTTTGTATTTTTAGTAGAGAGGGGGTTTCACCATGTTGGTCAAGCTGGTCGAGAAGAGTACTTTTATTTATTTATTTATTTATTTATTTATTTATTTGAGACGGAGTCTTGCTCTGTCGCCCAGGCTGGAATGCAGTGGCGCTATCTCGACTCACACCATTCTCCTGCCTCAGCCTCCCGAGTAGCCCGGACTACAGTAGGCGCCCGCCACCGTGCCCGGCTAATTTTTTGTATTTTTAGTAGAGATGGGGTTTCACCGTGTTAGCCAGGATGGTCTCGATGTCCTGACCTCGTGATCCGCCCGCCTCGGCCTCCCAAAGTGCTGGGATTACAGGTGTGAGCCACGGCGCCCGGCCTTGTATTATTTTTTAATTAAAAAAAATTTTTTTTGAGATGGAGTTTCGCTCTTGCTGCCCAGGCTAGAGTGCAATGGCATTATCTCAGCTCATCGCAACCTCGGCCTCCTGGGTTCAAGCGATTCTCCTGACTCAGCCTCCCGAATAGCTGGGATTTCAGGCATGTGCCACCACACCTGGCTAATTTTGTATTTTTAGTAGAGACAGGGTTTCTCCATGTTGGTCAGGCTGGTCTTGAACTCCTGACCTCAGGTGATCTGCCCACCCGGCCTCCCAAAGTGCTGGGATTATAGGTGTGAGCCCCCATGCCTGGCCTATTATTATTATTATTATTATTTTTCTTTTTTGAGACCGAGTCTTGCTCTGTCGCCTAGGCTGGAGTACAGTGGCTCGATCTCTGCTCACTGCAACCTCTGGCTCACTGCATCCTCCACCTCCCGGGTTCAAGAGATTCTCCTGCCTCAGCCTCCCGAGTAGCTGGGAATATAGGTGCGCACCACCATGCCCAGCTAATTTTTGTATTTTTAGTACAGACGGGGTTTCACCATGTTGGTCAGGATGGTCTTGATCTCTTGACCTCGTGATCCGCCTGCTTTGGCCTCCCAAAGTGCTGGGATTACAGGCATGAGCCACCATGCCCAGCCATAAATACCTTTTGAGGTCATCTTTTCTTGTAGGTTGTATACTGCTTTATAATTTTTTTTTTTTTTTTATTGATCATTCTTGGGTGTTTCTCGCAGAGGGGGATTTGGCAGGGTCATAGGACAATAGTGGAGGGAAGGTCAGCAGATAAACAAGTGAACAAAGGTCTCTGGTTTTCCTAGGCAGAGGACCCTGCGGCCTTTTTTTTTTTTTGCAGTGTTTGTGTCCCTGGGTACTTGAGATTAGGGAGTGGTGATGACTCTTAACGAGCATGCTGCCTTCAAGCATCTGTTTAACAAAGCACATCTTGCACTGCCCTTAATCCATTTAACCCTGAGTGGACACAGCACATGTTTCAGAGAGCACCGGGTTGGGGGTAAGGTCATAGATCAACAGCATCCCAAGGCAGAAGAATTTTTCTTAGTACAGAACAAAATGGAGTCTCCTATGTCTACTTCTTTCTACACAGACATAGCAACAATCTGATTTCGCTATCTTTTCCCCACATTTCCCCCTTTTCTATTCGACAAAACCGCCATCGTCATCATGGCCCGCTCTCAATGAGCTGTTGGGTACACCTCCCAGACGGGGTGGCGGCCGGGCAGAGGGGCTCCTCACTTCCCAGAAGGGGCGGCCGGGCAGAGGCGCCCCCCACCTCCCGGACAGGGCGGCTGCCGGGCGGAGGCGCCCCCCACCTCCCTCCCGGACAGGGCGGCTGGCCGGGCAGGGGCTGCCCCCCACCTCCCTCCTGGATGGGGCGGCTGACTGCTTTATAAAATTAAAAAAAAAATTAATATTGGCTGGGCATGGTAGCTCATGGCTTTTGTAATTCCAGCACTTTGGGAGGCTGAGGAGGGAGGATCACTTGAGCACAGGAGTTTGAGACCAGCCTGGGCAACAAAGCAAGACCCCACCTCTAAAAAAAAAAAAAATTAGGCATGGTGGCAGTGGCAGTGGTGTGCATCTGTAATCCTAGCTACTCGGGAGCCTGAGGAGGGAGGATCCCTTGAGCCCAGAAATTCAAGGTTGCAGTGAGCTATGATCATGCCACTGCACTCCAGCCTAGGTGACAGAATGAGACTTTGTCTCAAAAAAAATTTCATATTTAATCTCTTTCATCAAATACTCTTAGAAAACATGGTTTGAAGATACATAAGCAATCTCCAGGCAGTATAGTATAGTGGTTAGGATTGCAGGCCTCCATGCCAGACTGGATTTAATTTTCAGCTTTATCATTGACCAACTGTTGATCTTGGGGAGTTAACTAATTGCTGCCTCGATTTTCTCTTTTATTTTTATTTTTTGAGACAGAGTCTTGCTTTGTTGCCCAGGCTGGAGGGCAGTGGCTCAATCTTGGCTCACTGCAACCTCCACCTCCCAGGTTCAAGTGATTCTCCTGCCTCAGCCTCCCAAGTAGCTGGGATTACAGGTGCAAGCTACCATGCCTGGCTAATTTTTATATTTTTAGTAGAGATGCGGTTTTACCATATTGGCCATACTGGTCTCGAACTCCTGAGCTCAAGTGATCTGCCCACCTTGGCCTCCCAGAGTGCTGGGATCATAGGTGTGAGCCTGTAAGTGTGGGCCCGCCAGCCTCTTTCATTCAACATGTACTTTCATCCAGATTCCTCGGGATCTGAATTCCTGCAGGCTTTCTATCCTAGAAGCACTGGCTTTTCCAGAATCTAGGCCTGAGGGCAAGAACTTGCTTGTCATAGTAGTGGCCAAGTCATAAAACCATATTCTCTTCCGACTAGGGTAGGCTTTAGGGTTCAGCTTACTTCCCTTCTTGGAACTTAGGTTGCAGTATCAGGCTTTCAACAGAGCTAGGATATGCTGAGTCTCCTTGAGTAGAGGCGGCAGTGGGAACAACGTGGTTTCAGGAGACATAAATTGCACGAAACCAATTAGGTTATTTAGGGGAAAGAAATGAAAGGTCTGCACTGAATCTAGGGTAAGACTTCGGTAGGATAGGAGAATTAAGTTGGTCTTGAAATTGAGGCATGAGAGGGGTCCGGCTTGTTGGTTGGGAGACTGCCTAAACAAGTTATAGCCACGCCATTCTAGACACTTCCATCCTAGAAGGGAGGGCCCAGGAAGTCTGTATATAACCAACTCTAGGGCAGAGGCTGCCAGCTGGTGGCCCGTGAGCCAGACTTGGGCCCCAGAGATAGATTTGTTTGGTTTGTGGTGTTGTAAATAATTTTGAATTAGTTGCCAACATTTGAAAATCAGGACTTGCCTTTTCTCTTGAAAAATCAAAAGTTCAGGCATCATTGGACCCAAATTCCTGCCCGATAAAATAAGCTGGATTTCAGTAGTCGTAGCTTCTTTAAAAAAAAAAAAAATTTCTTTTTTGTTTATTTAAAAGGAGTATCCCTATGTTGCCCAGGCTGGTCTCAAACTCCTGGCTCAAGTGATGCTCCTGCCTCAGCCTCTCCAAGTGTTGGGATTACAGGCATGAGCCTCTGTGGAGGGCTCTGGCTCCTTTTTTTTTTTTGAGACAGAGTCTTGCTCTGTCACCCAGGCTGGAGTGCAGTGGCGCGATCTCGGCTCACTGCAAGCTCCGCCTCCCAGGTTCACGCCATTCTCCTGCGTCAGCCTCCTGAGTGCTGGGACAACAGGTGCCTGCCACCACGCCTGGCTAATTTTTTGTATTTTTAGTGGAGATGGGGTTTCACCATGTTAGCCAGGATGGTCTTGATGTCCTGACCTCGTGATCCGCCCACCTCGGCCTCCCAAAGTGCTGGGATTACAGGCGTGACCCACGGCGCCCAGCCGGCTGTGGCTCCTTTTAAATGGAGTATGGACTCCCCAGTCCACTGTAGTCCTCCACTTCTTGTATTATCCCCAGACTTTCTTGCCTTTGCTCACTCATATTACTTTCCTGGCCTCTGAAGGCACTGCACTTTCAGATCCTGGCTTTCTGGCTGTACCCCATCCCCTTCCCAGGTTATACTGGCAAGGAGATCCAAGCAGCTTTTTGCAGATTTCAGGCTATTTTATTTTACCTACTAATTATCCTAGAACAGTGGTTCTCAGCCAGAGGGGAGTTTATCTTCCAGGAGACATTTAGCAATATCTGGAGACACTTTTGGTTGTCACAACTCCTGGAAGGGGGTGCTTTTTGCTTCTAATGGTAGAGGTCGGGGTGCTGCTGAACATACCACCATGCACAGAACAGCTTCTCACAATAAAGACTTACTTGGCCTAAAATGTCAATAGTGCTGAGGTTGAGAAACTCTGTCTTAAGGGTGCACTCTGTTCATATGTGTTCTGGGGTTTTGGAATCTTATGTGGTGAGGCAGGGCCACAGGCTGCTGACTGAACTCAGTAAGTTTAGGGGCTCATACTCACTTGTGGGACTAATGGGGAGAAATGTTGGTTCTTGAGGTAGGTACATAGGGTCTCCTCTTTGCCTAGGTGACCAGCAGGATTCACAGTAACCCAGGTGCCCAGTATTATAAGAGTACTTGATTTGACTGCAGAAGGGTGGTGTTTCTGCCTTGGGTGTTGTCAGCCCATTTAGCTTTGTGGGCTTTGACCTCGGGATCCTCCCTCTTGTGTAGGCTTATACACATCAATGGAAAGTATTTGCTTTGAAGATTTCAACATGGAAGTAGTTCATTGCTGACACAGCGGCATCAAAGCCCAGCGCCTGCTCACAGCTGAGACTCCATTCCCCCTGAGTTTGTTTGGCAAGGGTGACAGTGAGCAGGAGGAAGAGAAGGAGGGAGACTGGGAAGGATGAGACTGGAGGGAAGAAGAAACACTGTATGATCCCTGAGTATCCATTGTTTCCATGCTTTCCTGCTCTCTTGGACCCAGGCCTGGTCAGAGTTCTCAGTAGAAAAGATACGCTCCTCATTTTGGCTAGTTGCTATGGACAGACAACTTTCTTGTTCTGAGAGTGATACGGGGCTAGGGAGGACTGGGTCTTGATCATAGTTGTTTCAAGACTCCAACCCTATATATAGTTCGAATGCTTTCATAATGGGACTAAATGTATTTGTGTAATTAAAAACAAAGACACTGGCCAGGCTCAGTGGCTCATGCCTGTAATCTCAGCAGTTTGGGAGGCCAAGGCAGGAGGATCACTTGAGCCCAGGAGTTCATGACCAGCCTGGGCAACATAGCAAGAACTCGTCTCTTAAAAAACAAAATAAAACAAAAAACCACAAAAAAACAAGGATACTTTAAAAAAAGACACATACATTACATATTTATATACATCCCAGGAGGTAGCCACTGATTCTGGGATCCCCATTTGGAAGGGTTTACCTCCCCTGGAGTGTTGGAGAGCATTTCACTCCTGAATGTCTTGTAGTTGTCCCCTCCCTACCCTGCCTTTCTTCCTTTCTTCCTTCCACATTTTTTTTTTTTTAGATGGAGTCTCACTCTGTTGCCCAGGCTGGAGTCCAGTGGCGTGATCTTGGCTCATTGCAACCTCTGCCTCCCGGGTTCAAGTGATTCTCCTGCCTCGGCCTGCTGATTAGCTGGGACTACAGGCATACGCCACTATGCCCAGCTAATTATTTTGTATTTTTAGTAGAGACGGGGTTTCACCATACTGGCCAGGCTAGTCTCAAACCCTTGACCTTGTGATTTGCCCGCCTCGGCCTCCCAAAGTGCTGGCATTACAGGTGTGAGCCACTGCGCCCGGCCTTTCTTCCACATTTTTGTTGTTATTTTTTGTTTACGGTTGCACTCCTTTGTCCTTGAATGCCCCTTTATAACATTCAGCCTGTCTGGGAGGAATTGGAAGGTTTCCCTCCGCTCTCTGTTGCCTGTGGGAAAAGAGAGTTGTGACTACTGTCAGCGTAGCTGGGAGTACAGCTTCAGATTGCCAGGCAATCTCCTCATCAGAAAGAGAGTATGAAAGGCACAGTTCTGCGAGAGGGTGCATATGTTATTCACTATTAACTTGGGTTTCAGACAACAGAAAACCTTTAGCAGCATGGCTCAAACATGTTGATGTTTGTTTCTCTCACATGTTAAAAGGAGGCAGTGTGGTTTGGATGACTTCAGTTCTTCAGGGAGCCAGGTTTATTCCTTCTGTCTTCCTGCCATCCTCAGCCTGTGACTTCTAGCTGGTGGTCCAGGATGGTTATTGAAGCTCTAGCTGTCATGTCTGCACTGTAACTGACAAGAAGGACAAAGACACTGCCTCCCCCATTTAAAGACACTTTCTGAGGTCTTATATGAAATATTTGCATACATCCCGGGAGAAAACCTGGTTGCACAGCCGTACCTACCTGCAGGAGAGGCTGGGCAATGTCAGCTTTATTTTGGACAGCCATGCCTTCAGCTAAAATTTCTATTACGAATGAAAAAGGGAAGAACAGATAGAGGAAGATAACTAGCCATGTCTGCCACAGAGACTTTGGGGATTTGTTTCTGCTTTGGCTTTCAGTTTGGATCTGCCATTTGAGTACTCCTTTCTCAGCAATAAGCTCCCAGAGAGCCTTGAAGACCCTCACGTGGGTCCCACGCTCCTTGGTGCAGGCTTGTCCAGCAAGGAAATGAGATCAGGAGAAGAGGGAAGGCTTGGATGTTTTAATTGTGGTAGCTGAATCTTAGCATCTGGCTTTAAGGCCCAGTTGTTGACTTTGTTTGAACTCTGATAGTTTATGGTAAGCTAGGGGGGCTGGGAGTTCTGGGAAGCAATAGAGGAGTAAGGATCAGATGGTGAAATTTTGTTTCTTAATTAGAATCAGGAGAACAGTCAAGGGACTTGGCTTCTGCTTGACAGACTGTTCTAGGAGCTCTCTGTTCTCTGGCAGGGCTGATAGTAGGGTGAGGCAAACGAGGTGCCTGGGGTCAGCGTTGAAGGGCGTACTCACTCTCAGGTTCCGGCATGTGGTCCCCTGAGAGTGAGTGCCTCCTTAAATTTTGTGCCCTAGGTGCCTCCTAGCTTCACACTACCCTGGCTCTGCCTTCTGGTGCTACATTGTTGCTAATGAACCATTTTTATTTTTAAACAAATTCTTTTAAAAATTTTCAGGGGCCATGCTAATCTTCTTTGCGTCGTTCCAATTTTAGTATATGTGCTGCTGAAGTGAGCACGAACTATTTTTATTTTTATCTAGAAAGAGGCGTATGTTCACGGTAAACCATGGTAAACCACAGAGTGGAAAAAGTCTCCTTCCCTCTCCACAGCTTTAGTCTTTCTCCCCAGAGGAGCCACTCTGACCAGGTGCTTTTGTATCCTTCCAGCTGGTCTATTGGAATGGACTCTGCAGGCATTTCCACAAGCAGCCTTCTTTATTCATTAGTTTAGCACATAGTTGAATTTCCACTGTGTGTAATATTTACCTGTGCACAGAGAGGACCAAACCTGTAGGACATTTATGGCAGGATAGAAGGAAGGAGAAGGATCAGAAGTGAGACCCAGTGCCAGTTAGTGGGTCTGAGGAGTGTATCAGCTTCTCTTCCCCTTGGAGCTGCAAACCAGAAGCACAGTTAGCACTGCCAGGATATTGTCAGACAGTCTCTTTCTCCATGTTTATTTCCACCTTTTTGTGTTTCTCTCCTTTTATCCTCTTCTGTCTCTGCCTCCTTGTCTCTTATCTCTCACCCCTCTGTCTCTTCTGTGTATTTTCTCGTCTTTTTTTTTTTTTTTTTTAGAGACAAGTTCTCACTCTGTTGCCCTGGCTGGAGTGCAGTGACTATTCACAGATGCTATTACAGTGCACTATAGGCCCGGACTCCTGGGTTCGGCAGTTCTCCCACCTCAGCCTCCCACACAGTTGGGACTCCAGGTGTGCACCGCTGCCCCGGCCCCCTGTCTGTCTTTTTGTCTAAGCTGCATGCCCTCCCACTTCTGCTTCTTTTTGTGTTCTGCTTCCTTCCTCTATTTACTTATGGTTTCTGTCCCTTTGTTACTAAGGGCTTGTATGTGACTTTCACTTGCTGTAGCTCCTGACCCTTCTGCCCATTACTGTTAGATTCAGTTTCTTGGTATTCCAACTCTGTGTTTCTGGGAGAGGCAATGTAACAGGCTCAACTTGGGTCCAGTGTCTGGCTCCATCAGTCATGATAGGGAAGGGGGAGCAATTCCCAAGAAGGAGCTGGGCAGGTACTTCAAAACATGGCTACTGTACTGTGTAGGGGCCTATGGATTACTGGTACCTATTAACTAGGTAATCCTTATGTTAGCTGATTGAGGCTTAACCCCATACAGGTAGCTTTGATCATCAGGGTAGGTCCCTGGGAAGACCTGCCAGCAGCATGCATTTCTTTGGGCTGCTTCTCCCCTCCCATTTGACCACTGTCCCCCTACTCCCACATCATGATTGACTAGTAAGCACCTGTGTTACTGGCCAGTGTACTGAGTGAAAGCTCTTTGAAGCCATTGAGCCTGGCACCTGCCACCTGTGTTCATTTTCACAGGCTGGCCATAGGCACTTCTCTCCATTTGAATGGAAGAATATCCAACTTTCTGACAATTTGCCTTGCTCCAGGGAATTGGAAGTTAGAGTGAAAATCTTACCACCTTGGTTCCAACCAGGGTTTATCAGTGCCCCTCTTTGCTTGGTGATGAGCTTAAGAAAACAACGTGGCCAGGCATAGTGGCTCATGCCTGTAATCCTAATATGGGAGGCTGAGGCAGGAGGATTGCTTGAGCCCAGGAGTTCCAGACCAGCCTGGACAATACAGCAAGACCCCTGTCTCTACAAAATAATTTTTTTTTAATTAGCTGGGTGTGGTGGTGTGCACCTGTGGTCCCAGCTAATAGGAGGTTGAGGTGGGAAGATCACTTGAGCCCTGGACATCGAGGCTGCAGTGAGCTGTGATCGCACCCACTCCAGCCTGGGTGACAGAGCAAGACCCTGTCTCAAAAAAAAAAAAAAAAAAAAAAAGAAGGAAAGAAGGAAAATAAAATGATATACTGCTGTTACCTTCTGAGAATTTGTGATCTTGGGAGAAGCATGACCCAATCACCTGAGGGAGAGACTTGAGACAGGTGTCTACATGATGATAGCATAGACACTAACCTGTGCTAAGAAGCAGGAATGCCATGTGGTTCAGGAGAGAAAGAGCTCAGAGAGGGGTGGGGTGGTGTATTCAGAGAAGGTTTTACAGAGGAAGAGGAAGTGGGGGCTGAACTAGACCTTGACTGGGAGTTGCTGTTGGCTATGGCAGGAAGAGGAGGGGAGGACATTTCTTTTTATGTGTGTGTACGGTACGAGTAAGAGAGAGAGTCTGGCTGAAGGAGAGAGTGCAAAGTGGGTAGGAGTAAGTGGAGTTGGCCTAGAGGATGGGCCCAAAAGATTTTGTAGTAAGATTTGAGGTGCACATAAAAGTTCTGTTTTTGTATGCTAGAGGCAGTACTCACAGATGTCACTGCGTTCCTTCCTGCTGGATATTGCTCTTATGTCGTCCCCATGGATCAGTCATTGTTTAGCAGGAGCAAAGTGCCGGGGCTCTCAGCACAGGGCCCAGATGTCACTGAAGTGTGTGAGGAGCTAGAACTTAAAGCCACGTGAGCCTAGGGAGTACTCGAGTGGGTGCGCTTCTCCATGGACTTCATTGAGAATTGGGAGGTATGGGTAGGAATGAGGGTGGAAGCGATCAGTGGGCTTGGGAATGTGAACTTAGAAATGGTAGTTAGCTTCTCTCACCTCAGTTTCCTCATCCATAAAATGGGAATAGGAATATCTGTATTTTGGAGTCGTGAGAATTGATGGAGAGGTGTATGTGAAATTGTCAGGCATATAACAGACTTTTCTTTTTCTCCTTTTTTTTTTTTTTTTGAGACGAGGTCTTACTCTGTCATCAGGCTGGAGTGCACGGCTCACTGCTGCCTCAACCTCCTAGGCTCAAGCGACCCTCCCTCCTCAGCCTCCTGAGTAGCTGGGACTACAGGTGTGCACCACCACGCCCAGCTAATTTTTGTATTTTTTGTAGGGACAGGGTTTCTCCATGTTGCCCAGGCTGGTCTCTAACTCCTGGGCTCACATGATCCATCTGCCTCAGTTTCCCAAAGTGCTGGGATTACAGGTGTGAGCCACTGCACCTGGCCTCATTTTTACACTTAATGCAAAACACTGTCTCTCTAATTTCTTAGGTAACCTGCCATCTGCATTCAAATTTACCTCACTTACTGATGAGTTTCTTTTGGCCATGAAGAGGTCTTGTGTCTCCTGTGGTTTGGAACCTTGGGAGTCTGGGTGGGAAAGAGTAGGTGAAATCACCCATCCCTGGGCCTGGGGGGAATTCCCAGAAATGGTGCTAGCCATCAGGATGTATAAGTATGTGTTCACGCATGCCTTCATATCCTTGAGCACCAGTAGTGATGGAAGTGCCTGTGTGCTGTCAGCTGGGGCGGGTGCAGGGTGTCCCCTCGCTTGCCAGTTCGCCTTGTTCTGACTGGTCCATTGGCCCCTTTGCCTTAGGCAGGAAGGGCAGAAAGAGTGCTCTCTGTAAAGAGGGGTTGGGCCCCTGTGCCCTCAACTCAAGCCTGCCAGTGACTTTGTGGTTTTCCTCCTAGGTCTGCTGACATTTGTGAACTGTGCCTATGTCAAGTGGGGCACACGTGTGCAGGACACGTTCACTTACGCCAAGGTCGTAGCGCTCATTGCCATCATTGTCATGGGCCTTGTTAAACTGTGCCAGGGTAAGTGGTGGGAAGGGGGGTACCACCAACAGTTCCTCTGGATTCCCTGAGGAGAACATGGCGACTCTGTTAGCTTCACTGCTCGGCTGTTTCTATGTACATGCTAGCATGTGTCAGTGAGTGCAAGAGATGGGAGTAGATTTCTTTCTGGGCTTTTTGGGCCAGGCTGGCTTGGCCAAGTGGACATGAGTCAGCCTGTCCCTCAGGGCTGGTTTCCTTTGGTGGAGGCTGGGAGCATTGCAGGAAGCCAGCCAAGGGCCTAGGAGCTCCTGAAGCTTGGGTCATGATTGGGTCATAAAAGTAATCTGTGGGGATAGAGTGGCTCCTGTTTGTGGTCTGTGACTGCCAAGCTACAAGTAGGAAGACTGGGCCCTCCTTGAGACAGGTGGCAGGGTATATGGAGCTGGAAGTGGGGTATGGAAATGGGTGGTTATTTTGCAGCCTTTACTTTTCATCTGGACTTGTATTCAGCAATCCCTCCCCAAGTCAGCTCTCAGAAAAATATTAAAATATTGTGAAATTGGCAGTGTCTTTCCTAAATGTTGGCTTTAGAAAGCTTTTCATTCCTGGATCAGAGAGGACTGGCAGTGAGGGTAACAGGCCTACCAAGATCTCATGAGCCCTAGAGAGGTCTTGAGGTGTCTTTAGCCACAGATATCTCAATCATTTCACAGCCCAGTTCTCTAGGTCATCAGTCCCTAAATGTGGCTGTGTACAGTCACCCGGGGAGCTGAGACCCTAATCTCAAATCTGTTGGATCACATTCTGGTTGGTGTGGAGTCTAAAAAGCTGTGCTTTTAAGAATTGCCCTTGGCCCGGCACGGTGGCTCACGCCTGTAATCCTAACACTTTGGGAGGCTGAGGTGGGCGAATCAGCAGGTCAGGAATTCGAGACCAGCCTGACCAACATAGAGAAACCCTGTCTCTACTAAAAATACAAAAATTGGCTGGGCATGGTGGTGCGCGCCTGTAATCCCAGCTACTTAGGAGGCTGAGGCAGGAGAATGGCTTGAAAACAGGAGGCGGAAGTTGCAGTAAGCCGAGATTGTGCCACTGCCCTCCATCCAGCCTAGGTGACAGAGCAAGATTCCATCTCAAAAAAAAAAAAAAAAAAAGAATTGCCCTTGTTGGGCTGGGCGCGGTGGCTCATGCCTGTAATCTCAGCACTCTGGGAGGCCGGGAGGCTGAGGCAGATGGATCACCTGAGGTCAGGAGTTTGAGACCAGCCTGGCCAACATGGAGAAACCCTGTCTCTACTAAAAATACAAAAAATTAGCCGGGGGTGGTGGTGGGTGCCTCTAATCCCAGCTACTCGGGAGGCTGAGGCAGGAGAATCGCCTTAAACTGGGAGGCAGAGGTTGCAGTGAGCCAAGATCTTGCCATTGCACTCCAGCCTGGGCAACAAGAACGAAACTCTGTCTCAAAAAACAGAAAAAGAAAAAGAAAAAAAGAATTGCCCTTGTTGATTCTTAGACTGCTGGTCTAGCCTGTGTACTTATATCAAGTTAGTAGAGCTAGCCATGTGGATGTCCCTGGAGGCTCAGGAGCATCCTGGGGTCAAATTGGGTTTTGAGTAATCCTCCCCTGAAGATCTGTTCCTTAGGGAACCACTGCTGTGTATGAGAATGGACACCCCTGAGGACAGGGGTCTCTATTTTCTCTTCTCTTGCTGCATAGCCAGCTCTTTTTACCACATGAGAGCTGGGTCTAGGCTTTCTTCAGGGTGTGACAATGGGCTTCCTTAGAAGTCTGGGTCTTGTTAAAGACCCCAGTATGTCCAGAGGGTCTCTGATCTGGGTAGCTGGGTGCTGTCCCCTGGGCTTTTGTGTCTGCAGTCTCTGAGGCCTCTGAGGAGAATGACAGGCTGGGCTGGCTCCCCGGAGGGTGGGGGTGGCTCAGGCCTAGTGAAAGATAAGGTCTCAGTTCCTCTATAGCATGTCATCTCCCCCATGCAACCATAGCTACCGCAAGTAGAGCAGCATAGAGTCCTTCCCATGAGGCTGATAAACCCATTGACCAAATTGTGCAGTAGTCTGGTCCAAGAGAGGTAGTTCACAGGAAGGTATAATTTTCAATGAAAAATGACTCCTTCATGTGAAATGGGGTTCTTGACATAAATAGGTAGAAGAGCTGGGGCTTGCTGTGAGATCATTTGCAGGAAATGGAAATTCTTTAGGGTTTTGGAAGAAGTATTGTCACATCAGAGGGCGGCCAAGAATGTCTTTGGTTTTTTATTGTCTAGTTTTATTAAAGGAATGTGAGCTTTCCTGAGGAAGTGGGTGGGGTGGTAAAGTGTAGGGAGCTAGTGGTTGTTGATCTTTTGGTGTTAAATTATGTTTTTTTTTCTTTCCCCTGCCTTCTTGTTTTTTCTTTCTTGTTCCTCCCCATTCCTCCTTTTTTTCATCTTCCCTTCCTCTTTCCTATTCTCCTTTCGTATCTTTCTCTTACACCTCCCATCTCCTCTTCCTTTCTCCTTTGGCCTGTTCCTTCTCTCTGAACCCCTCACCTGCCTTTGCCCCCACAGGACACTCTGAGCACTTTCAGGACGCCTTTGAGGGTTCCTCCTGGGACATGGGAAACCTCTCTCTTGCCCTCTACTCTGCCCTCTTCTCTTACTCAGGTTGGGACACCCTTAATTTTGTAACAGAAGAAATCAAAAACCCAGAAAGGTAAAGATGGGATCACACTCTCACTCCCCAGCTTGGCTGGAACTCCTGCTGATAGTGGGCGTGCCTGCCCTCATCCTTCTCCTCCTCCCTCCGACTCTCCTCCCCTCTTCTCCCTACTCCCCCTTCTCCAGCTAGGAGGGGCTGAGGGCTAGAATGGGAGTGAGTGAAGGTAGGAAAGCCTTCGGCTCCCTGTCCTCACGTTCGCACTGGAGGATAGGGCCTTCCTAGAGGAGAGGGCCTTCAGTGGGGAGCAGCAGGCCCAGCTGGGGCAAAGGAATTAGGACCTCGGACTCTGGTGCTGACACTACAGCCCGCAGAACCAAAACTTATTCTGGCCAGCTGGGTCCCCAGCCTGGCATCCAGTCCCCAGGACACTGTTCCTTGCACTGTTCCTCTGAGATCACAGATGCAGGAGGATTATGAAACCCAGTAGGACCCATTGGTCCTACTGTGGCAAAGATTAAATATTGATCATGAGCTATCTTCACAGAGAAAGTTGGGTCTTTCTCAATAGAAAGAACCCAGGGTCAAGGGGAAGGTGAGCCTCCCTCAAAGACTTGGAGGCTAGTGAACTGTTAAATGTTAGGAAAATCCCAGTGGAGACTTGATAAACTTTGTTCCCAAGGAGAGGTTGGTTCTAGGTAGTCCTTTCTCACTTGTCCTGACAGAAATTTGCCCTTGGCCATTGGGATTTCTATGCCAATTGTGACGCTCATCTACATCCTGACCAATGTGGCCTATTACACAGTGCTGAACATTTCAGATGTCCTTAGCAGTGATGCTGTGGCTGTGGTGAGTCTCTTGGGATCCCCATTTGTTCATCATCTCCTGATACTGAGCCACCCTGCACAGCTCAGTCTGTCTTACTGCACCCTCCTCAGCTCTGCAGGATGAGGTCATGAGTCTAGGCCAGAGGGTGGGCTGCTTAGCAGTGATTGCATTTGTTCCGAGATCATAGATGCAGGAGGATTATGAAACCCTGTGCGTTTAAGTGCCTTTTCTGTGCCCTGCCCCCAGACATTTGCTGACCAGACGTTTGGCATGTTCAGCTGGACCATCCCCATTGCTGTTGCCCTGTCCTGCTTTGGGGGCCTCAATGCATCCATCTTTGCTTCATCAAGGTACTGTGTCTCTGTGTCACTGATAATAGACCACAATATTTCATTCTCTGGGGCTTAGGCATAAGAGTTCCTTTTTTCCCTCCTTCTCATGGGCATATAGGGTGTGTGTGTGTGTGTGTGTGTGTGTGTGTGTGTGTGTTTGGTATGTGGGCATGTACTTGCCTTTGTGCAAGTAGCACATTTGTATGCTGGTAGCTCATGTTTCCATCTGAGGTGAGGACAGATTGTGTGCTGATAGCTCATGTTATGTGTTGATAGCTCATATTTATGTGCTGGTAGCTCATATTTTGTGTGCTGGTAGCTCATGTTTATGTGCTGGTAGCTCATGTTTTGTGTGCTGGTAGCTCATGTTTCCATCTGAGATGAGGACAGATTGATGAAAGGTATAGGGGAGAAAGGCAACAGCTTGGAGTGGTGACTTGGGCAGGGACCAGATTCTAGGCTCCTTGTGGGTTATGCTGTAGCCCCAGGATTCATTCCTTCAGTAAATGATAACAGCACTTGCTGTGTACCAGGTATTGGTGCTATGTACAGAAAGACTTTCCCCCTCACTTCCCAGAAAATGCCGAGGCCATCAGGTCTCCTGATCTCCTCTGTGCAGACATCTATAAGCGTGCTGGTCCTTCCTGTTGTTGAAGAGGAAGGAGCAGGTGTGCCTTTCCTGGCAGACTCTGCTACTTGGGCTCGGGGTTCCAGCACTTCCCCTCTTCTTCAGCAGTTTGCTCCATCAGTTGGCCCTTCTCTTTGGTGGGTGCTCACTTGGAGCCAGCTCTCCAATAGCTTCTCTCCTCTCCACTTAGGAGAGACACAAAATAGCGTTTCGCATCTCTCCTCTTCCCACTTACTGGATGTACTACTTTTTATTTTTAAATTAATTTTTTTTAGAGATTGGGGTCTCACTATGTTGCCCAGGCTGGTCTCAAACTCCTGGTCTCAAGTGATCCTCCCACCTTAGCCTCCCGAGTAGCTGGGATTAAAGGCATGCGCCACCATACCTGGCCCTGGAGGCATGAGGGCTTGTGAGACAGCAGTCTGGGCTTCAACTTTCATTCATTTTCCCATCTGTTAAGAGTTTGGCTTCTACTACCTGAAAAATATTCTTATTAAGGCGATCTCTTTCTTAGCCTGTCTTTAGTCCTCATCCTATTGGACCTCTGAAGCAAGTGATGCTGACCACTTTCCAATTTTGAAACAATTCCCATGGCTTCTATGACATAAGATACATGAGAAGAAAATTTCTTTCCTGATTTCTCTTCCACTCACTCTATAACTGGTGTTGTCCCCAGGGCCGGGGGTATAATAGTCATCCAATAAATATTTGCCATGTGAACACACAGAAGCATGAAAAATAAGAGAGAGTTTTGTCCCGTTCATTCTTTTTACTGGTTTTCACACACCAGTCCATGTGTTGTGCCTCCCTGGGGCAAGCAAAGAATTAGAGAAGTCAAGGCCTTGTAAAAGAACATAGTGTCCAGCTGGGCGTGGGGCTCACACCTGTAATCCCAGCACTTTGGGAGGCTTAGGCGAGAAGATTACCTTAGGTCAGGAGTTCGAGACCAGCCTGACCAATATGGTGAAACCCTGTCTCTACTAAAAATACAAAAAAAGAAAAATTAGCTGGGCATGGTGGCACGTGCTTGTAGTCCCAGCCGCTCGGGAGGGTGAGGCAGGAGAATTGCCTGAACCCAGGAGGCGGAGGTTGCAGTGAGCCGAGATCGCGCCATTGAACTCCAGCCTGGGCTACAGAGCGAGACTCCATCTCAAAAATAAAAAAAGTAGTGTCACCTTCCCTCTGCTCAGCCTAGTTGTGATAGATGGACTTCTTTTCTAGCCTTTCCCTGACACCCTAGCCTCCCCCTGCTCTAGTTTGCTCTCCAGTCTGGTGTCAAATCCCGTCAGGCCCTTACCTCAAAGCCACAGCTGACTGTGTTTGTTCAGACTCCACAGTGTGGCCTTGTATGCAGGTTCTTCCCAGCACCCTCTTCTCACACAGCTTGTCCTGGGGCTCTAGGCATTCTACATCAACCTCCAAAGAGGCCACGCTCTTTCATACCTCCACACATTTTGCCTATGCACATGCTCGTTTTTTCCACCTACCGACTTGCTTCTGGAAACTCTTCTTTGCATCTCTCCTCTTGCAAAGCATTTTGGCACAAGCCTCAAGCCTAGCGAGTGAGTGTCGTGTACTCCAAGGTGATGCTGACCATGCTGGGGACAGTTCATTTCTGTGCCAGTCTTTTTTTGTTTGTTTTTGAGATGGAGTTTTACTCTTGTTGCCCAGGCTGGAGTGCAATGGTGCGATCTCGGCTCACTGCAACCTCCGCCTCCTGGATTCAAGTGATTCTCCTGCCTCAGCCTCCCGAGTAGCTGGGATTACAGGCATGTGCTACCGCGCCCGGCTTATTTTGTATTAGTAGAGACAGGGTTTATCCATGTTGGTCAGGCTGGTCTCAAACTCCCGACCTCAGGTGATCCACCTGCCTCGGCTTCCGAAAGTGCTGGGATTATAGGCATGAGCCACCATGCCTGGACGCTGTGCCAGTCTTTTTCCCAGTCGGTAGAGCTCTTTAGGTGTAGAAAGGAAGCCTGGGTTGTCTCTCTGACCCTCAGTCTTGCCTTACATCAGCTCAGGGAAAATATATGGAGGGCATGAACAGAAATCTGGCTGCCCTTTAAAAGCTATTATGTTAGCTATGAATCTGGCATGGATTGGGTGAGTCTGTTAGTGGGTGACAGCAGGGTGAGGCATCTGTTGGATGTTGGTGAGGTATCTGTGGCTGAGAGAAGAGGGGGTATCTGGGTGATGGTGGGTGGGGCATCTGGGTAGTGGTGAGGTGCCCGGGGATGAAGAGGGAGGGAAAATCTGTAGGGAAGGGGGGAGCAGGGAGGTTGGACTGGTGATGCACTAAGGACCTGGGATGCTCCTGGGAGGCTGCATCCTGCTTTCCTCGGGGGCTCTGAGCTGAGTTTGTCCAAGTGAGGAGTGAGTATGGCTGAGTAAAAGGAGTAAAGGATCCTGCTGACACATTTCTCATCCTTCTAGGTTGTTCTTCGTGGGCTCCCGGGAGGGCCACCTACCGGACCTTCTGTCCATGATCCACATTGAGCGTTTTACACCTATCCCTGCTTTACTGTTCAATGTAAGCTTTGCTGGGACCACGGGGCTCAGGTGGATCTGTGCATTGCTCCTTCTGATTTGTGCTAAGTTGTTAAATAAGAGGGACCCTGAGAAAGGCCTTACTCTAAGATGTGAAAAACAGTTCATTTTTTGTTGTCATTTAATTCTTTTATGGTTTTATTACGTTTAATTTTGGATTAATCTGGAATTTATATTATAGCATAGTATTGAGAAAGGTGGGGATTCACTTAATTTTTTCTCGAATGGCAGCCAGCTATACCAATATCGCTCACTCAACAATCCATTTTCCCACAGTTTTCAAACTTTTATCACAGAAAATTAATAGCTAATTTTTTTAGGGTCCTTAATATGTGCCAATTATTATTGTATGCCCCTTAAATGTGCCATCTCAACTAATCCTCCCCATCAGCACCAAGTCTCCTTAGTTTAGCTTTATACTGACTATCTGAAAACTAAAGAGGGACCAAGGGTACTTCTTTAGTCCCCCCGCCCTTGGAATTTTCCTAGCAATTCTCATATTCGTTTATTTGTCTTGATGAACTTTTCTATCATTTCATCAAAGTAAGAGAAAAATTCTCTTGATATTTTGACAGGGCCAGCATTGAATTTATAAATTTAGGAGGTTATCTGACTATAGGCACACACCACCAGGCCTGGCTAATTTATTTTTTGTAGAGATGAGGTCTCACTATGTTGCCCAGGCTGGTCTTGAGCTCCTGGGCTCCAGTGAGCTGCCACTTCAGTCTCCCAAAGTGCTGGGATTATAGGCACAAGCCACCACGCCCAGCCTTCTCTTCTTAATACAGGGTTCTCCCTTATCTCCACAGAATGAGCTATTTGGTTTTAAATCCTTTGTTGATAATTTGTAATGAAAAGATTATTGAAGTTTAAACACATTTGACCTTGTCCCAGGACCCTAGGCCCTAATCCTTGCCTTCTAGGATTCTTTTGTTCCAGAAGCTAATGCTGTCTTATGTCTGGATGGATCCATTTTGCTAGTTTCCAGGTCCAACACCTGACTTCAGAGGCCTGAAATGCTACAATTTCTCCCTCTGGCTCAAAATTCTTCCATGGGGAGAGAGTTAGATTCCATTATTTATTGACATTATTTAGTCCAGATGGGTAGGGATCCAATTGCTAGTTAGCATTTCTCAGGCCTGAGGACAGTGAGATGGTTCTGAAGGCGTTTCCCCCATTTGTATGCCAGGCAGTCGGGACCCAGGTCTAACCCCTCTCTAGGACACCGTGTAATCCATGTTAAGGTTGCTGCACTGAAGTGAGGAGGGCCTCAGCGTCTGCCTTTTTCTAAAGTGCTTGCAACAAGGGGGAGGCATTGAGTGGAGGAAGGGCTGCAACAGAAGGGGGAAAGATGCTACCCTGAGGGTTAATGTACCTCAGGGTACATCAAGGAATGGACCTATCTGATGCCAAGGGGTCAATGAAAAGAGCCAGAGGTAATCTGGTGAAGTGGCATCAGATCTAGTACTGACTGCTGGGTGGGGGAGTCTCCTGGGGGCGCAGGTGGTGACGATGCTCACCTGTCTCCCCACCCCTTTCCCACAGTGCACCATGGCACTCATCTACCTCATCGTGGAGGATGTTTTCCAGCTTATCAACTACTTCAGCTTCAGCTACTGGTTCTTCGTGGGCCTGTCTGTTGTTGGACAGCTCTACCTCCGCTGGAAGGAGCCCAAGCGGCCCCGGCCTCTCAAGGTCAGCAGCTCTGGCCAGACTAGGAGGGGTGGGCCATCTCCCTAAGGTGGCTTCTTGCCCACGAGCTGTTTCCTCTTCCCACGTTACTTAATCTCTCACCCCCTCTATTTCAGCTGAGCGTGTTTTTCCCCATCGTGTTCTGCATATGCTCCGTGTTTCTGGTGATAGTGCCCCTCTTCACTGACACCATTAATTCCCTCATTGGCATCGGGATTGCCCTTTCTGGAGTCCCTTTCTACTTCATGGGTGTTTACCTGCCAGAGTCCCGGAGGCCATTGTTTATTCGGAATGTCCTGGGTGAGCTTCTCTGTGCCCCATTACTCACTGGCGGCTATGTGTGCATGCGCATGCAGAGGTGGGGGGTGGCTAACAGCTTCCCCATACTCAGAATTTGCTGGAGGCCATGTGACCCAGCTGTCCACGACTTCCCTTTTGATTTTGACATGATCACTTTAGTTCTAATTTTAGTGTCCTATTTTGGGGCTAAAACATTACCTCCTGACAACACAAATCACCTGGGAAGATGAGTTGTGCATCAGACTCTGGTTGGGCATGGGACAGAGGATGATGAGGCTTGTTGGGAGACAGGGGCAAAGCCTGATATAGGGTACTTAAGGGGCAGGTGGCGAGGGAGCCATAGATGTTACTAGTCAGCCTTGTTCAGGTTAGGGCTGTAGCTAGATGTTTACTAAACCCTGTGCTTGCTCTATTTTCATTTAGCTGCTATCACCAGAGGCACCCAGCAGCTTTGCTTTTGTGTCCTGACTGAGCTTGATGTAGCCGAAGAAAAAAAGGATGAGAGGAAAACTGACTAGAGGTCAGAGGTGGCTTTCTGAGGCCTGGAAGGCAGGCCAACCAGCAAAATCCTGATAACAAGACTCTGTGGGCCCAACTCTCCTGAATTAAAGGAGCCTTTTGACCCAATCATATAGTGGGGCTCAGGGCCAGTGCTCACTCTTATTGGTAAGCTATAGGAGACTCAGGATCTGGGCCAACCTCAAGGTGGGGGCTTCAGAGGGTGGGGGGAAGATTGGGGAACGGGGGGAATGGTCATTTAGTTTTACTCCTGATAGGTAGATGCAGCTCTTACAGATATTTACTTGGTAAAGTGCAGTGGGGAAGAGGGAATGCTAGGTTGATAGGGCTGGTGGCTTCTGAATTTGGTATTTGAACTAGGAGTCCCTATAGAGGGGCTGCTTTATGGGAAGTTTTTCTCTGACCAGGTACAACACCTGACTTTAAAGGCCTGAAATGCTACCATTTCTTCCTCTGGCTCAAAATTCTTCCCTGGGGAGAGAGTTATATTCCCTTATTTATTGATATTTAGTCCAGAACACCAGTTCTAACGAAGCATGCGTGTCTCTTCATCTACAGGATGCAATAGGCTGATTGTATTTAAAAATCAAAGTACCCAAAACTGAGTCCCTTTGGGCTCAGAAATGTCTGTGGTATTGGGTCAGACTCTGACCACAGGTTTTATGCTGTTTAGCACAATTTCTATTGAGTCTTACCTGCAACAATGAACCTTAAAGATTTTTTTACTCACGTACCTGTTACACTTTAGCATACAGATAGATCATAGATCACGTTACAAGCACTTGGCTCAGGTCCAGCAAGGACAGATGAACAAATTCCTGAGTCAGAAGTCTGTTAATATTGCTGTTTTGAAGGACAATCCTTTATTTTACTTGAGACCTTACATCTTTGTTCTAGCTGACAGTAAATCTCTGGGTTTCTGTTACGAACTCTAAGAGGGCTGAAACTTCTGATATTCAGGTGGATCACCTGAATTCTCTCAGCTGTCAATGGCTTGGAGAACATCTCATGGGCCCAAGTCATCAAATAACCTGTTCCTCTCTGTAAGGGCAGTGTGAGGGACTGCTGTGCAGACCCAAGCAATCCCAACCTGGTGCTAGGTCATTTCACTTTTCTGAAAACCTCACATCAGGCTGCATCCTCTTCTGTCCCTGGCACCAGGCTTTGTTTACACTTGGAGCCACCTTGGTGTGGGTCACCGGGACAGTGTACTCCTCTCCTGCCAGCCTCCCCTTCCCCGAGGTGTGGTGGCTGCAGTCTCAGGAAGAGCTTGGTACTTGTGGGGACTTCTGTTTTCTCCCTGTGGAGATCAGTGAAGACTGGGAGGAAAGCTGCTTCAACCTGAGTCCGGCTCTTCAGCAGGCTGCACAAGTGGAAGCAACTAATTCTGGTGCTCAGGCTGGGCTCTCCACCCAAGTTAGGCCTGCTCTGGCCTAATGGATCTTACTGTATGAGCAGGACGGCTGCATTGGATTGTACAACTGTTTTGTGATGCCCCCAGACACTGTCATCCTGGGCCGAGAAGAACCTGCTAGCTTGACATACCCCATGGGCTTATCCTTAGGTTTTGGAATTGGTCAACAGTGAGGCAGTCTCCCTTCCTGACCATTCTTCTCCACCCAGTCACAGATAAGGGAATAACCTTGGCCATATATTTGCTCAATAAAGATTGAAGGAAGCATGGTCATAGTTGCCCTGGGTTCAGAGCATAATGCATATGTGAAGCATGGGGTGACATTCCTACTGTCATGGGTTTGGGATTTGTAACGGCAAATTCCTGCCCGACGACAGGGTGTCTTATGCAAAGGCTGACTTGCCTGAACGCTAAGAACATGACTTCTGTCTGAGCTAAGCTGGCACCCATCCCAGGGCTCCTCTGGAGCTAATCCTTTAAGCAAAATGTGCTTGCCTTTTAAAGATCCCTGACCCCAGCTTTAGCTTTCTCCACCAGATAACCAGCTAATCCCAGGAATTTGCTGCCCCCCACCAGTGGCTTCTAGGGAAAGCAAGGACCTCACATGCCAGGTGCCCTAGTACTTGCTTAGTGAGCCATGTCATCCTCCTTTCATTTTTGGATGGTGACAGCATTTTTCCCCTCTGTGCTGGATACAGACTTCTCCCAGGATCCTCTCTTTGGGAGCGAAGCCAGAGGATCCCTACAGCACTCAAGCTTCATGGTGGAATTAATTTCTGCCAGCTCTTTGTTGTCTGTCTCCTTAAATCCTTTTCCTGGTGTGCTTATTATCCCTTTTGCAGTGAGTACAGTTTATTAAGTTGTCAGCCCTTTAATATTGGGGAAACTTAATGAGTATAAATAGCAGGGAGCACATTGTAACAGCACAGTGTTTTGTTTTTTTCACCCGGTTGCTGTATGAGAATGGCTTTCAATCCTTTGTTTCTATGCCTACAGACAGAAAGCAAGATGTCTAATATTAGACATACAAGTTGCTGCCTGTTATAACGGTGAATTATACCTTTGTGCATGCCTAGGATGTTTGTTGTTTTAATTAGCTGCAATATATACGGCCTGTGTACACAGAATTTAATCACTTCGGCAGGTTGAACAACTCCATGTAGATAAGAGCAAGTGTAGGCAAAGGTTTAGAAAATGGACATAAAGTCAAAGAATGATGGCAGGTAGGATGAAGGAGAGATACTTAGGAAATCCTAAAAGAGGCGGCAAGAAGGTACCTCCCTGTGTAACTCACCTTCCCCCATGACAGTGAGTAAGAGACACTCACAGGCTATGAGGGTACACCCCTAGCTGAATGTTCTGTGTTGTTTCCTTAGACCTGTGGTGTCCGCTGCAACAGCTACTAGCCACGTGTAGCTAATTACATTAAAATGAAATAAAATTAAAAGCTCAGTTTCTCAGTTGCGCTAATCACATTTCAAGTGCTCAGCAGCCACCCGTGTCTACTACTACACAGTGCAGACACAGAACATATCATCACTGCAGATAGTTCTACTGGACAATGTTACGCTAGAATAAACACCAAGGCAGTCAGTTAAGGCAGCTATGGTTTGGAAAGGCATACGGACAGAGTCTGCTTAGAAGAGATACAAGTTGTTAATAAAATTGATCCTGTTGATAGTAGTTTGTTTTTGTGGTGGGTGCTGTGAAGAGTAAACATTACTCAGTGGAAAGCTAAGTTCAGAAGGTACTTTGTTTTTCCTCCCTTGCCTTAAGTCCTTGGTATTTATAATCAATGCTGAACCTTCTATTTCACTACCGCTCCCTGTTTTAGATATTCAGATTTAAAAGGTTTTCAAAGAATTACTTTCTTCCATGTTCAAAGCTAGATTTTACTAAACACATGTATCACATTCATATATATTGTTTCTTGGCCCCACTGCCAAAGGAAGTCAGTCAGTAATTTCACAACCGTTATCAGAGTTTGGAAGCAGAAATAGCTGTTAACTAAAATCTCCCACTGCTCAGACTACTTTCTGCCCTAATGGCCATTACTATCCAGTCTGTATTGCTACAAGGGACCCACTGGTACCCCTTTTAGATTCTATCAAAAGGAACAGGGTTTTCCTAGAGGCAGGCAGCCTGGTGGTATGGCACAGCAGAAGCTTACTGCTAATGAAATGGGAACCTCCCCCTCCCTTGTGGTTTCAGCACAGAACCTGAATGCCAGGAAAAATTCCTGGGCCAAGAAGCTAAAGCTAAAGAAACCTTCCTTTTTTCAACGTTTTTTTTTCTTTCAAACTGTAGGGTCACTTTTGATTGAGGCAAAGGGGTCCTACTGTAAGTGGAAAAGACTCACTCCCCTAACATAAGTTTTCACTGTGGTGGGATGGTGCCGCCCGATATGCTTGATATGCTTTTCCTTCCACATGTTAAGCTAGGAAACCTAACAGGATGTCAGCAGGGCAGTTAACTCTGGACTCAGAGCCCTCAAGGGCATGTGGCAGAACCTCATGGACATCACAAGACCATCAGTCTGAATCCAGGTCGTGGGGGCTGTCATAGCCGAACTCCTTCTGCACATCCAGAGGGTACTTGCTCCACATCCGCTGTCTGCTGCTGCCTCTTTCCTCCTCACTCAGGCTGTTGTAGTCAGCAGAGCCTAGAATGACATCCCGGGAGTGGATTCTAAATGTGATTTTCCTAGGCTACTGCAGGAGCCCCTTCTCTTCTCAGAAAGGTCTGTTTTTGTTCCCGATTGTAATGCAAAATCCTTGCTCAATAAATAAAAAAGAATATAGAATTCTTTTTTTTTTAAAGAAGGAATCACTTTCCTATCATCTAAACCAAGTTCCTTCACACTGGAGTATTTTGTCACTTCTCCCCTCCGTGGAGTATTTTGTCACTTCTCCCCTCCGTATAGGATTTTTTGTTGTTGTAAGAGTTGTAGTCATATTGTAAATATTTTTGTACCTTTCTCCTTTTAACGTGTTATTGACAAACCTCCCCAAAAGAATATGCAATTGTTTGATTCATTTCTCTGTTATCAGACACCAATAAATTCTTTTTGTTGGGCCTTCTTCTCTCTTCTTTAATATAGTTACTACGGGAATTATGTTGTCAGAGCATCTTTCTTCTTCCCCCAGGTATTATGTCTGTGTTGCATCTTTCTCAAAACAGTTGTACATGCAGCAGTTTTTTGAGAAGTTAGATAACTGATTTGTGAAAACTCTGGGCTTATTCCTACTGGCAAACCTCTCTCTTCATTGGTTTCTTGACTGGGGCAGGGGAAGAGACAATGAGCTACATATTTTACATAATCTCAACCACTAAAATTCATGCAGAACCATCTCATTTGGAGAGAAAATGAGGCTCAGTGAGGTGAAGTAACTGCCCAAGAGCCACAGCAAAGTAATGACAACTACAGATTTGAATCCAGGCCTGATGGATTATTACACCCCCAGGAGGCCCCTGGGAAACACTGGTCTTTGGGTCTCCTACAGCATGGCTCAGTTGCGGCTGGGCTGCTGGCGCTCAATGACAGAGAAGGAAAGGCAATTAAGATGCACCTGTCAACTATGCCTGCACCTCAGTCTCAGATCCTACCAGTCCCTCCCGGTCTGGGGCTGCCACCCACCTCTGGAATCCTCATCTCCATCACTGCTCTCCTCCTCTGGGTACTCATTGCGCCAGTTATTCTCACTGTTCTCGTCATCTTCATCGTCGTAAATGTCCTCTGGTTCTTGATCATCATTCACCTACACATCTCAACACAAACATGAGTCCAAGTCAAAACCTCTAAGGTTATGCTCTGGGGGAAGTTGTTAGCATACCAGCTTGAAGAGATATCATGTAAAAGTGCCCTGTGAAAAAACTGCAGACTAGTAGTTTGACTCCATTGCACAAGAGGCTATGAGAGGGAGATAATAGCCCCCTTCCACTCAGAGCCCAGCTCCACAATGATAGGACATGCTGGACCCCATGAGAAGGGAACACAGGGAAAAGAGGAGTGATGGCTCTGAGCGATTCCTTCAAATTCCAAAGGTCAAAACCAAAACCCAAGCGTAAGAGGTGCGGAAAGGCAGGAGGAAGGGCCATGCAGTGGTCCAAGGTGGGTACCTGACTGCAAATCTGTCCTAATGCAGGTGCAGGATGCAGTGCTTCTTGATTATAGTCTGAGCATGACCATTAGGTGCCACCTTAAGTTTTCTTGTTAAGCATTTTAGAATTTGAGAATAGGCTGGGCGCGGTGGCTCACGCCTGTAATCCCAGCACTTTGGGAGGCCGAGGTGGGTGGATCACTTGAGGTCAGAAGTTTGAGACCAGCCTGGGCAACATGGTAAAACCTTGTCTCTACTAAAAATACAAAAATTAGCCAGGCATGGTGGCATGCACCTGTAGTCCCAGCTACTTGGGAGGCTGAGGCAGGAGAATCGCTTGAACCCAGGAGGCGGAGGTTGCAATGAGCCAAGATTGCACCATTGCACTCCAGCCTGGGTGACAGAGCGAGACTCCATCTCAAAAAAAAAAAAAAAAAAGATAATGGTGTCAGCTAGGTGTGGTGGCTCACACCTGTAATCCCAACACTTTGGGAGGCCAAGGTGGATCACTTGAGCCCAGGAGTTCAAGACCATAAGACCAGCCTGGACAACATAGTGAGACCCTGCCTCTACAAAAAAATCAACAAAAATTGGGCATCATGGTGCATGCCTGTACTCCTGGCTGGCTGCTTGGGAGGCTGAGATAGGAGGATTGCTTGAGCCTGGGAGATAGAGGCTGCAGTGAGCTCAGATAGCACCACTGCACTCCAGCCTGGGTGACAGTGTGAGACCTTGTCTCAAAAAAGAAAAAAAAAAAAGAATAATGTCAGGACGTTAGCTTTCTTCATCCGAGGTTTCTCTACTTCTAAGGTACGAATTAAAAAATAGATTTTGTTGTCACTCATGTTAAGAATTTCTGATTTTATCGTCTTTATCTTATCATAAGCCCCATATACATATTTCCCCCCTAAGAATGGATAGCTATAAACAATAAAGGTGATGTTGCAAACCTTGTAAAATATTCATTAATGTAAAAATGATCAATCTAAGATGATCTTTCCCCAAATTCCCTGTACTATAAAGTCAGGTTCCTAAAAGGCACTTAGAATAATTTCTTCCTTTTCAGGAGGAAAAGAACTAAGGACAATGTTGTTCGGGAGTGGAGCCCAGGGAAGCAAAGCATTCTGATTAGATTAAGAGCTTAGGATGCCTCATGCCCCGTCTGCTCATGGGCCCCCTTACCAGCTCCCATTCTTGGCTGTAGGGCTGCACGGAGAGGATGTTCTCAATCCAGCCTGGAGTGGCCGTCTCCAAGTAGTAAATGTCATACACATAGTCATCGTGTTTTTGTTCTTCCTGGCGCCTGACTCCTGGTCCATCCTCAGACACAGTCAATCGCTCACGGATCAACTCTACAGAATTGCAGAGGATCACATCTGGGTCAGATGTCTGTAAAGAAACCACAGATTACACACACACGCATGACCCAAAACATGATGTTCCAAGAGGAGGAACCTATGAGTTGGGTGAAGGAAGGCTCCCTACAGTTTTTTTTGAGACGGAGTCTCACTCTGTCGCCCAGGCTGGAGTGCAGTGGCGTGGTCTTGGCTCACTGCAACCTCCGCCTCCCAGGTTCAAGCGTTTCTCCTACCTCAGCCTCCCAAGTAGCTGGGACTACAGGTGCGTGCCACCATGCCTGGCTAATTTTTTGTATTCTTAGTAGAGATGGGGTTTCACTGTGTTAGCCAGGATGGTTTTGATCTCCTGACCTCAAGTAATCTGCCCGCCCCAGCCTCCCAAAGTGCTGGGATTACAGGTGTGAGCCACCTTGCTCAGCTACAGTTCCATAGTGTTGTGGTCAAGATTCTTATCCCCATGAATTCCTAGTCTTTTAATTAATTATTACATTAAAAAATCAAGAATCTCTGTAAAATTAATGTGTAGTTCTTACTTTAAGATAGAAACGTACAAGATAGGCTCCTGCTCTTTTGTGCTTGGCTCTCACACCTATAATCCCAATGCTTCGGGAAGCCAAGGTGGACAGCTTGCTTGAGCCCAGAAGCTCAAGACCAGCCTGGCCCACATGGCAAAACCCCCGTCTCTACAAAGAAATACAAAAATTAGCTGGGTGTGGTGGTGTGCACCTGTAGTCCCAGGTACTCAGGAGGTTGAGGCTGCAGTGAGCCGTGATCATGCCACTGTACTCTATCCTGGGTGACAGATTAAGACTTATCTCAAAACAATGAAAGAAAAAAAATATGGGAAGACTGGCCTAAGGAGAGGGGAAAGACAGAAGACCTGGCCAGTCTTGACCCCAAGCTCTGAGTCAGACCTGCTTCTATAGGTCTTCTGAGATCCTTTGGTATTATACAATGTTCTCTCTTTGGGGATCAGTAGGTCCACCGTAGCACCCCTATGGCTGAACCTGAAATGAGTCTCTATTTTGTGTGGCCTCCTGTAGAAGCCAACAGGTGTTTCCTGGTGACCTCTACCATTGCCCATCATTTGGCTTGCCATATATTGACATCCTACTTTTAACCACAAATTGGGAATGGGCTCACCTATAGTCTTTCTACTGGAAAGAACAGTTTGAAATGCAATGCCCCAGAATAGAAATGGCCCAGGTAAGATGTGCTCCAGTGCTGACAGGCTGTATTATCCAGGGGCCTGGTAGCATGGGTCAGTTTATTAACCACAGGGACATGCTGCAGATGGCTCCTCTTGATAGGTTCATCACAGGACACTGCACAGCTCCAAGCAGACACCACGCAGGAAAATGGGGAAGATCCCATGGCCAAGGCAGACAAGGGGAGACCAATGCTATAATTTACAGACTAAGGAATTCTTCCTTGCTCCAAAGTCAAAAAGAAGCTAGAGATGCCAGTTTTTCTGCAGAACCTTGAGCAAACTTAAAGTTACCTATGACAAAAGTTCTGGCTCCAACCCCTAAGTCCCTCCACTCAGTCAAATTATGCAGCCATTAAAATATAAGATTGCTGGGCACAGTGGCTCATGCCTGTAATCACAGCACTTTGGGAAGCCAAGGTCGGAGGAATGTTTGAGCCCAGGAGTTTGAGACCAGCCTGGGCAACATGGCAAAACCGTCTCTACAAAAAATACAAAAATTAGCTGGGTGTGGTAGCGCAGGCCTGTGGCTCCAGCTACTTGAGAGGCTGAGGCAGGAGGATCACATGAGCCCAGGTGGAGGCTGCACCGAGCCGTGATCATGCCACTGCACTCCAGCCTGGGCAACAGAGCGAGACGCTGTCTCAAAAAAAGGTACAAGACTAGCAATACAGAAAAATGACAGATACAGAATTTTGTACTCAGAAGGAAATAAACCAGTTCTATTCTACCTACTTTTGGGTTGATGGTAAAATGGGAGATTTTCCTCCTTTGCTATATTTTTTCAAATTTCCCATAATGAGCATAAATTATTTTTTTTCTTTTTTGAGATGGAGTTTCGCTCTTGTCACCCAGGCTTGAGTGCAATGGCGTGATCTCAGCTCACTGCAACCTCTGCCTCCCGGGTTCAAGTGATTCTCCTGCCTCAGCCTCCTGAGTAGCTGGGATTACAGGTACGCACCACCATGCCTGGCCAATTTTTGTATTTTTAGTAGAGACCGGGTTTCACTATGTTGGTCAGGCTGGTCTCAAACTCCTGACCTCATGATCCACCCACCTTGGCCTCCCAAAGTGCTGGCATCACAGGCATGAGCCACCGCGCCCGGCCTATTATTGCTTAAAGAGGCGGTTTTCATTATGTTGCCCAAACTGGCCTTGAACTCCTAGCCTTAGATGATCTTTCTGTTTCAACCTCCTGAGTAGCTGGGACTAAAGGTGTGCACCACTCCTCCTAGCTAGAAGAAAAATAATTATTATTATTTCTGTAGAGATGGAGTCTTGCTATGTTGTTCAGGATGGTCTTGAACTTCAGGCCTCAAGCAATCCTCCTGCCTTAGCCTCCCAAAGTGCTAGGATTATAGGAGTAACCCACCGTACCCTTGCTGAAAATTATTTTGAAGTCTATGTCCATGTGTATTCATTCATTCATTCATTCATTCATTCATTCACTCAGAATCAGGGTCTTGCTCTGTCGCCCAGGCTGGAGGGCAGCAGTATGATCATGGCTCACTGCAGTCTTTAACTCCCGGGCTCAAGTGCTCCTTTCTTGGCCTCCCAAAGTATTGGGATTACAGGTGTGAACTACTGAGCCCAGCCCATATTTTCAGTTTCACTACACACAGCATTTTGTACTGTTAAACATATATATTTTCGCCCACAATCAGTTTTCATGGTTATCAGTTCTAAGGGTCCAGACAGTTGTATGTGTCAACCTCTTGGATATAATTTTTAACCTCCATGTATAGTGTTGCAATGAATGTGCCATTTCCTGCATTTGAAAAGTATCTCACTCATAAGGTTTTTGTGAGGATTAAATGAGTTAAATTAAAAGAAAATATAACAAGTACCTAGCACGCTATTTGACATAATTACTTAGTCAATCAACAGTAGCATTTGTTAATATCATAGCTTAGCTTAGCTGTTTGCTTCTGCTGAATTATCTCCCTAGGATAAATCTTGGAGGTGAGACTACTAGTTAAAAGGAACTGAAGTCCTTTAATTTTTAAATTTCCTATTAAATTTATCTAATAGGAATTTATTTGCTTAAAATGTAAATTGTGTCAATTTAAGGAGAAATTCATTGTAACATAACATAGAAATGCTGTCATTTTTAAATTTCCTTAGAAATTTTTAATTTTAAAATTTTCCTAGATTATGCATGGCTTTAGATCCAAACAATAATAAATTTACATATGTAAAACATGGCTCCCATGCCATCCTGTTTTCCAAAAGGCTTGCATCAATTTTATTCCTACAATTGTGTACGCTTTTAATCATTGCCTTGCCAGCATTGCTATCAACTACTTTTTTCCTGCTAGTCTAGTATGCATAAAACCTCAAGCATGCTTTAAGCTTAAATTCATTTTTCCCCTATAATTACTCTGTGCAAACATTTTTGGTATGTTTAGAGTCGGTATTGCTTTACTGGAAAAATCTCTGTTCATATCGGTCATCAGTTTATCTCCTAGTTTTCTTTATAAAATTAAATTAGCTATTTACTCTTGTTTTTTGAGATGGAGTTTTGCTCTTCTCGCCCAGGCTGGAGTGCAGTGGTGCAATCTTGGCTCACTGCAACCTCTGCCTCCCGCGTTCAGGCGATTCTCCTGCCTCAACCTCCCGAGTAGATGGGATTACAGGCGCCCGCCACCACGCCCGGCTAATTTTTGTATTTTTAGTAGAAATGGGGTTTTGCCATATTGGCCAGGCTGGTCTTGAACTCCTGACCTCAAGTGATCCACCCGCCTCAGCCTCCCAAAGTGCTGGGATTACAGGCATGAGCCACTGTGCCCGGCCTAGTGAACTATTTACTTGATTCAATTCCACGGAGCATTGGTTTACTTTACACATTTTGTAAGTCATGCATTAGTCTGGAATGTTTTGGTGAAAGATGTGGCTATGGACATCATACACAAATTGCTATCCACTTACACTAGCACCAGCTGGACGTGGTGGCTCACGCCTGTAATCCCAGCACTTTGGGAGGCCGATGCGGGTGGATCACCTGAGGTCAGGAGTTCAAGACCAGCCTGGCCAAGGTGGCGAAACCCCGTCTCTACTAAAAATACAAAATTAGCCGGGTGTGGTGGCTCATGCCTGTAATCCCAGCTACTCGCGAGGCTGAGGCATGAGAACTGCTTGAATCCAGGAGGCAGAGGCTGCGGTGAGCCGAGATCGCGCCACTGCACTACAGCCTGGGCGACAAGGGCGAGACTCCATCTCAAACAAAACAAAAACAACAATAAACAATTACACTAGTACCATTTGCTTGTTGCTTGTGGATTCATTTTGAATTATAATTGTTTTAAGTTGCAAAAATAATTAAAATGAGTTCTATAAAAATGTTTATCAAGAGAGGGCATATTGGCTAGGCGCAGCGGCTCATGCCTGTAATCCCAGCACTTTGGGAGGTTGAGGCGGGCGGATCACTGAGGCCAGGAGTTCAAAACCAGACTGGCCAACATAGCGAAACCCCGTCTCTACTAAAAATACAAAAATTAGCTGGGTGTGGTGGCTCACGCTTGTAATCCCAGCTATTTGGGAGGCTGAGGTAGGAGAATTGCTTGAACCCGGGAGTTGGAGGTTGCAGTGAGCCAGCATCATGCCAATGCACTCTAGCCTGGGCAACAGAGTGAGACTCTGACTCAAAAAAAAAAAAAAAAAGAGAGGGCACACTTTATGTTGAGAATTTTCTGGTTTTTTTTTTAGAGACAGTATCTTGCTCTGTTGCTCAAACCAGAGGGCAGTGACTTGATCACAGCTCACTGCAATCTCTAATTCCTGAGTTTAAGTGATCCTCCTGCCCCAGCCTCCCCAGTAGCTAGGACTACAAGCGCGTGCCACAATGCCCAGCTAATTTCCTCTTCCTTTTTGTAGTGACAAGGTCTTGCTTTGTTGCCCAGGCTGGCCTCAAGCGACCCTCCTGCCTCAGCCTCCCAAAGCGCTGGGATTACAGGGAGTATTTTATTTTTTTTTGAGACAGGGTCTCACTCTGTCACCTAGGCTGAAATGCCACTGCCGCACAATCATGGCTCACTGTAGCCTTGACCTCCCCAGGCTCAAGTGATCCTCCCGCCTGGGCCTCCCTACGTGCTAGGATTAGGCGTCAGCTACTGTGCCCAGCCTCAAGGAGAATTTTCCATTTCTGTAGTTTTGCTGCATGTAGTAGACTTTTTTTGGAAGTGATTGCAAATGAAGTTAGCAAATGTAATATAAAGAAAAGCACTGGATTAAATGTGAGAAAACTTGCATTCTAGACCTAAATCTACCTCAAACTTGATATGCTATCCAGGACTATTCCTTTAACCTCTCTTTGATCAATTTTCCTACCTGCTCTATCTCTATTTTGCTCCAGTGATCCCCATCTCAGTCAGGGTGAAAGGCAATGTCCTTGCAAGTACCTAGCAGGCATCCTCCCCTCAAATTCCTTACTGCTCTCCTCTAGCTCACCGGGCTCCAGGCACCTTGCAAGGAGCAAAGAAACGGCTTAAGGGCCTCTTTACTTTCAGGTTCTCTGCCTAGAAGTCCTCTCGATATGTGGAATACCCTGCCATTCACCTTCTGCAAGTCTTCACTCAAATGTCATTTCCTCAGTGACACTCTCACTGAAGTGGCACCACTCTTCCTGCTTTGTCTCCCCGCCTCCTTACATCCCTTATCATCATCTGACACTGAATAGACTTGTTTACTGTTTCTGTCTACCTGCATGTTAGGTCCTCACTGCTGTATCCACAGAATCTAAAAAAATACCTGGCATATCGTAGGCACGTAGTAAACACATGTTGGATGAACAACCAAATCTGTAAAATGAGGCCGTCACGCCGGATGGATCATCCATCCCCTTAAGATGAAACTGTGCTGCGACTGGGCCCAGTCTTCTTGCATTACCATCCTGAGAAGCCCAGCGACCACCTTCAGGGGCATACTCACTTTGCAGGAGCCTGCAGAGGCGGCTTCAGGTTCTCCCTCCTCGTGGACAAGGTCTAACAACTGAAAGCCCGAGTTCCCGGCGGCTTCTGGGTTCCCCGGCGTGTACTCGGACTCCTGGCCGCTCGAGGTGGTCCCCAAGGATCGGCGGCTGGAAAGCACCCGGTAGCGGCCCTCCTGCCGGACCTCCCGAGCCGAGGCGCGGAGATTACGGCGGACACGCTGCTGGCTGTCCCGTGACGGGCGCAGAACTTCCCGCAGGAGAGGCTGGACTGGTTCCTCCTAGGGGGCAACAGGGGACGGAGGCCAGCGTAAGCAGGAGTTCGCGAGCGGGTCAGGGATCGGGTTTCGTACCGGCTGCACCCGAAGATGCCCTCCACACCAGCTGCACCACGCCCAATACCTGGGAGCACACAGTGGCCACCAAGTGGAAGACATTATTCTCCGCCGCTCTCTCCAAACCCTCCGACGTCTTCTGTGCCGCTGACTCGACCGCGTCGCTCCGGAGGCGTTTACAAGCGAGCACAAGAGCCTCCGCCGGCTCCGCACTGCGCTTCCGCTTCACCCGGAGTACAGCGGTCCTGGCGGCCTCCATAGTGGCTGCCGCTGAGCACTGTGGGAGCTCGCGGGGTGTGATGGGATAGCTTTCCAGTTCTGCTTTAGGACCCGCCCCCCAGCACGCTCCTCGACGCTGCGAGGTCCCGCCCCGCGTGCTGGCCGCGGTAAAAGTGGTAGCAGCGGAGGCGAGCGGAGGGTTTCCCGCGGCGGGTGAGGCGCTGGGTATGCTGGGAAGGTGGGGTCGCTTTGGGGTTCTGTGTGCAGCGAGCATGGTGTCCTTGGCACCAGGGTTTCGGCAGAGGAGCCTAGCGTGGGCCTACTTGGACTCCTCCGCGTGGGGCAGCTCGGGACACCCGGGCCTGCAGGAGAGCGGGGTTCTAGGCTGGCCCCGGCTCTGCAGTGCAGCCGGGTGCCTGCCACTCGCGGGGCTCTGTCGCAGTACTCGTGCCTGGCGCCTCCCCTCAGCCACAGAGACCGCAGTAGCTCCAACCATCGCACCCCTAACTGGGCCACGAGTTCTCTGATTGCCAGACCTGTTGTCTTTGCCACTCACTGTTCTGAGTAATTGGAGAGTCGTGTATTCACTACACGCCAACCAGAGTGGTCCTGTAAAAGCGTAAGCCTAGTGTAGATACGCTTCTGCTTAAAACTCTTGAGTGGCTCCCAGTGCTTTTAGAACAAAATCCAAACGCCTTTCCGAAGTCGACAAGGCCCAGCTTGATTGAGCAGAAGATGTGATAGGAGATGAGGAGCGGGGGGCTTCTGCAAAAGTGCTTCGGTCGCTCAGGCTTTTGGCACATTTTGCTTATGCAACCTAGTTCTTTCTACCTTAGGGCCTTTTCTTGGGAAAGTTGGGGTAAGGATTCCTGACCTGTAAAAACTCTTCCCCAACTTTTATCCCGGTCTGTCTTGTAGATCTCAAATGCTAGTTTCCTCAGAGTCCTTCTGTAACCTTGGTTTTCTCTTTCTACAACGCTCTGTGTATTTCTTGCATTCATGTAGTCTGTAATTTGTATTACTCTCTCATTAGAGTCTAAGCTCTTGGAGGGCAAGGGTCTTCTCTAGCTTGTGGTGGTGGCTCCAGTCCCTAATATAGTGCCTGGCACATAGAAGGTATTTAATAAATTTTGTTATTTTATTTTTTCGAGACAGAGTCTCACTCTGCTGCCTAGGCTGAGTGCAGTGGTGTGATCGAGGCGCACTGCAGCCTTGACCTCCTGGGCTCAAGCGATCCTCACCTCGGCCTACCGAGTAGCTGGGACTACAGGCACGCGCCACTACACTCGGGTAATTTTTAATTTTAATATATGTATATTTATATATATATATATATATATATATTTTTTTTTTTAAGACAGGGTCTCACTCTGTCACCCAGGCTGGAGTTCAGTGGCGCCATCTCTGCTCACTGCAACCTCTGCCTCCCGGGCTCAAGTGATTCCCCTACCTCAGCCTCCCGAGTAGCTGGGAGTAACTGGGACTACAGGCACAGGCCACCGCGCCCGGCTAATTTTTTTAAAAATTTTTTGTAGAGAACGGGGTCTCACTATGTTGCGCAGGCTGGTCTGGAACTCCCAGACTCGATATCCTTGCGTCTCGGCCCCTCACAGTGCTGGGATCACAGGTGTGAGCCACCACCGCCTAGCAAATACATTTTGAATGAATGTAGTGGACCATCTGCTCTGCAGTCTGACGGCTAATACAATTAGGGCTTGGCATGGTGGTTTCTATTTCCTCCTTGTAAATGGCCATGCAAGTTTACAACTCTTGGAGAATGAGGAGGGGTTCAGAGAATATCTCCTGAATCTGTAGTGTAGACTGCTTCTGGGAGAGAACAAATAATAATGGATGAGGGCATTCAGCCAGAGAAGGTGTGTAGTGCCCACCAGAAGAGGTTCATGCCTTCATAAAATTGTTAACACAAGACATAGTTCCAGGTTTGTTTGTTTGTTTGAGATACAGTCTTGCTCTGTTGCCCAGGCTGGAGTGCAGTGGCGCGATCTTGGCTCACTGCAACCTCTGCCTCCCAGGTTCAAGCAATTCTCCTGCCTCAGCCTCCCAAGTAGCAGGGATTACAGGCACCTGCCACCATGCTGGCTAATTTTTTGTATTTTTAGTAGAGACGGGGTTTCGCCATGTTGGCCAGGCTGGTCTCGAACTCCTGACCTCAGGTGATCCACCTGCTTTGGTCTCCCAAAGTGCTGGGATTATAGGCGTGAGTCACCGTGCCTGGGCTGTTCCAGGTTTTGAAAAGACACTGTGGTCCTGGTTTTAGACTCAGCAACATCACAGACAAGAAAGGAATCCTATGGATTAAAGTTCTTCACTATAAGTTTTTTTTTTCCTCCAGTTCAAATGGGTAACGTGCCAATGTAGTAAAGGTTTGAGGGAGGCACGTCTGACACAGGCACATGAACACCCAGTCATCACGCTTATGAACTACAAAACGATGACTCTTAACCTTGAAGTGACTTCAGAATTGATTCCACATGGACCACAGGATTAGTATTTCAGGACTCTACCATATGGATCCTATTGATATGTTTGACACCTGGTCCAGTTTTACTTCACTAAACTGATTGATATAATGTGCATGATTGTCTAAGCCTTTCTAATTGGATGAAATGCCTTCTCCGTCCACAACCCCCTCCTTCTCCTCCTGCCTCAGCTGAATCCACCTTTTAAGCCTTCCTTGAACATTCAGTCAGATATGGCCATTTCTTTCTCTACTCCAACATTTGTTGGACACAGTTTTCTAATGCACATTACAGATTCTGACAGTTCTAGATATTCTGTCTGTAAAATAAATGTTAGTACATGAGATAAAGTGGATTATAGCAATGTTGTTAAACTGCTGGTTGCAACCCATTGATGGGTCCTGACCAGCAAGTAAAAGTGCAGCTGGGTGCCGTGGTGCATGCCGGTAGTCTAGCTACTTGGGAGGCTGACGTAGGAGGATCGCTTGAGTCCAGGAGTTTAAGGCTGTAGAGTGTAATGATCATGCCTGTGAATAGCCACTGTGATCCAACCTGGACAGCAGGGAGATCCCATCTCTTAAAAACAATAAAAATGAAATAGAGCATATCAGAGGGCCTTGTTCGTAGGAAGTCAGTATTGTTTTGTGGAACATTTAGTTGTATGCGTACATGCAGGTATGTGTATTGAGTCTCATTTTAAAGTATATTTCTTACTGGGGTTATCAGAAAGTTTGAAAATCATTAGACTAGGGGATAGGTATGCTGAGATTTTAGTAGTAGAGTTTTACCTGGACAAATTGTCTACTTTGAACCTGACTGCCGGCCTGAGTTTGTTCAGGGAAGATTGTTTCTAATCTATTTGCTTTTTGTTTGTTTGTTTTGGTGACGGAGTCTTACTCTGTTGCCCAGGCTGGAGTGCAGTGGTGCGGTCTCAGCTCACTGCAACCTCCGCCTCCTGGATTCAAGTGATTCTCCTGCCTCAGCCTCCTGAGTAGCTGGGAATACAGACGTGCGCCACCATGTCTGGCTAATTTTTGTATTTTTAGTAGAGACGAGGGTTTCGCCATGTTGGCAAGGCTGGTCTTGAACTCCTGACCTCAGGTGATCCGCCTGCCTTGGCCTCCCAAAGTGCTGGGATTACAGGTGTGAGCCACCGTGCCCAGCCTGTTTCTCATCTATTTGTGTAAGAATTCCATGTTTACTTACTCTAGATAACTTCAAAAGAAAAAAAACTCTGGCCAATAAAATGCCATAGGAATGTTTAGGGATATGTGGAGTAGGCATTCTTTCTAAGTTTTCCTGAAGATGCACCAATGTTTAACAAGAAAGGAAGGGCAGTGTAGAACACCTATTGCTTTCTGCATGGTAAGAGGGATGGGTATTGGGAGAGCCCACACCTGCTGAGGAGTGCCTTTAGACTTTGAGCGGTGGTGTTTCTCTCCCTCCCAGAAATAGATCTCTTTGGGGAGACAGGCCATACAAGACGTGAATCTGGTGACATTTTACTTGTTTGAAGCAAAATTTTTTTAGATGATGGAGGGTTTTTAAAAATTGCTTTTAAAATTAAAATTTGAATAGATAAGAAGTAATCACTATAAAAAATAATGAAGCATAAGGAATGCTAGTATTAGCTGGGTGTGGGGCACTCACTTGTAGTCCCAACTACTGGAGAGGCTGAGGCAGGAAGAATGCTTGAGCCCAGGAGTTTGAGTCCAGCCTGGGCAACATAACGAGACCCCATCTTTTAAAAAAAAAAAAAAAGAAAAAGAATGCTAATATCGTGAACATTTATGTTCCCACCACCCAATTTAAGAAAAAGAACAATACTTTTGAAGTCCACTGCGTACCCCTCCTTGATCCCATCTCTTTCCCTTCTCTTTTAGGAGTTAACTATCCTGATTCCTTGCTATGCTTTTTAGTGTGATCCCTGAAGAACGTATCACTCCATTTTGCATAGCTATAAATTTCATAGAAATGGAATCGTATTGCATGTGTTGTGTGATTTGCTGTTTTTGCTCATCATTATATTCCTGGGATTATCCATTTTTAGGTTTATGTGTGACTGTAATTTATTGTTTAGATGAAAGTTTTCCTGGTTTGACTTGCTCTATCTTCATATTTTTCCTTAAGCTAAGGGTTCAGCATACGAAGGCAGTATTGGTGGCACTTCTTTAACAGTACCCCATCTCTTCTCCTAGCCTTGAGGGCTGCACCTAGATGAACTTGTGAGGCTCATTTGAACCTTTTGGAAGCACCGAAGCCTGCTGAAGTTTCCAGACATCTGTATGAATCTGTTGTAGTTTTTTAATGTTATATGCTGAATATAAAACCAAGTAACTCCTGCTGGAAACATTTACAATATCGATTAACAAATACTATCAGTGGCTTTGACATTTTTGTCAGTTTCTTGATTTTTTTCCCCGCTTTTGTCTCCCCTTCCCCCCTCCACATTTTGGGGCATTGTGCTGTTAATAGATTTTTTTTCTGTTCGTTTGTTTATATACCTCCTGTTTCCTTCTGATGTTAATAGATTTCTGACAGTCAGACTTGTCCACAAGAACTCAACTGGCAAGGCTGCTTTTCTGTGCTAAAACTGGGGAGCTAGTGGGCACCATGAAGATCTTCTGCAGTCGGGCCAATCCGACCACGGGGTCTGTGGAGTGGCTGGAGGAGGATGAACACTATGATTACCACCAGGAGATTGCAAGGTACTGGGTTGGTTTACAGCAGGCTGCAGCTGGGTGGGGCACTTGATCTCAAAGCAGATGCCTTGGGCTCCAGTCTGAGCGTGGGCTAGGCTGTCACCCAGTGCTTATGATGAGGGCTGGTGTTGGTCCTGAGCAGGTCTGCTCAGCCAGGTAGGTATATGTAGCAGTTAGGCAAAATCATGCCTGTTTGGAGAGTCAGACATTATGTAGCAGCCTTAGCAGAGCCTCAGCATCTGTTTAACGGAGCAAAGAAAACCCAAGCCTCAGTAGTGTTGATGAAGTTGAATCATTTACTTGCCTTACTGAAATGGTGACATGTTCATCATATGGTTAAATTCTTTTGAATGAAAAAAATGAAAATGGTTTTTTTTTTCCCTTAGAAGAAATATTTAAAAGTATGTGAGTTGTTGGCCAGGCGCAGTGGCTCACGCCTCTAATCCTAGCACTTTGGGAGGCCGAGGTGGCCAGATCACCTGAGGTCAGGAGTTCGAGACCAGCCTGACCAACATGGAGAAACCCCGTTTCTACTAAAAATACAAAATTAGCTGGGCATGGTGGCTCATGCCTGTAATCCCAGCTTACTTGAGAGGCTGAGGCAGGAGAATCACTTGAGCCTGGGAGGCAGAGGTTGTGTTGAGCCGAGATCGAGCCATTGCACTCCAGCCTGGGCAACAAGAGCGAAACTCTGTCTCAAAAAAAAAGTATGTGAGTTGTTATGTAGCAATCATTAAGTGCATTCAGTGTGCCAGCATTGTGCTAAGGCTGTGGATACCAGATGAAGAAGATCCTGTTCTCATCTTCAAGGACCATGCAGTTTTGTGGAAGAGACAGGCACATACAAAATTACAGCACAAAAGCCAGGCACGGTGGCTCATGCCCGTAATCCCAGCACTTTGGGAGGCAAAGGGCGGGCGGGCGGGCGGTGGAGGGGGTGGTGGCGGCTGATCACTTGAGGGTCAGGAGTTCGAGACCAGCCTGGCCAACACGGTGAAACCCCGTCTCTATAAAAAAAAATTAGCTGGGAGTGGTGGTGGGCGCCTGTAATCCCAGGTACTCGGGAGGCTGAGGCAGGAAAATCACTTGAACTCGGGAGGTGGAGGTTGCAGTGAGCCAAGGTTGTGCCACTGCACTCCAGCCTGGGTAACAGAGTGAGACTCTGTCTCAAAAAAAAAAAAAAAAAAATTACAGCACAGTGAGATAAAGGCACAAGAGGTCATGGAAGCAGCAAGAACCAGCTGAACTTGGGGTGGGAGGTAATGTTTGAATAATTTCTCAGTTCTAAAGGAAGAGAAGGTGAAGTTTGAGCAGCAGGGATTACAGGTAAGCTTTCAGATGAGCCAGATTGTGGCTGGGTGCAGTGGCCTACACCTGTAGTCCCAGCTACTTGGGAGGCCAAGGCAGGAGGATTGCTTATGCCCACGAGTTCAACATAGTAAAACACTGTCTCACAAACAAACAAAGACCAAAAACAGGCTGGGCACAGTGGCTCATGCCTGTAATCCCAGCACTTTGGGAGACCAAGGCGGGCGGATCACCTGAGGTCGGGAGTTCGAGACCAGCCTGACCAACATGGAGAAACCCTGTCTCTACTAAAAATACAAAATTAGCCAGGTGTGGTGGCGCATGCATGCCTGTAATCCCAGCTGCTCGGGAGGCTGAGGCAGGAGAATCACTTGAACCTGGGAGGCGGAGGTTGCCATGAGCCGAGATCGTGCCATTGCATTCCAGCCTGGGCAACAAGAGCTAAACTCTGTCTCAAAAAAAAAAAAAGAAAAAAAACCACACACACACAGATGGGCTATTCTGGGGAGCAGCTAGCAGTTTAGTGCAGCTGGAGTGTGGTACAAAAGTACTATGGTAAGAGAGGCTGCCGAAAGCATACGCGGGGTCATTTTGTAAAGGGTGGTAGCAAAATGCAGGAAGAGGAACATGAGTTTAAGTCCAAGCTTTGCCACTTCTTTACTCTCTTGGCCAAGTTACTTCTCTGAGCCTTAATATAAAATAATATATACTTCAATATAGTAATACATTATCTCACAGTATAATACAATTATCTTAGAATTGTTTGATGATTAAATGTAATACAGTATCTGGTGCAGAATTAGGGCTTAAAATATTTACTTTTTTTTCTTTTTTTTTTTTTGAGACAGAGTCTCGCTCTGTTTCCCAGGCTAAAGTGCAGTGGCACGATCTCTGCTCACTGCAAGCTCCGCCTCCTGGGTTCACGCCATTCTCCCGCCTCAGCCTCTTGAGTAGCTGGGACTACAGGTGCCCGCTGCCACGCCCGGCTAATTTTTTGTATTTTTAATAGAGACGGGGTTTCACCGTGTTAGCCAGGATGATCTTGATCTCCTGACCTTGTGATCCGCCCGCCTCGGCCTCCCAAAGAGCTGGGATTACAGGCGTGAGCCACTGCACCTGCCCAGGTCTTAAAATATTTCTAAACATTTTGGACATTATTTTCTTGTTTTATTGTTCAGATGGAGTCTTACTCTGTTGCCTTGGCTGGAGTGCAGTGGCGCAGTCTCGGCTCACTGCAATCTCTGCCTCCCAGGTTCAAGGGATTCTCTTGCCTCAGCCTCTTAGGTAACTGGGATTACAGGCATCTGCCACCACACCTGGCTAATATTTGTGTTTTTAGTAGAGACTTGGTTTCACCTGTTGGCCAGGCTGGTCTTGAACTTCTGACCTCAGGTGATCCACCTGCCTCTGCCTCCCAAAGTGCTGGGATTACAGGTGTGAGCCACAGTGTCAGGCCTGGACGTTATTTTCTGAGTGATATATTAAACAGGAGAGAAAGAGGATTGGATTGCATTTTGGAACACTCACTGAGAGCGGTGTGGAGAGGAGAGCATTTGGGGATATTGTAGTCCCAGAGCTGCATAGTCCCAGAGGAGACAGCTCGGGGGAACTTGAGTTTGGTAACTCACTGGATATGATGGAGGGAGAGAGAAGATTCAAGAAGCACCAAGACTTCTGGTTAGAATGACAAAGTGGATGGGGCCTGCAAGGGAGGAATGGGTGGTGTGGGGAGGGGAACACGATGGAGATTAGGCGTTTAGGTTTGGACATCCACATAGAGATGCCAATGGCAGATAGAATTTTGGGTCTGGAGACAGAATTTGTAGTTGTTGGAACTGAAACTGGGAGAGGTTGCAGTCTCTCAAGGGGGTGTGGAATGTGAAAGGTAGAGGGCTGAAGAAGGAATCCCGGAATAGCTGAGGAGGCAAAGAAGGGCAAGGGAGATAGCCAGCATGGAAAGGAAGAAAGAGGGAGTGTGTCTAGCAAGGTCAGAGGCACTGGGAAGTCCCAGATACTGATGACTGACATCAGCTGCAGGAGTGAGCTGGTGGTGGTTACCGAGAGTGATGTCAGTGGAGTGGTGGGCAGTAAGTGTGAAGAGGCCAGGAAGGTGGTGAGTGAGATGCCTTTTAAATAGTGAGCAGAGGTAGAAAGGACTACATTTCAGCTAAGCATCCATAGCTGGCTTCAGATATAAAACCTTGATGTGCCATTAAAAAAAAAAAAAAAAGAACCCCCTTCTTTCAGTGCACCGCTCTTCAAAGTGTGGAATGTGGACCACCTGTGGCACAATTGCCTGGAGCACATTAGCCCAGCCTTCTCAATAAGAGTGAGAGTGTGTGTGTGTGTGTGTGTGTGTGTGTGTTCTGGGACTCTGCATTTCAGGTAAGCTTTCTAGTGATTCTAGTGTTGACCCAAGGCTGGAGGGCCTCTGTTTTAATGTGAGCTCCTTAGCTGTCCCCTTGAATTCCCAGAAAGCGTGGCAGGGCCTGCCTAGTTCTGGGTGCTCATCCCGACCCCGCCTGAGGGTTTTCAGTGTGTGAATTACTGCAGTAGGAAATATGGAGAAGTGATTCTCCTCCCTTTACTACGGTATTGGTGAACTCTTTAGTTTTCCCTGATGATGTTAAGTGAACGTGCCCAGTGGGGTACCTGTCACATATACAGTGGGTGTATGTGAGTGCTTCTCTTTCCCCGGCTGCTCTCCCTAATACCGCATCAGTGGTTATCTCCAGGCAGAGATGTAGGCCAGGTTAGGTCAAGTATTAGGCAGATTGAGTCTGAGTTTTTCCTGAGGAGGAAAATGTGTAGTGTATAGCAAGATCAAGATGCTAGTGGCTGTGGAATTACTGTGACAGGGCTAACTGCCGAGACCAGCTCGGTCGTGGAGACCCTAACCCAGTGGCGCTAGAGGAATTAAAGACACACACACAGAAATATAGAGTGCAGAGTGGGAATTGGGGGGCTGACAGCCTTCAGAGCTGACAGCCACGAACAGAACTTTACCTACATATTTATTGACAGCAAGCCAGTGATAAGCATTGTTCCTATAGATTATAGATTAAAACGGGAAACAAAGGGATGGGCTCTGGCTAGTTATTTGCAGCAGGAACATGTCCTTAAGGCACAGATCACTCATGCTATTGTTTGTGGTTCAGGAACGCCTTAAGCGAAAGCCGCCCTGGGTGGGCCAGGTATTCCTTGCCCTCATTCCAGTAAACCCACGACCTTCAGTGTGGGCATCATAGCCATCAACGAGCATGTCACAGTGCTGCAGAGATTTGTTTATGACCAGTTTTGGGGCCTGTTTTTGGCCAGATTTGGGGGCCTGTTCCCAGCAGCTAACTACTGGAGCATTTTTAGGTCTGAGAACATCTTTCTCTGAGACTTTTTTCTGCAGCACTAGAGAATAACAGCTTGAAACTCTATTAAAATAAAGTGGCCAGGTGCAGCGACGGATGCTTGTATTGTAGTTCTGCTGAGGCAAGAGGATCTCTTGAGCTAAGGAGTTCAAGGCTGCAGTGCCCAATGATTGAGGCTGTTCATAGCCACTGCACTACAGCCTGGGTGACATAACGAGACCCTGTTTCTAAAAATAAACAAAAAAATAGGCCAGGCGCAGTAGCTCACACCTGTAATCCCAGCACTTTAGGAGGCCAAGGTGGGCGGATCAGTTGAGGTCAGGAGTTCGAGAACAGCCTGGCCAACATAGTGAAACCCCATCTCTAATGTAAATACAAAAATTAGCCAGGCGTGGTGGTGAGCACCTGTAATCCCAGCTACCTGGGAGGCTGAGGCATGAGAATCACTTGAACTTGGGAGGCAGAGGTTGCAGTGAGCTGAGATTGCACCACTGTACTCCAGCCTGGGTGATGGGGTGAGACCCTGTCTCAAAAAAAAAAAAATAAATAAAGATAAAAGACAACCAAAAAATAGTTTAAAATAGATGACACGTTTGTTCTATCTGTTTAGCAATGTGTTTATATATGTGAATACTCTTGTGTGTTGATGTGTATCATGCAAAGGTTACTGACTTTTTTGTTTTTTAGGTCATCTTATGCAGATATGCTACATGACAAAGACAGAGTAAGTGTAAAAGGAAACTATTATCTTGATGTGGGGTGTTTTGAAGTCTTGGATTACAAGAAGGTTAAGAATCCCTGGGGGTCATGATGTTAAATGATACTGAGAGGCGTATGGTGTAGAAGTCAGGAAATCAGTTGGGAGACTGGGTCCTACTTCTGGCTCTATTTTTGTTGTTTAATCTCCCAGCTTTATCAAGATAGAACTGACAAATAAAAATGGTCTATGTTTATGGTAATACAATGTGATGAATATATGTGTATGGTGTAAAATGATTGAATCAAGCTAATTAACAAATCTACCGCCTCATACTTTTTTGTGTGTGGTGAGAACATTTAAGATCTACTCGCTTAGTAATTTTTAAGTGTACATTATTAACTATAGCTCACAATGCCGTACAGCAGATCTCCACAACTTATTCATCCTATCTGACTGAAACATCAGATCCTCTCCCTTAGCAGGTACCATTCTCTGGGCTTCTGAGTTCAACATTTTTTTTTTTTTTTGAGACAGAATCTCGCTCTGTCACTCAGGCTAGAGTACAGGGGCGAGATCTCGGCTCACTGCAGCCTCAGTCTCCCGAGTTCAAGCGATTCTCCTGCCTCAACCTGCCTAAGTGTTGGGATTGTACCTAGTATTGGGATAATACTATTATTATACTATTATACCTAGTATTGGGATTATAACTTGGGATTACAGGTGCGTGCCATGACACCTGGCCTTCACTGTAGTTTTAATTTCCATTTTTAATTTTAATTTTATTTTTTTGAGACTGGGTCTCTGTTGCCCAGTGCAGTGGTGTGATCTCGGCTGCACTGCAGCCTAGACTTCTTGGGCTTAAGCGATCCCCCAACCTCAGCCTTCCCAGTAGCTGGGACTACAGGCATGCCACCATGCCTGGCTAATTTTTGTATGTTTTGTAGAGGCAGAGTTTCGCTGTATTGCCCAGGCTGGTCTTGATCCCCTGAGGTCAAGTGATCCACCCGCCTTGGTCTCCCAAAGTGCTGGGATTATGGGCATGAGCTACTGCGCCCGGCCATCGTGTGCTTGTTTACCATGTGTATATCTTTGTTCTAGTCTAGGGTTATGAACATAGGTGTGATTCTTGATAGACACTGCCACATTGCCTTCAAAAAGGGTTCCAGATTCACTGTAATATCTTCAAAACTGGGTCATTAAAAAGTGACAGCTAATTTAATGGCATCGTTAAAGTGAAGGCTGTGCCATCCCTGGTTTACAATTGAGGACGCTGTTCATCAATTTTTTTTAACTTAAAAAATAAATAAAACAAGGCCAGGCACGGTGGCTCATGCCTGTAATCCCAGCACTTTGGGAAGCCGAGGCAGGCAGATCACGGGGTCAGGAGATCGAGACCATCCTGGCTAACATGGTGAAACCCCGTCCCTACTAAAAATACAAAAAAAAGCCGAGCGTGGTGGCGGGCAGGGCCTGTAATCCCAGCTACTCAGGAGGCTGATGCGGGAGAATGGCGTGAATCTGGGAGGCGGAGCTTGCAGTGAGCCGAGATTGCACCACTGCACTCCAGCCTGGGCGACAGGGAGACTCCGTCTCAAAAAAAAAAATTGTGGTAAAAACACATAACATAAACGGTCATACTGATTGTATCTAAGACATAAATGCACTTACTTTGACAATGAAATAGTTCTATATTTCTGTGAAAAATTATTTCACCCAGACTAAACATTTTTGTGCTTTACCTCAGAGGCAACGTCATTTCTTTTTTTTCTTTTTTCTTTCTTTCTTTTTTTTTTTTTAACAAGAATGAGTCTCCCTCTGTTGCCAGGCTTTAGTGCAGTGGTGTGATCTTAGCTCACTGCAACCTCCACCTCCCGAGTTCAAGTGATTCTCCTGCCTTAGCCTCCCAAGTAGCTGGGGTTACAGGCATGCGCCACCATGCCTGGCTAATTTTTTGTATCTTTAGTAGAGATGGGGTTTCACCATGTTGGCCAGGTTGGTCTCCAACTCCTGACCTCAAGTGATCCACCCGCCTCAGCCTCCCAAAGTGCTGGGATTACAGATGTGAGTCACTGCACCCGGCCTGGTAATTCTAAAGAATATTCAGTTCTAGATATTTTCTAATTCCAGTCTGATTTAGTCTTTTGCCTATCAGTTTAGAAGTGTGTTTCTTAATGTATGAAAAATTTTTTTTCTTCAGTTGTGTTTCTGATATTAAGATTTTTGACTTGTTTTGCATTGTGGTCAGAGGATATCACCCTTTTGATGCCAGTTCTGTATTAGCTGTCTAATGTTATTTAACAAATTACCTTAAATTTTAATAGCCTCTTAATATTTCTTACTAACTTGGCAGGTCATCAGTCTATTTAAAAGATTTGCACATATTTTTTCCATCATCTTTAGTTATTTTCAACAGAAGGGTCACTGTGCCTATTGAGTCAGACCGTTATAGATGAAAGATGTATGTGTTTACTAAAGACAGAAGTAAAAATCTTCAAGATGCAAAGAAGTTATTTTCTGATGGGGAAAATACTTTTTAGTGAAGCTCTCTGAGTTAGAGTCGGTAAAGGAAAACAAGCCATACATATTGCAGCAGAGCGGCTTTAACACAAGGAGCTGGCTACCCAGCTGTGGGAGGGCTAGAAAGCAAATGGGAACGCTGAGTAACCTAACAGTAGAGATTGCAGGGAGCAGTTACCTTGCCTAGGGCTGAGAAACTAAACGAGAAGATTAGGATTTCCAGAAGCCACAAGCATTGAGGAGAGATCCTGTGGACCACTGTCCAAGTACGGCTGCAGCTCTGAGGGGCCCAAGGAGCTGGTTATGGGATCATTGGGAAAAGTTGGAGTCTGCAATCAACTGCCCCTACCGAGAGGACCCTGATGAGAACAGCAGCATGCAGAAAGGAGCAAGCCTGCTCTGTCCTCCTACCTTCCAGTCGCCCTCTTGGTCCCCCTTTTGGCTGTACCTAACAGTTGGAAAAAGGAGAACATGGTTTGCAGGGCTCTGGCATCACTTAGTAGAGGATAGAAGAGTGAGTGTGGAGCAGGGACAGTCGCTTAATAAAGGGCAAGGGGCTGACTCACAAGACCTGCCCAACTCAGCCAGAGCTGTTCTGCCAGGGGCCAGAAAGGCCATAGGGCCCTGACTTGCACTGCCACTGCCAGCTGTGACTCTAGAACTTTGCAAAGCACCTTTCCACTTACTTATAATAACTGGTAGTAAGTGACGGCCATGTCTTCCTTAGAATGTAAAATACTACCAAGGTATCCGGGCTGCCGTGAGCAGGGTGAAGGACAGAGGACAGAAGGCCTTGGTTCTCGACATTGGCACTGGCACGGGACTCTTGTCAATGATGGCGGTCACAGCAGGTGCCGACTTCTGCTATGCCATCGAGGTAAGCCATTCCCTTCAGGTGTGTGTCCTGCATCTTGCATGGGAAATCCCCTATGCTCTTGCACTTTCCCCGTCTGTTCCTTCACAAACATTCATGGAGTGCTCACTCTGTGCCAAGCACAGAGCCAGGCTCTGAGCGTATAGAGATGAGTCAGACACAGTTCCTTCCTCCAGGAGCTAATTTTCTCCTCTGTCAGCCTAGGCTGCACATCAGAATCACTAGGAGCTTTAGAAAATACTTACAGGCTGGGCACAGTGGCTCACGCCTGTAATCCCAGCACTTCGGGAGGGTGAGGCAAGACAATTGCTTGAGCCCAGGAGTTTGAGACCAGCCTGGGCAACATAGTGAGATCCCATCTCTACAGAAAAACTTTTAAATATTAGCTGGGCATGGTGGCATGTGCCTGTGTTCCAGCTATTCTTGAGGCTGAGATGGGAAGATCTCTTGAGCCCGGAAAGTCAAGGCTGCAGTGAGCCATGATTTGGACTTCATGTAAGAAAGCAAAAAATTACTTCTACCTTGTTTAAGCCAGTTATTGTGGGACTTTGTTGTTTCCAACTAATCAGTATATGAACTCAGTTTTGTAGGGGAAAGTATTTAAATACATGCCCCCACACCACCACACTCCAGCCTGGGTGACAGAGTGAGACTTTATCTCAAAAAAATCAAAACGAAACAAAGGCTGGGCACAGTGTCTCACCCCTGTAATCCCAGCACTTTGGGAGGCCGAGGCTTGGATCATGAGGTCAGGAGTTCAAGACCAGCCTGACCAACATGGTGAAACTCCATCTTTACTAAAAATACAAAAATTAGCCGGGTGTGGTGATGCGCGCCTGTAATCCCAGCTACTCAGGAGGCTGAGGCGAGAGAATCGCTTGAACCCAGGAGGCAGAGGTTACAGTGAGCCGAGATTGCGCCACTGCACTCCAGCCTGGGCGACAGAGTGAGACTCCATCTCAAAACAAAACAAAACAAAAAAACCTTATGCCTAGTCCCCAGCCCTAACAGATTTTGATTTAACTTTTCTGGGGTGAGGCCTGAGCCTTGGGACTTGGGAATGTGCGGCAAGGTTGAGAACCACTACCTTAAATGTCCCTATGGAGTCAGCTCTCTTATGTTTACCAATTTGTCATTTCTTTAATAAAACATTAAACAGCTTGAGCCCACAGAGCAAGAAAAATTAAAAACCAAACAAAATTAAAAATTAAACATGTTATTTTTCTCATAAAACAAATAATGCATATTATTATAGGAAATTTGGTAAATACCAAATAAAAATAGTATGTTGACCCAAAGTTAAGTACTGTTAACATTTTGGTGTATATTCTTCCAAGTTTTGGGGGCAGGCAGGGAGCATGTATATAAATACTTTCCCTACAAAATTGGGTTCATGTAGTGATTGAGTTGGAAATAACAAAGCCTCAAAATCACTGTGGTTTAAGGTAGAGTAGTTTTTTGCTATCTTTTTCGTGGCGTGATCTCTATTCACCGCAACCTCCGCCTCCTGGGTTCAAGCAATTCTCTTTTCTCAGCCTCCCAAATAGCTGGGATTACAGGTATGTACCACTGCACCTGGCTAATTTTTATATTTTTAGTAGAGATAGGGTTTCGCCATGTTGGCCAGGCTGGTCTTGAATTCCTGATCTCAGGGGATCCCCCCACCTCAGCCTCCCAAAGTGTTGGGATTACAGGTGTGAATCACTGCGCCCTGCCTTGTTCCTCTTTTTTAAAAGTAAGAATAACTTTCCCAGGAATTTCTATTATAGCAAACCTCTCCTTGGGTACCATCGGCTAGAATGAGGTTAAATCTCATTTCTTATCTCTGGCAAGAGGGATTCAGTTACTCTTAGCTCAGACAAGTGCACCACTGCAAAGGTCAGTTCCCCACGCTGCACCCTCACCTGATTTCAGGGGAGAGGAGGACACAGAATGGATGTCGGGAGGTCATCTTCAGTGTCCACTCCTGGTAGTGTTTTGGGTGAGATCTTGAGCTTCTTGATGGGCTGAGGAGAAGGAGGTGTGAAGGTACCAGCTTGCAGGTTCAGGGAGAGGTGACTGATGAGTCAGAAGGCAGCAGGGGTGAGGGACGACACTGGCTTTGGATATTGTCAGGGTGGAGGCAAAGTGATTGGTGAGAACTAGGGTTTAAGGCCCTCAAACCACATCTAAAAACATCAAGGCAAATCCTAGAAATAATTTGAAATAGATGATGAAGATTTTTCTAGGAGAACATGTGTGTGTATTCCATGTAAATACTGCGCGCTAATCAATTGCACAACTGGAGCTGCTCACGTAAGTACTCTTTACGAAAGGATACAGCATTTGTCCCTTGATTATAGTAAAAAATATAGTATTCATGGTAGAAAATGTGGGAAATACAGAAAAGGATTTAGAAAAAAGGAAAATCTTATCAGGAACAGTCTCGGTATCATTTTGTGGTTTCCACTTCGTGTGTAGGGCCACACGTGAGTCTGTTTGTTTTACATGCTAGAGCTCTTGGGGCTGTGGAATCTAGACTGGATAAGTTGAAAACAAAGAGTTGGAGGTGCTTATTTATGTTCAGGGAAACTCGAAGAGTTCAGGGAAGACTTCTGGATGGGGGATTCATGCTGCCCTGGGAAGTGGGGTTTGATTTGGCAGGTGGGGCCAGGATAGGGAAGGCTCAGTGATCATGAGATCATTGTGGCTGGAGTGTTGGTTGTTGGGGGAATGGGGGAGGAAGACTGGGAAGGTAAGGGAGGGCCTCCAAAGCAGTAGTTTCCCCTTATCTATGGTTTCACTTTTCGTGATTTCAGTTACCTGTGGTCAACTGAGGTCCAAAAATACTAAATGGAGCCAGGTGCGGTGGCTCACGCCTGTAATCCCAGCACTTTGGGTGGCTGAGACAGGTGGAAACCTTGAGTCCCAGAGTTGGAGACCAGCCTGGGCAACATGGCAAAACCCCGCCTCTACAAAAAGTAGCTGGGCATGGTGATCTACGCCTGTAGTCCCAGCTACTTGGGAGATTGAGGTGGGAAATTGCTTGAGCCTGGGAGGTGGAAGCTGCAGTGATCATGCCACTGGACTCCAGCCTGGACAATAGAGTGAGACCCTTCTCAAAAAAAAAAAAAAGAAAAATTAAATGGAAAATTCCAGAAATTATTTATAAGTTGTAAGTTGTGTACCATTCTGAGTATTATTACATAATTGTTCTATTTTTAGTTATTGTTAATTTATAAATTATTATTTATATTTATTATTGTGCCTAATTTATAAATTAAACCTGGTCATAGGTAAGCTTGGAGGCTGAAGCAGCTCCACTGTGAATGCTAATCCTCCACGCTGACTTCTGACCAACCCCAGCTTCAGGAATGCCTCTAAAATTTCCGCTCTCATGCACTTTGATGTAAATCCTGCCCTCAGGTCAGAACAACTTTGATGTTATCATAAATACATACTTACCGTAAATCCTGCCCTTCGTCAAATTCCCTGTGGTATGTAAGCCCTGCGTCTGAGCCATAACAGTGTGGGGGCCCAGTTTCTCACTGCCCGAGACAAGGCTTCTGTTTGTATGTCTCTATAAAGTGTGTCTTTCTGAGAAGCTGGATTTGCCAGTCTTTCCTCAGCCTCTCAGCTCCCGTGGCCTGTTGGGGTAGGTTTGCATAGAGCTGCCCACCATGGAACAGTATGTATGTATAGCAAAAAAAAAAAAAAAAAAAAAATGGTATACATAAGGGTCAGTACTGTCTGAGGTTTCAAGCATCCACCAAGGGTCTTAAAATGTATCCCCCATGGACAAGAGGCACTGCTGCACCATAAGAAAATAGAGGCTGTGTTCTGCCAACAGTGGGGATTTGGGACAATTTTGAGCCCAGAGGATGACCTACTTACTCACACCTACAGTCTGCTCTCCTCTGGAGGGCACAGCACGCCTCCCAGGTTCGTGAGGCAAGTCCCTTTCCTGGCTTTTTGGCGTCCTCTTGTGCGGTACTGACACCTACTGCTCTTACTAAGTAGTGCAGCCTCCTCAGGATCCCCGGCATCCCCGCTGTGCCTGGCACGGAATGAGAGTCCCTAATCACAAGTTAAAGCCAGCTGAATCTCAGCCCTTTTTCATGATGCACATTTGGAGAATAAAGTATTTAAGTTACATATCTTAGGACCAGAATCAAGGAATAGCTTGCTCACCTTAAAGGTCAGACTACTGTTTAATTTATTGCTCATTTTTCCTTGGGTTTCGGCTCTATTTTCTAGGTTTTCAAGCCTATGGCTGATGCTGCTGTGAAGATTGTGGAGAAAAATGGCTTTAGTGATAAGATTAAGGTTATCAACAAGCATTCCACCGAGGTGACTGTAGGTCCAGGTGAGATTTACACACCCTGTGTTGAAAGCTTTGCTTGCTCTTGTGTGAGAGAGGAAAAGGGTTATTCCAGTTACCTGGAACAAATCCAGGTCATAGCATAGAAGTGGGACCTCTCTGTGTGGAGCTCTGACAGTAAGGACTTGGTTTCTCTTGATGTTTATTTTCCTGCTAGTTAAAACTAGTCAACAAGGAGTAGACTAGAGCTAGTCAGGTCCAGCAATGGAGACGCAAACAAAACCTACATTTGCTTTAAGCAAATTGGAATTCTTATGGGGCTCAACTCTTGAGTTTCAACTACCAATAATTACGCCTTGGATAAACCTCATTGGCTACGATACTGCCACTGCTCAAAGCTCAACTCTGAGTTTCATCAGGCAGAAAGTACTTAGTTCTTTTATTTATTTATTTTTTTGAGAGAGAGTCTCACTCTGTCGCCCAGGCTGGAGTGCAGTGGCGCTATCTTGCCTCACTGCAAGCTCTGCCTCCTGGGTTCACCCATCCTGGCTAACACGGTGAAACTCTATCTCTACTAAAAATACAAAAAATTAGCCAGGCATGGTGGTGGGCACCTGTAGTCCCAGCTACTGGAGAGGCTGAGGCAGGAGAATGGCGAGAGTAGTTCTGACATTCTGCTTCTGCATACAACATGAACAATTTTCCTGTATAGCATTGTCTCTTAAGGTTTCCAGAATATGTATATGTACACACACACACACACACACACATATTTTTTTTTTGAGACGGAATCTCACTGTGTCACCCAGGCTGCATTGCAGTGGTGCAATCTTGGCTCACTGCATCCTCCACCTCCTGGGTACAAGTGATTCTCCTGCCTCAGCCTCCCAAGTAGCGGTGATTACAGGTGCCTGCCACCACACCTGGCTGCTTTTTGTATTTTTAGCAGAGACGGGGTTTCACCATGTTGGCCAGGCTGGTCTTGAACCCCTGACCTCAGGTGATCCGCCTGCCTCAGCCTCCCAAAGTGCTAGGATTATAAGCGTGAGCCACCATGCCTGGCCTCCAGAATATTTTTTATAGTCTAGAACTTTGTTTCAGTCTTTGAAAATTTCACATGCCACTGACACTTAGAGAACATAGTTGAAAGATTTGCAAAGGAAAAACTGTGGTGAAGTTATGGATAACACCATGGGTTTTTTCTAATTTTTTGTGGAGATAGGGTCTTACTATGTTGCCCAGGCTGGACTCAAACTCTTATGCTAAAGTGATCCTCCCATCTCAGCGACCCAAGTACCTGGGACTACAGGTGTGCACTACTGCACCTGGCTTTTTCACCACGGTTTTGGAGAATGCAGTATCATTCTGAATTGAAGCTTCTACCTAAGGTCAACATTATTCTCCCATTTAACAATTTTTTTTTAATGGAGAATCTGAAACATGTACAAAAGAAGTGGGTACTATCTTATTTATTTATTTATTTGAGACAGAGTCTCACTCTGTTGCCCAGGCTGGAGTGCAATGGCAGGATCTCAGCTCACTGCAACCTCTGCCTCCCATGTTCAAGCGATTCTCCTGCTTCAGCCTCATGAGTAGCTGGGATTACAGGCGTGCACCACCATGCCTGGCTAATTTTTGTATTTTTAGTGGAGACGGGGTTTCACCGTGTTGGCCAGGCTAGTCCCGAACTCCTGACCTCAGGTGACCAGCCTGCCTCGGCCTCCGAAAGTGCTGGGATTACAGGTGTGAGCCACCGCGCCCGGCCTATCTTTTTTATTTTTAAAATATACAATAGAGTGCTCAAATCATTCCATTTACAATCAACGTTATTGAAGTATGATTTACATTAAATGAATATCCATTTTCATTATGGATATTTGACAAATATAAACACACTTGTAACCACCATCACCATAATGAAGATAATAGAACATCTCCATCATGCCCAAAGAGATTCCTCATAACCCTTTCTATCAGTCCCCCCATATCCTGGTCCTAGGCACCCACTCATAGACTTCATTATAGATTAGATTTGCCTGTCTAGGATTTCAAGGAAGTGGAATCAAAGAAGTGTGGACTCTTCTGTGTGTGTGCTCTCTTTTTTATAGCGTGATGCTGGTAAGATTCTTCCACACTGTTCATGTCTTGGGGGTCCGTTCTTTTGTGTTACTGAGCAGCACTCTATTAGATAGATGTACCATAACTTGTTTATCTCTCTACCTGTTGATGGACAGGGATTTCTTGGATAGGTCTTTAGATTCACTGATCTTTTCTTTTGCAGCATCTAATATGCTGTTAAGTATATTTAGTAAACTTTTCATTTCTCTTTCTTTGTTGTTCTTTTTTTTTTTTTTTTGAGACAGGATCTTGACCTGTCCCCCAGGCTGGAGTGCAGGGGTGTGAGCATGGCTTATTGCAGCTTTGACCTCCTGGGCTCAAGCAGTCCTCCTGCTTCAGCCTCCTGTGTAGCTGGGACCACAGGCTCATGCCACCATGCCTGGCTAACTTAAAAAAAATTTTTTTTTGTAGAGATGGGATCTCAGTTTGTTGCTTAGGCTGGTCTCAAACTCCTGGGCTCAAGCGATTCTCCCACCTCAGCATCCCAAAGTCCTAGGATTACAGGCGTGGGCCGCTGTGCCTGGCCTCATTTTTGATATTGTATTTTTTAATCTCTGAAAGTTCCACTTGATTCTTTTTCATAACTTCCATTTTTCTCATGTTCATAGTTTTCTATAAGCACATTTATTTTAGCTTTTTGAACATCCTTATCTTCTGTTCCCACCATCTTTGTTTTTTCTGGGTTTGTTCTCTTGACTCATTTTTATCCTTATTCTGGGTCACATTTTCCTTCTTCACATGTCTAACCATTTTTGTTTGGATGCTGTGGCTATTTGGAATTCCCCATTGTTGAGTGCTAGACTTCGTTGGTTTTGCTTTTTAAACTTTGGCATGCAGTTGGGTTACTTGCAGTTCAGATTGATCCTTTCAGGGCTTGTTTAAGCTTTCTTTGGAGTGGGGTTAGAGTAGCTTTAAGTCAGGCCTTCTCAACAGTAGTGCTGTGACGTTTTGGCATTCTCCAACTATGTGACATTTTGATAATTCTTTGTTGTGGACCCTGTCCTTTGCATTGTAGGATGTTTAGCAGTGTCCCTGGCCTCTTCCCAGTGGATGTCAGTAGCACTCCCCTCCTCCCACCATTCTTGCCAACTAAAAATGTCTCCAGACTGCCACGTCTTCCTTGGTCTCGAGTGTGTAAAATTGCCACCTGTTGAGAACCACTGCTCTAAGGCTGTTTAGCCAGACAGTTACTGTAACCTTTCTGGAGTGTCTGCTGAGAGCTCTAGGTGCTCAGCAGGGTTTCCCTTGTCTGGCTGATCAGAACTTGAATGTTTCCCAGGCCTCTGAGAGCTCCGGAGATTGTTATCACTCATGCAACCTTTGCTCGGCTTCACAGAGTATTACCCTGTGTGTGTGTGAATGTATTAACACAGACCCTAGAGGAACCCTGTGCAGCATTCTGAAGGCTTTTTTTCTGTGTAATTTCCTCTCTGATTCTCTGCCTGGCAAGTTCCAGCTGCTTCCACTTCCCTGAACTCGTTTCCTGTCTGTTTAACTCAGCAAGACTGCCGTGCTCTGTGTCACCTCTTACCCTATACTGTGGTCTGGAAAGGGTCTCCTGGCTGATAGCCAGAGCAGGGTAAGGGTTACTTGGTTTGTTTCCCTTCTTAGGGAGCAAACTGTGTTGCCTCTTGCTCAACATCTGAAAACACTTGTTTCATATATTTTGCCCAGTTTTCTAGTTGATAACAGCCGGAGGGTAAGCCTGATCCCACTTATTCCACTATGGCCAGAGTGGAGATTGATTCATTTATTTATTTTTTTTTGAGACAGTCTCACTCTGTTGCCTAGGCTGGAGTACAGTGATGCGAACACAGCTCACTGCAGCCTCGACTTCTGGGCTCAAGTGATCCTCCTGCCTCAGCCTCCTGAGTAGCTGGGACCACAGGCAGGCGCCACCATACCCAACTAATTTTTTTGTTTTTTTAAATTTTTATTAGAAACTAAGTCTTGCGGCTGGGTGCAGTGGCTTATGCCTGTAATCCTAGCACTTTGGGAGGCCGAGGCTGGCGGATCACCTGAGGTTGGGAGTAGCAACCAGCCTGACCAACTTGGAGAAACCTGTCTCTACTAAAAATACAAAATTAGTCAGGTGTGGTGGTGCATGCCTGTAATCCCAGCTACTGAGGAGATTGAGGCAGGAGAATTGCTTGAACCTGGGAGGCAAAGGTTGCGGTGAGCCGAGATTGCGCTATTGCACTTCAGCCTGGGCAACAAGAGCAAAATTCTGGCTCAAAAAAAAAAAAAAAGAAAAGAAAAGAAACTAGGTCTCGCTTTGTTTCACAGGCTGGTCTTGAACGCCAGGCCTCACACAGTCCTTCTGCCTCAGCCTCCCAAAGTGCTGGGATCACAGATGGGAGCCACTGTACCTGGCGAGATCATTTATTCTTGAAAATTTATCCATTTTGACGGCAGGGAGACTGATCTGCAGGGCAGCCTTGGCCATGAAGTATGCTGACTCTGCCTCCAGGCAGCATTGTTCACACACACCTCAGCTTAGGCCAGGCCCCTCATATGATTTCTTATTAAAAAAAAAAATTTTTTTTAGATAGAGTGGCTCTGTCGCCCAGGCTGGAGTGCAGTGGCATGACCTCGGCTCACTGCAACCTCCACCTCCCGGATTCAAGTGATCCTTCCACGTCAGCCTCCTAAGTAGCTGATATTACAGGCATGCACCACCACCTGGCTAATTTTTGTATTTTTAGTAGAGATGGGGTTTCACTATGTTGGCCAAGCTGGTCTTGAACTCATGACCTCAAGCGATCTGCCTGCCTTGGCCTCCCAAAATGCTGGGATTACAGGCATGAACCACCACGCCTGGCCAATTTCGTAATACTTTTCTTCATAGCGCTTACCACTGCAATCATTAAATCATTATGTAGTTATGTATTTAATGTCTGTATCCCCACCCAGCTGAGGCATCCTGAGGTCATGCACTGCGTGGGTTGTATTAACTATTCCATTCCGTTATTTGCTCCGGGCCTGTCATGTAAAGGAGTTAGGTAATTTTTGTAAAGTGAGTAGATTGTCAGTTGTGCTTCATCCATAATCCCTTGTAAATGTGACTTTGTTTCCGATCCTCAGCCTGACAAGTGGCTTCCTCATTGCCAAGTTGGGTGGTCTTTCCTCTGCTTTTCCTCTCTAACCACTGCCGCTTTGGTACTTCTGCCATTCCTTCCTTCTTGAAACTCTCCCTGGACCTTAGTGACATCTCTTCATCTTGGTTCTCCTGTGTTGCTTTCTTTCTGCTCCAGATGTATACTTTCCAAGGTTCTGCTCTCAGCCCTTTTTAAAAGTGGCATCTGAAGTTGCCTGTTCCCCAGAGCTGGGTTACATGCTGAGGCTTGTGGAGAGCCAACCCAGGGAGCAGCGTGTGTTCATCCGTCCATTTTGTTCATTTGGAAAGGGCTTAGGAAGCTCCTGGGGTGGCTACCTGCTTCAGACTCCCCCACCCCGTGCCCTTATACATTAGCAGTCACACTCAAAATACCAGGCCCTCAAGAAGTACTTGTTAAAATGCACTGGACCATAAAGCTTGAATTTTTTTTTTTTAATTTTTATTATTTTTTGAGACAGTCTCACTGTATCACCCAAGATGGAGTATGGTGGGGCAATTTCAGCTCACTACAACATCTGCCTCCCGGGTTCAGGCAATTCTCATGCCTCAGCCTCCTGAGTAGCTGGGACTACAGGCGCGTGCTACTACACCCGGCTAATTTTTGTATTTTTAGTAGAGACAAGGTTTCACCACATTGGCCAGGCTGGTATCGAACTCCTGGCCTCAAGTGATCAGCCCAGCTTGGCCTCTCAAAGTGCTGGAATTACAGGTGTGAGTCACTGTGCCTGGCTCTTGATTTTTATTTTAATGAAGCAATTTGGACTATAAAGCATTTTAAGTTATATAATTGGTTTAAACATTCAGGAGATAGAATTGGCAGAGTGGGTGATCAGTGGGTTGTAGGGTGACAGAAATCAATAATTTATCTAATGTGTGTTGACTGTTACGGGGCACTAGACCTTGTGGGTGCTGGGGTACAGTAGTGGACAGGCAGTCAGCGGTCCTGCTGTCCTGGAACTAGTAAATGATGCCCAGATTCCTGGACTATGTGACTCATTGATTGATTGAGGCAGAAACCCTGGAGGGAGGAGCAGGCGTGTTAGCTGGGGTGGGTGGGATGAGTTTTGGACAGTGTATTCCAGTTGGAGTTTGATGTGACATCAGAGAGGATGGGCAGGGCTTCTCGGGAGGGTGGTCTCTGTGGCAGAAGACAGAAGTTTCTTCTTAAGCTCCTCCACGTGATACTGTCATGGAGCACAGGTGAGCTTCATAGGAAGTGTGCTTTTTTTTTTTTATCTTCATCATCCCGACCACCACCACATGAGACAGAGCCCATTCACCCGTTTTACTGATGAGGCAACTGATGGTCAGAACGGAGGGCTCAGGGATAGGAAGTGAGATCCAGGCCAGGCTCCAGCCTCGAGCTCGAGGTTCACGCTGTCTCTGTTGTGCTCTTCTATCAGCTGCTCTCTTTCTTTTTTTTTTTTTTTTGAAATGGAGTCTCACTCTGGCCCAGATTAGAGTGCAGTGGCGTGATCTCGGCTCACTGCAACCTCTGCCTCCCAGGTTTAAGTGATTCTCCTGCCTCAGCCTCTCAAGTAGCTGGGATTACAGGCACCCATCACCACGCCTGGCTAATTTTTGTATTCTTAGTAGAGACAGGGTTTCACCACGTTGGCCAGGTTGGTTTCAAACTTCTGACCTCAGGTGATCTGCCCATCTCAGCCTCCCAAAGTGCTGGGATTACAGGCGGGAGCCACCGCGCCCGGCCCCTGTCAGCTGCTTTCATGCTTCTCTTTTCCTTGTGTCATCTGTGAGACTTGTGCTCTGTGTAGGGGAAATGAGTGGGCTTTGTCAGATTATAATTCATGAGGCATTAAAAGTGTTTACAGTTAATTCTCCCTGATGAATAGCCCCTTCCAAAGTCTATTTTGGCTCTTGGCTCATTAAAAATTATAATTGTAGAAGTAGCAGTACATTACTGAGGTTTAGAAAACAGTTAACAGAAGATCCCTCCCAAATCCTACTCTTCTCTAAAATCCTACTGTCCTAAAACAACTGTTATTTAAGAGATTGTTTGGTGACAAGGCGCTTTCATTAAGGGAATTTGCCATAGTGATCTGGGGATTCTAAGTCATGGATCTCAATTTTGGCTGCCAGAGCCTAACTCACAGTAGCTGGAAGATCATCAGAGAACCTTGTTGTCTTGCTTTGGCTTTCCCTCCCTCTCCCTGCAACCTAGAAGTATTTGACATACCAGCATTCTGTTTTTGCTTTTCAAATAATTTTTCTAATTTAGTGGTTAATAGTTTAATTGTTAATTTATATCTCTCTAATTGCTAATAGGGATGAAAAAGTTTTCATAAGTTTGATTTCTGTTTTGAATTTTCTGTTTATATTTTTACCTGGTTTCTTTTTGGGTGTGTGTTTTTTTTGTTTGTTTGAGACAGAGTCTCACTCTGTCGCGCAGGCTGGATCACTCTGTCGCGCAGGCTGGAGTACAGTGGCACAATTTCGGCTCACTGCAACCTCTGCCTCCCAGGTTCAAGTGATTCTCATGCCTCAGCCTCCTGGGTAGCTGGGGTTACAGGCGTGTGCCATCACACCTGGCTAATTTTTGTATTTTTAGTAGAGATGGGGTTTCGCCATGATGGCCAGGCTGGTCTTGAACTCCTGGCTTCAAGTGATCCTCCTGCCTTGGCCTCCCAAAGTGCTAGGATTACAGGCGTGAGCCACCATGCCTGGCTAATTTTTGTATTTTTTGTGGAAATGGGGTTTTGTCATGTTTCCCAGGCTGATCTCAAACTCCTGAACTCAATCCATTGGGTATTTATAGTTTTCTTATCATTTTTTGCAGTCTCCCTCCCAATATTAAGCATACAGAATAGCTGTAAGAGCAGTACAGTAAACACTTATGATCCCTTACCCTAGATTTATCAATTAGCGTTTTGTCATACATTTACATATGGATTTTTTTTTTTTCCTGAACCATTGGCAAGTCAGTTGCAGACATCCTGACACTTCTGAATACCTCAGCATGTATATGTGCTTTTAGCGTGATGGCCCCTTAACCACTTATCTTTCCCATATTTGCTGTAAATATTTTTCCTAGTCTGTTGCTTATGTCCAACTCTGTTTTCTTGTGTTTTTCAGAGGGTGACATGCCATGCCGTGCCAACATCCTGGTCACAGAGTTGTTTGACACAGAGCTGATCGGGGAGGGGGCGCTGCCCTCCTATGAGCACGCACACAGGCATCTCGTGGAGGTAGTAGACGGAGGGCTCCCTCAGACGTGTCTGTGGTCTCAGCCAGCTCACATAGCACTCACTCATGCACCGTGTCCCACACAGCCCAAGCCCTCAGCACCTCTGATACACCTGGGACACCCCTCCATTCCTGGGGGGGCTCTGGTTCTCCTCACTTAAAACTTTCATGTCCCTTGAATGCCAAATCTTAATAGGTTAGAGTTGAAAAGCAAGAAACTATATTCAAATTCAGTTAAGTTCAGCAAATATTCTCAGGAAGGCGATGCTTGAGCTGTCAGTCTTGAGAAGTGATCAGGTGTTGGCCTGGCAGATGGAATATTTCTGGTAGAGGAGAGCAGCACGTGCTAGACGTGAGACTGAATCGGTGCGGTGGCTCCGGAGCCTGCTTTGGATTTTGTGCTGTGTGGGAGGCAGGAGAGATGGGCTTAGCAACTGAGGCTAGAGAGCTGGGCAGGGGCTAGATGGAGTGGGGTTTGGGGGCCATGCCCAGAGGGTAGCTGTCATTAGAAGGTGGGGTGGCATCACAGGAGGGTTTGAAGCAGAGGATTGACAGCAGACTTATGCAGGCAGATGTGTGGAGGGCAGTTGGGGTATAGGGCTGGAGGTTGCGGGTGGGTTAAAAGGCTGTGGAATCGTCCAGACGCTGTGGTACAGTGGGCCTCAGCTAAGGCTGTAGACAGAGGCCTGATAGGTGGTCCCAGGAGTTGGTGGTCCCTTAGGTGTAGAGATATCGATGCTAGGGTTTGGGCACCTGGATTGGATGGTGGTGCTTCCTGTTGACGGGGAGTGCAGGAAGAGGGGTAGCCTTGGGAAGGTTGGGAAGTGGTGAGGGCGATTCTTCTGGTTTACACAGAGTTTGAGCTCTCTAAAGGTCAGCCAAGCAAAGAGGCCCAGAGATGCATGGATTTACTCAGTGAAGAGGGCATGGTTGAGGTCACTGTGGAGAGTGTGGAGGGAGACAGTCCGGACCAGGGAGTCCCCTTGTGAGGTGGGGCGGAGGAAGCACAGCCTGGGGAAGGCAGCGGGAGTGAGTCCAGTTAGAGCAGCATTTGTCTACCAGAGCAAGGTTGGGAGATGCTTCGCAGGGAGGCCAGTTATTCTGCTAGCCTTTTACCATGCCCAGAGCAACCCCTACAGCAGAGAATCATTTGGCCCAAGAGGCCAGTGGTGTCCTGGTGGTGAAAGCCATGTGGGTAGCAGCTGTGAGTGTGCTCTTGCCGGGTCCCTATTGCCTGGTGCATGGAGGACGTGGAGTGGATGCAAGAGGTAGGAGGAGAGCCGGACAAGGAGCCGGAGCCGGAGCCACAGCCCTAGGGGCTGAGTGTGCAGCAGTGCCCAGCGGCGCTAGAGGGCTGGGCAGCTGAGGGGGCACCGTGGTCCACAGGGCTTTGCCACAAGGAGGCTCTTGTTTTGGTGCTGGGCAGGAGCGGCACTGAAGGGACACTGAGCCCAGAGCCAGGATCACCACCCAGCAGCAGGACGTGAAGCATTTAAGAGTGCCAGGTAGCCAGGAACTTAGCTGACAGAAGTCATTTTAGGCACAGTGTGTGTTCTTTTTGAAATGTAGTACCCTTTTTTTCCCTTTTCCAAGGGCATAGGGCTGAAAACAGTTCACTATTCTAATAGTATAAGGTGTTGGGCATTACTGAACCAACCTAATGTTAAGGAATAAACCTCTTTTGATCAATGGGAATTACTGTGGGTCTAAGCATCTGATTTTTGTTTGGTTTTGTTTTTAATATAAACTTAGGAAAATTGTGAGGCCGTGCCCCACAGAGCCACCGTCTATGCACAGCTGGTGGAGTCCGGGAGGATGTGGTCGTGGAACAAGCTATTTCCCATCCACGTGCAGACCAGCCTCGGAGAGCAGGTCATCGTCCCTCCCGTTGACGTGGAGAGCTGCCCTGGCGCACCCTCTGTCTGTGACATTCAGCTGAACCAGGTGTCACCAGCCGACTTTACAGTCCTCAGCGATGTGCTGCCCATGTTCAGGTACCAAGGAGCCACCATAGGTGATGGCGCTTTGAGACATTTGATGGAAGTTGGGTATTAGGAGGTTCTTTTTGAGTGGGAAGGAAATCTAGCTGCTGTCACCTGCCTCGAAGGCAAGAGTCCTTTGCAGCCAAATGTCATTGCCAGTGAAGTCACTGTAAAAGCTTAAAAAATGGAGTGTGTGAGGTTAAACTCTGCTTACATTCTTGAATATTATTCCTCAGCATAGACTTCAGCAAGCAAGTCAGTAGCTCAGCAGCCTGCCATAGCAGGCGGTTTGAACCTCTGACATCTGGCCGAGCTCAGGTGGTTCTCTCGTGGTGGGACATTGAAATGGACCCTGAGGGGAAGATCAAGTGCACCATGGCCCCCTTCTGGGCACACTCAGACCCAGAGGAGATGCAGGTAAGAGGCAGGAGCCTAGCATGTGCCCTGTCAGGAAACTTGTCCACTGCTGTTCATGGGAAAGTAACAGTTGAGCCTTGGACCCAGGAGAATTTAGAGACAGGAGGGCTGTGTCAGAATCAAAGACAAAAGTTTTTAAAAAGCAAGCAAAGGCTAGCTGTAGTAACGTAGCCTTCCCAGGGTGAGCTCATGGTGAGCACTCATGGACACAGTGAGGAACAGAGAAGTTGGCTTTCCTCTCCCGCCTCATCATGATGCAGCCACCCTTAGATACCACCCCTCATCCCCTGAGTAATCCCAGGGGGCTCCCATCAGCTTGGAATAGAGAACTACAGCCTCACCTTCTGTGGCCTCAAAATCTCCTTTCTCCACCCCGATAGAAAGTAGGCAGAGGACATGAAACACAGAAAAGGAAATACAGATGATGGGGATAGTTGCCCACTGTCCCTCATAATAAGAGAAATGCAGTTTTAGCTGCTCACAGCACCTATGCTCCCAGCCTCTCAGGAGACTGAGGCAGGAGGGTTGCTTGAACCCAGGAAGTTGAGGCTGCAGTGAGTCGGGACTGCATTACTGCACTCCCGCCTGGGCAATAAGATGAGAACCTGTCTCTAAAAAAAAAAAAAAAGAGAAATGCAACTTTAAACTGCAATGAGATCTCATTTTCACCTACTAGTGAATAAAGTTTAAACAGTTTGCAAGCACACTGTTGGGGAAGCTCAGGGAAAAAGCAGGAAAGCGAGTCATCAGAACGTTTCAGGTAGAAAGCAATGCTGCTTTCAGACATGGGGCTGTGGCTGGATTTGCGTCTGTGCAGAATAGATGTGTGCAGCCCTGGTTTAGTAGAAAAAGGCCAACCTAAAGGCCACTAGCAGGGATCAAGTCCATTATCCTTTCAGTGGGTGAGGTAGCTCTCTGTGCACTGATGTGGGACAAGCTTCAGGGTGGATTATTACCTGACACAAAAATAAAGGTGCAGAATGGTGTGTTGTGTGGCAGCACTGGTGTTAGTAAAAATAGGAATATATGTGTTTGTGAGTGGATAGTCATGTGTGGTGTACATATAAGGAGGTCTTTGGAAGAATTCCCAGAAATTCGTAAAACTGACTGCATCTGGGAATGGGGACTGGAGGTTAGGGGTGGAAAGGAAACATATTTTTTACTATGCGTCCTTGTATACCTTTTGAATTTTCTCTCATGTGCTTGTGTTATTTACACCCCCATCCACCCTCTCTCACTCTCACACTCAAAGGAAAAGAAAGTGGGAAAGGTGTGTCGGAATTGCCTGATGGGTTCTTCCCACCCACTGTTCAGACAAAACCAATTCGCTGACACCATGGCATTGCAATAAAGACTTTAATTGACACGAAGCCAGCCACACCACGTGGGGGAGAGATTTGTTACTCAAATCAGTCTCCCTGAAAATTCACAGGCTACGGTTTTTTGTTTGTTTGTTTTGAGATGGAGTTTCGTTCTTGTTGGTCAGGCTGGAGTGCAATGGCGCGATCTCAGCTCACTGCAACCTCTACCTCCCGGGTTCAAGCAATTCTCCTGCCTCAGCCCCCTGAGTAGCTGGGATTACGGGCATGCGCCACCATGCCTGGCTAATTTTGTATTTTTAGTAGAGATGGGGTTTCTCCACGTTGGCCAGGCTGGTCTCAAATTCCCGACCTCAGGTGACCTGCCCCACCGGCCTCCCAAAGTGCTGGGATTACAGGCGTGAGCCGCTATGCCCGGCTCAGGCTAGGGTTTTTCAAGGATAGTTTGGCAGGCGAGGGAGTCCACTTCTGGGTGGAGTCATCAGACAGAAACGTAAAAACCCGAAAAGACATTTCAAAGGGTCAATCTTAGTTTCTGCAAGGTGGTGTTATCTGCAGGAGGAATCAGGGAAGGTTGCAGATCTTGTGACCTAACAATGGCTTCACCTTAGCAGAATTCAGCCTCCTCTCATCCTCCTAACCTGATGATCTTTCATTCAGTTTAAGTTTAATTTTGGGGAAGGACGGTTATCATTTAAAGTATTAACCAGCTGGGTGTGGTGGCTCACGCCTGTAATCCCAACACTTTGGGAGCCCCAGGTGGGTGGATCATTTGAGGTCAGGAGTTCGAGACCAGCCTGGCCAACATGGAGAAACCCCACTTCTACTAAAAATACAAAAATTACCCGGATGTGGTGGTGCGTGCCTGTAATTCCAGCTACTCGGGAGGCTGAGGCAGGAGAATTGCTTGAACCCAGGAGGTGGAAATTGAAGTGAGCTGAGGTCACACCACTGCACTCAAACCTGGGTGGCAGAGCGAGACTCTGTCTCAAAAAATAATAAGAACAAAAAATAAACTGTTAACCAAATGTCTCCCAAAGTTAGCTTGGCCCGGACCCAGGAATGATTAAGGGCAGTTTGGACATTAAAGCAAAATGGGGGTTGGTTAGATGAGATCTCTTTCACTGTCATAATTTTCTCACTTTTTCGCAAAGGCAGTTTTGGTTTCAGGACCAAGAAATAGAACCTGTCTCTACCCAGGAGCGCCTCAGGCACCATCCTTTGTCCATGGTCCAGCCTGCCTGGCCTTAACCCCTGGCTTTGTGTTGAATGCTCACCTGCTGGTTCTAGGTGTCCACAACATTATGGAAGGCCTTAGCAGCTTCACCTACCCCATTCCCAGAGTTACTGTTTAGGCCGAAGGGTTGTGACTGCTGGGGAATTGCTGTCAATCAGCGTACCCATACCGACAGCAGCATGTGAGACTAAGAAGTATGTGAGCTTCCTAGTCTCCCCTCCACCTTCCAGGTGCCTGGCCCCGGGTGTGTGTGTGTCCAGCCAGGGCCTGCCAGCATCCCTCTGCAGGCTGTGTGTGTGTCACTCTGAATTCACCCACAGAGTTGAGATTGGCACCGCGTCACATTCTTCCTAAGACTGTGTTGCAGAATTAGCATAAGAATAGCATTAAAATGTTAGTACTTTTGGCCGGTGGCTCACTCCTATAATCCCAGCACTTGGGAGGCCAAGGCAGGTGGATCACCTGAGGTCAGGAGTTCAAGACCAGCCTGGCTAACATGTTGAAACCCTGTCTCTACTAAAAATACAAAGAAAATTAGCCGGGCATGGTGGCAGGCGCCTGTAATCCCAGCTACAGGGCTGAGGCAGGAGAATCACTTCAACCTGGGAGGTGGAGGTTGCAGTAAGCTGAGACTGCACCATTGCCCTCCAGCCTGGGCAACAAGAGCGAAACTCCGTCTCAAAAAAAAAAAAAGTTAGTACTTTTAATTTGCATATCTTCGGAGCGCTACTATGTATTTTTTCTCCTTGAATCCTCTTAGTAGACAAACAAGGTAACCACAACCATAGCCAACCCGGGACTCAGCAGGCTCCAGGGATTGGAGCGGGGCCTTGTGTCCAGGAGCAGTAGAGTGGGTCCTGCCCCTGGTCTCTTGACTGTGGGTCTTGTGTTGTTTCTCTACCAGCGTTGACTTTTGGATTGGAAATTTGAAAGCTGCTAATGAATCTCCCTCATGAATTCATGTAACTGCTTTGATCCTAAGTATATTTAGTCTGTCCCACCTTGGCACAGTGGGTTCTGTCACCAGCTCCTCAACGTTAGGACCCAGGAGGTCCCTGTGGTAGGTAGTATGGGAAGGACATGATGACAGGGCAGTGCCATGGGAGCCTAGGAGGGGTCGGGAAAGGGTTCTCCTGTCTTCTTCACATGCATTTGCATAGTGTGGGAATGAATAAAAGGTTTAAAAGAACCTGTGTTATTCCTGTTACTATTTATTTTTCCAGAACATATCTGGTCAGATTTTCATTTTCTAGTTTTTATGTTCAAGTAAGCGTCTTAAGCGTGTGGGAATGTCATTCTCCTGCCTTTTTGTTAAATTAAAGACCAGGTGGGTGGGCACATTCCTTACCTGTGCTCTTGGAGTCCCACAGGGCCAAGTTTTTCTTAGTTCCTGAAGGTGACAGAATGAGCAGGCAGTCGTCTCATCAGAGTTGAGCCAGGCATCTCCTGTTTTTGTTTGTTAGAGACAGGGTCTTGCTTTATTGCTCAGGTTGGATTGTGGTGGCACCTCTTAGCTCACTGCAACTGTGAACTCCTGGGCACAAGCGATCCTCCCACCTCAGCCTCCTGAGTAGCTGGGACTACAGGCACTTGCCACTATGCATGGCTAATCTTGTGTTTTTTGTAGAAATGGGTGTCACTGGTATGTTACCCAGGCTGGTCCCGTACACCTGGCCTCAAACGATTTGCCAGCCTCGGCCTCCCAAATTGTTGGGATTACAGGCATGAGCCACCGTGTCCAGCTGGCATCTACTTTTTAGGGCAGTTCTTCCTTTTTCAAAAAGAGGCTTAACAATTATGAGCGAAATAAACCTCATTATATAAAATAAAAATATCACTCATGGTCCTCCCTTTCACTCAAAATAGCTCCCTTTGTTTGGTCTCTCTCCAAACGCGTGGGTGTCATCGGTGCTCATCTCTGTTCCGGGCCCCGTGGCCTTCAGCAGCAGCGTTTAAGATGTCTGTCCGTATTCTGCACGAGGGTTTATATCCCGTTCTGAGTGCTGGCCATTTGGGTGGGTTCCAGTTTTTGCTGGTATAAATAATTCTGTGATTTGCATTTTTATGTGAATATAACTTTTTTTTTTCTTTTGGGGTTTTCTTAGGATAGAAACCTGTATGTGGGGTTTGTAGTAAGGACTAGCACAGCTTATTAAAAATTGACCGTGGATCATTGTCAACCATGTTTCACAATTTAGAATATTCAGTTATTTAAATACTTCAATTTAATTCAAAGAATAAGCCAAAACCTTTTTGTATTTTCCCACCTTTTTATTTTGAAAAATTATATATCCACAGAATAAGTGAAAATGAACACTGATGGTCGCTTTATTAATTTAAATTTACCAGTTGTTAACGTTTGCCACATCTGCTTTATCTTTGTCTTTCTGCCTCCCTTCCTGCATCTCTACACACACACACACACACACACACGGGCATGCACATTTTTTTTTTTTATTGCTAAATCATTTGAAAGTAAGTTGCAGACATCTGACACTTTACTTTTAAATACTTCAACACTTATCTCCCAAGAATGAAAACAGTCTGCAACATAAATGAAACACATGATCACACCTAAGAAAAACAGTGGTTCCATAGTATCGTCTAACATATGGTTCAAAATAAAATTTGTCTCCAGAAGTCCTTGATAGCTTTTGTTTCCTCAGTCTACGATCCAGTTAGGTTTAGTGCATTGAGTCTGACTGTTTTGTAAATTCCGAGTACGTTAAAGCCTTTGGAATGCGTGCCATGGACTGTTCTGAAAAGGTTCCCCTTAAACCACTAGGTTTAAACCAATTTTTTTCCTTCAAAGGAAACATTCAGCACAGCTCTACGTGTTGAAGAGAGAGCTTTGGTGCTACTCTGATGGGGTGGGGACTGGAGCCTGCACTTGTCCCCTCCCCTGAGCCACTCTGGCAGATTGCTGCTCTTGGCCACATTGTGTCTTCCTAAAGCCAGCAGGGTTCCCGCAAACTTTTGGGCCACTGGCCTCTGAGTTTAGAGTTTATTTATCTCCTTGGCCACAATAGCCAGCTGTAGTCTACATTGTGGACGTCCTGAAAACTGGCAGTTCTCTGGCATTTGGCTCCTGGATTAGAAGCATTGCTCATACTGCAGCTCGTTGACAGCTGACTCTGTTCTCCGTTTCAGTGGCGGGACCACTGGATGCAGTGTGTGTACTTCCTGCCACAAGAGGAGCCTGTGGTGCAGGGCTCAGCGCTCTATCTGGTAGCCCACCACGATGACTACTGCGTATGGTACAGCCTGCAGAGGACCAGGTACGTCGAGCCTCGTGGGGGTGGAGGATGAGCCTCTGAGACTTGTATGTAAATTCCCCATTTACAGATCCTCTGGAGGTGCCAGTGGGTTGATTTGTGTCTGGACAGAATAACATAAGAACAAAGATTTGTGACCAGTGTGTCAGTGCCCATTCGTGTGTACCCAGGAGAGGCTGTCATGGGTTGCTGGAATCTGTTTAGAGCAGATGCGTAGGAAAAGTCTGGAATTAGCGGGTGCTCTAAGCCCTCATGCCTACTGGAGACCAGTGTCCAGATTCATGCCCTCTGGAGACCTGTGGAGGCGCTCACAGCCCACGTCTGTTTGTTCATCTCCTGGCCTAGCCCTGAAAAGAATGAGAGAGTCCGCCAGATGCGCCCCGTGTGTGACTGCCAGGCTCACCTGCTCTGGAACCGGCCTCGGTTTGGAGAGATCAATGACCAGGACAGAACTGATCGATACGTCCAGGCTCTGAGGACCGTAAGTGTCCAGCCCCTTGGCTTGTTGTGGGGAAAAGGGAGAAAGAAGTTTGTCCCATGAACCCCAGCACTTTGCTTATGATTTGCTGTTTCTTTCCTGTGTCCTCTTGTCTATGAGTGGCTTCAGCGAGCGCCTCCTGGGTGGGCACTGGAGCAGAAAGCGGGAGAGCCTGGGGCTGGACTTCCTGAGGGCTTGCTCTCTGCTCTACTGGGAGAGCCTCTGGCTGGGCTCCTGCTGGACACCTTTGCCTTGTCAGACACAGTCATTGCTGTGGGTGGTCACGGTGGATTAGGCCACCCCCTCTTTTCATGTGTTGTCACCTTTCTAAAATTTTCTAAGATGTAAATCTGATCATGTCGCTCTCCTGCCTGAAAACCTTTGCTCCCTGCTACCTGTAGCAGGGGACTCGGCTTGGGGATTACAGATGGGGCTTAGAGGGAGGGTCTCTTGAGGCCCTTGGGGGTGTGTACAGAAATAGGTGTGAATGTGTGCATTTTGGGGGATGGGGGGAGGATCCAAGCCATCCTGAGTTTCTCTCAGAGGGGTCTGTCACCCAGAAAGGCATCCTTGCCTTTGGGCAGTCAATTGTGAACACTCAAGCCTTGGAGGCTCTCAGCTGTCTGTGCTCTAACCAGACAGGGAAGAAGCCTGTTGTCATGGACTGGAAGGTGGCCTGCAGGTGGTGCAGGCCTTCAGCGGGGCCTCTAGGCTGGGTTGAGGGGTGTCTTTCCTGACACTGGGGACAGGTGGGGAGATGTGAGCAAGGCGGGCATGTTTGTGGCTGGGGGTGGTTACTGCATGAGGACGCAGGGGGATGGTCTGAGGTCTGGGCAAGTGGAGTGAGAAGGGAAGTATTTCTGACAGCTTGCCAGCAGGAATCTTCTGGCAAACTGGAGGAAGCCCTGTGCTGAGCTTGCCTGTTCCCCGCAGGTGCTGAAGCCAGACAGCGTGTGCCTGTGTGTCAGCGATGGCAGCCTGCTCTCCGTGCTGGCCCATCACCTGGGGGTGGAGCAGGTACTGACATGCACCCTTGTCAGCCTCCTGATGTGGGCTTGTGAGTTAGAGCATTGCGTGGTCCGGGTGCACAATTCTGTGATCAAGGCTCTTTGCAAAGGCCACTGTTGTGGGCACAGCATGCTCGGGTCAGGGGCTGGGGGGTTTATTGCCTGTGCGTGCAGGCAGGCGTCAGGCCTCAGAGCTGGTGTTCAGGCTGCCCCAGGGAGGGAATGAGGGCAGGGAGGGTTGTTCAGGTGTGTCCTCTGTCTTAGGATGGTCTTGTCGCATTTTAATCTTTAATTTCTTCTCTGTTAAGTGAATATCTTACAACTAATAGCGTGGTGTTCCCTCTAGGTGTTTACAGTCGAGAGTTCAGCAGCTTCTCACAAACTGTTGAGAAAAGTAAGTGAGAATTGTTGTTGCTGAAATAGTGAGAGGACCTGTGGGGTCTGGGTTGATGGCTTTGAAGTGGCATTGGCCCCAGGGGAACAAAGGAGTGGTGGCTCGCTTGCACCCCTGTGTTGTCTTGGTTGCTGCCTGGAGAGCAGCCAGAGGCCTTGGGAGCTGTCACTGAAATAGAGGCAGGCATTTGCACTCTGCTTTGTTTTTTTGTGTCTGAAGAAGTTTAGGCTTTTTTCCTCACTTCACATAAGCTACTGTTGCGGTAGAATTAAATGTAGGATGTGTTTCTGGGACATCAGTGCTGAGGGAGCCAGTGCTCACAGCCTGATGGGAGATGGCATTTCTCTCCCTGGCCAGTAACTGGTTTGATTTCCTCTCCAAAGGGGAACTCCCTTCACCAGAACTGCAGGCTCGCACTGAGTCCTGGTGTGCACATGCGGGAGAAATTTCTTTTGCTTTTATCACATTGTGCTCCTGATCTCATCCGTGGTCTATAGGATGCCCCCCAAGGAGAGGATTTTTCCACAAAGCAGATAAAAGTGGTGTTCCAGAACCATTTGCCGGAAAATTCAAAGCGGAGAATGCAACTTTGAGAGATTTTTTTTTCCTGACAAACACAATACTTTAGTATGAATACAGTAATTTTACGGTTTTCTTTCTAAGATCTTCAAGGCTAACCACTTGGAAGATAAAATTAACATCATAGAGAAACGGCCGGAATTATTAACAAATGAGGACCTACAGGGCAGAAAGGTGAGTAGCGGGAGCCTTTTGGCCACGCTGGGCTGTGTTAGGGTGGTCAGCACGGCACTGAAGTAGCCCAGGCCCCACCCTGTCCCTGGAGTCTCACAGTGGGTCCTCCACATGCAACCTTACCTCCTACGAGCTCCCACCATCAAGGGTGTGGTGAAGCTTTCATGGAGCTGCCCGGTGAGCAGATGGTTGCACTGCTCTTTTTTTTTTTTTTTTTTTTTTTTTTTTGAAAATGGGGTCTCGCGCTGTCGTCCAGGCTGGAGTGCAGTGGCACGATCTTGGCTTACTGCAGCCTCGACCTTCCAGCCTCAAGCGATCCTCCCACCTCTCCCGAGTAGCTGGGACTGTAGGCATGTGCCATTATGCCTGGCTAATTTTTGTATTTTTTGTAGAGTCAGCGTTTCATCATGTGGCCCAGGCTGGTCTTGAACTCCTGGGCTCATGCGATCTGCCAGTCTCAGCCTCCCAAAGTGTCGGGGTTACAGGCATGAGCCACCACACCTGGCTGTACTGCTCTTAGCTCAGCCTCATCTCTGCTCCTTCAGGTCAGGACAGAGCAGCTCTCTTGGGGTTCCTAGGAGCAGAGCATGTCCTTTCCTCTCCACCGCACTCCTGTCTTCATTCCCCGTCCACGGCTTCCTGCTGCAGTCAGGCTTCCGGGCCCTGAAACTGCTTCTGCCAGCAACCTCGTCGTTACTCCCACGGTCTCCCTGCAGGCTTCATCTGCTCTACCCGCTTGTCCTTGTGACCCGGGACTTCTGCCTGTGCTGGGGAGGTCGCTTTCCCCTCACCTTCCTGGCTGCTCCTTACCTTGCACTGCTCCGTGGCACTCTCCCCGTGTCCCCCGCTTCCCCTACTGCATCCTCTCTGGTAATCACGTTCCTTCTCATGTGTGAATCAGTGACCATCAGAGCCGGCCTTCACTCTTTACTATTTTGGATTCAAATCTCATGTCCAGCTGCCATCCTGTCACCTTTCCTTGAATATGCCACAAACTGGACTCACCCAACGCGGAGCTATCATCTTTCATCTTTCCTGCCAGTCTTTTTTTAAATAACAGCTTTATTGAGATGTAGTTGACATACCACAAAATTAATGCATTTCAATTGTACAGTTGAGTGATTTTTTTAAGTAAATATATGGAGTTAGCCGTCACCCAGTCTCATTTAGAACATTTCCAGGCCCGACATGGTGGCACATGTCTGTAATCCCAGAACTTCGGAAGGCCAAGGTGGGAGGATCGCTTGGACCCAGGAGTTCAAGACCAATCTGAGTAACATAGGGAGACCCTGTCTCTATAAAAACAAAAAAAATTAACCGAGTGTGGTGGCACGTGCCTGTAGTCCCAGGAGGCTGAGGTGGGTGAGGTGGGAGGATCGCCTGAGCCCAGGAGTTGGAGGCTGCAGGGAGCCGTGCTTGTGGCAGAGCACTACAGCATGGCTGACAGAGTGATACCTTGTCTCTAAAAAAAATGGGAATGAAAAGAGAACATTTCTGTTACCTCCCAAATTCCTGGGAGCCTGTTGATAGTCTGCATCCCCATGCCCCAGGCCTGGCAGCCACTGGTCTGGTTTGTGTCTCCAGTATGTGCCTCTTCTGGCATATCTCAAAAGTGAGGTACGCAGTGTGTGGTCTTGTGAGTCTGGCTCCTTTCGCTGAGCATAATGTCTTTGAGATTCACCCATTTCGTTCTTTTGAAGGCTGTGTAGCATTCCACGGTGTGGCTATCCATTCATGTGCTTATGGACGTTTGGATTGTGTCCAGTTTTTGGCCACTTTGAATAAGGCTTCTGTGAACATGGATTCACTGGTCTTAGAGAGGATGTATGTCCTCAGTCTCTTATGCAGATGCCTTGGTGTGGATTGCTGGGTCATGTGGTAGTTACGATCGACTTTTTAAGAAGCTGCTGAACTGTTGGTTGAAGTGGCTGTCCTTTTGACATCCCCATCGGTAACATCTGAGGGTCCAGGTTCTCGGATCCTCACCAGCACCTGGCATTGGCTTTTTTTTTTTAGCATAACCATATTAATGGGAGTGTGGTGATGTCTCCACATAGTTTTAATTTGTATTTGCCCAATGACTGATGATGGTGAACATCATTTCGTGTGCTTGTCTTGCTTGGTGAAATGTCTATTCAAGCCTTTTGCCCATTTAAAAAAATAACAGTTTTATTGAGATATAATTCACATACCTTACGATTCACTCAGTGATTTTTGTATATTCATAAGGTTGTGTAACCATCACCACATCAGTTTAAGAACCCTTTCATTACCCATTGGCAGTCATGCACCATTTGTCCGCAGTCCCCCAGCCCTGGGCACCCACTCTTCTCCTTTCTGTCTTTAGCTTGCCCATTCTGGGCATCTTGTGTGAATGGAATCAGACAAGTGTGTGGTCTTTCGTGGCTGGCCTCTCATGTGGCTTCATGTTTTCGGGCTCATCCATGTCGTAGCCTGAATCAATACCTCATTTCTCTTTCTTGCTGAATAAGATTCCATTGTGTGGATAGACCATGTTATTTATCTGTTTCTCAGCTGATGGACATTTGGGTGGCTCCTACTTTTGGGCTGTTGTGAGTAATGCTGCTATAAATATTCATCCACAAGTCGCCTTTTTTCTCCCTCATAGATGAGGGCATAGGAGATGATTCTGAAAGCCACTGTGTGGTGTACCGGTAGACCGGGGTCACATTGAATTGGAGTGGTGGGAGCGGGCGTTCTTGCCATGTTCCTGATGCTGTGTGGGGAGGCGAGGAAGCACTCAGGGCAGCCCCTTCTGTCTGCCAGCATTTCCTGCTGCATCTCCATCATCTCTGACTGGCCCCACTTTGGTGCCTGACTGCTTGGGCCTGCCCAGGGTCGGCTACCTCCTTACCCTCTGCCACTCCTTCCACTCCTCCCACCCCTCCCACCCTGTAGTCTCCGTTTCTTACCCGGACTCTTTCTGCACTCTCCCAGGTCGCCTCCGTCCCCAGCACCTGCAGGTTCCCTTCCACACTTCGTGGTCCTCAGCAGCATCTTCTAAATCACATTCCTTCTGATTTTGAACCCTGATGAAAACTTCTAGTGACATCCACCACCCCCACTGCCGCCTCCGGGATGAGTCCAGCCCCTCACCCTGTCCTGGCTGCCTTGGGCTGGGCTGGCTTCTGTCCAGCTCCACACCCTCACCTTGGGGGGCCTTGCTGTCTCCCGGCCTCACTCTTGCCCCTGCTGCCCCTCCCTCGGCCGTTCAGGCTCCTCGCTGTGCACGTGTTCATTTACTCACAAATGTTCACAGAACATCTGGTCACGGCACTGGCCCACTGCTGGGGGATGCTGGGCCACCAGTCCCTGCTCTTGTGGTGCTCAGAGCCTGGGGAGGGAGACGGAGACAAGCCCCGGTAAGTCCTGAGATAAAGCGTCCAGTGGGGGTTGACAGGATGCCACTCTGGAAGCCCCGTCTGGCACGTTTATTTCTGGGCTCCCTCCATGACCCCCTTCCTTGCTTTTTTCTATCACATGGGGTCAGCCCCACTTTGTCTGCTTCCCTCTTCTGCTCTGCTCTCCTGAGCACGGGACTCATGTCTGGTTGTAATCTTTACAGCCTCCAGGGCAGGTACAGAGCACCTTGCTGCCTTGCTTGTTTGTTGACTGAGGGAGGGAGGGACTGATGAGGGAGGGAGGGAATGAGTGAGTGACTGAGTGAGGGAGGGAGAGGGAGGGAGTGAGGGAGTGACTTGAGTGACTGAGTGGCCTGTTGCTTCCGTGTTCCTGTTAACACTCCTGGACCGAGCCCTACTGACACCTGGGCCCTGCTTCTCGCCCATTCACCAGGTCTCTCTCCTCCTGGGCGAGCCGTTCTTCACTACCAGCCTGCTGCCGTGGCACAACCTCTACTTCTGGTACGTGCGGACCGCTGTGGACCAGCACCTGGGGCCAGGTGCCATGGTGATGCCCCAGGCAGCCTCGCTGCACGCTGTGGTTGTGGAGTTCAGGGTAGGCCACCCAGGGGATGTTGGAGAAAAAAGCAGAGGAGGCGGGTGGGGAACCTTGTTTTCTTGCAGGAACCTTGGGTGCCTGTAGAGCGGCTCAGGCCTTGATGATTTGAGCTTGTGTTTTCTTTCTGTGTCAGCACACTGTGGGGTTGAATAGAAGATGCTTGCCTTTTAAAAAATGCGATAATTTGACATACGAAATGGAAATGGCTGAGTGTTGTCATTTTACAATTGTGGCTTATCAGAATAATTTAAAAATATAAATTAAGCGTTTCAGAAGCCATGCCGTGTGGCCTGCTCTGCTCTCATTAATAGCCGAGGCTTCGATTGTTAAAGGCATTTTGAGATGGGAGAGTCAGCTGCTTTGTGCAAGAAAAAATGGAAAAGCTTCCTTTTAATTTTCTCATCAAAGCAGAACCATAGTCACAAAGTCATTTTGGGAAGGGCATTTTTATTAAAAGGATTTGAAAAGCTTTACCCTGGATGGAGAGTGTATCTCATTTGATGAGAGTGGTTTTCTCTCCTAGCTTAGTGGCTCCATCACTGAAAGTCTGGGCATTTCTCCTGTGTTACTTGTTTACCTAATCAGATTTCCACATGAATTCTGGTTTTCATGGCCAAAGAGGGGATGTCACGATCCATGCGTGCGTGTGACCAGGAGGAAGGGAGGGAAGGCTGTGTGGCCTGAGTGTCCTCTGGGTTCCTCTTGGCAGGGCCTTTTTCTCTCCCCAGCATCCTCATGAACTGGAGATGATGCTGGGGAGAGAATTGGCTTACAGATTTCTTCCCAAAGAAATGATGTTCAGGATGGCCCGGATAGGAGTGTGCAGCCCCCAGCCTAGGAGCTCTGGCCGACTGTCCCTTATAGGAGAGGACTCAGGTGTCACGTCAGAGCTTGCAGGTTCCCGCCCAGCCCAGTCTGTTACAGAAACCGTTGTGGATCTTTGTTCTCTCTGAGCCCCTTCATACTTGGGGGTCTCTTTCAGGTGTGCAGGGAACAGCAAGATGTGCCTCTTGTTCTTGCTGCCACGCTTCCCTGTGTCCTGGCGGGCGGGTGTGGACGGGGCTGCTCCTTCCTCACAGGACCTGTGGCGGATCCGGAGCCCCTGTGGTGACTGCGAAGGCTTCGACGTGCACATCATGGACGACATGATTAAGGTAGGCAGGGCCACACTCTGCATAGTACCCCCGACCTGCTCCTGTATCGCAGGCCTCTCACAGGGTCCCAGCTTGGGCAGCACAGGCTCTTCTGTTGGGGGCAGTGAGGTCAGGTGCTGCCATTTTGTGTGGTTCAACATGAGCATTGCTTGGTACCAGCCCTGTTCTTGGCTCCGTGCTGTCACCCTGTGTCAGAATCTCCACTGGGCCTGCACGTCCTGTCATTGCAACTGCCCCTGCCAGTGCCCACAGCTTCTTTTCTAGTGGGGCTGACTTTCCAGAGGCCATCTGGGAACCTTCTTAGGCAGCCATTTCCATGGTGGGGGCTCCATTCCCGGGAGGGGTACCTGAGGAGATTCCCACAGGTTATTTACATGGTAGGGGTTAGCAACTGGGCCTACGTTCTCCAGAACCATGGGCTGTCCTGACAGCGCCAGTGGTCCTTGGATTCATGAGGACTGAAGCTGAGAGTCGTGTTCCATCCACATGAGAGGGGCAGGGTGAGGAGCATGGGCCGTGCTGTGTATTAAGGAAATGCACGTGGCTCCTGCTTGTCATCCCAGCACTCTGGGAACCTGAGGCTGGTGGATTGCTTGAGCCCAGACGTTTGAGACCAGCTTGGGCAATATAGCAAGACCCTGTCTCGACAAAAAATAACAAAAAATTAGCCAGGCATGGTAGTGCACACCTGTATTCCCAGCTACTCAGGAGGCTGAGGTGGGAGGATGGCTTTAGCCTGGGAGGTCGAGGCTGCAGTGAGCTGCGTTTGTGCCACTGCCTCCAGGCTGGGTGACAGAGCAAGACCTTGTCTCAAAAAAAGAAATCTCATGGACACCAGAGGAGCGGGAAGCAGCGGTGGCCCCGCAGCAGCAGCTATGCATCGGGAGGTGGGGCTTTTCTGCTTCTGCTCACCTTTCTGCTCTCATTTTCCCATAGTGAACATGGATTGCCTGTGTGTGAACACTTTTTTAAGTAAATTAAACCTTGTGGATATTTTCAGTTTGTATCTTATCTGCCCCTCACAGCAGACCATTGACTGTTCGATGCTTTTAGAAATCTCCTTCGTGCTGAGCCCTGCGTGCTCTGGACCCATGCGCTCTACGCCTCCTCTGGGCCCCTGCTCATGGCCTGCCCACCCTGGCTGTCCCTGTCCCCTCTTGCTGATACGGTTCTGCTACTCTGGTCCTGGGCCAGTGTCTGTCTCTCGTGTGCTAAGGCAGATGGCCGAGAGTGGTGGGTATCCCACAGTGGGGTGCCAGGCATTTTTACTTCTATGCTTTCCAAATCCACCTGCCCTTCCCCACCCTTAGCCTGGCCCTTCCAGTGCCCTGTCTTAGACCTGGCGCCACTTCACACGACCAGCCAGGCCCAGGGCCCCGGGCATCCTCCCTGGCAAGTCCTCCCATCCCCTGCCATTGGTCTTCGTGCTCCTGGTGAGCCTCCGACCCAGGCTGTCCCCTGACTGCTGCCGTCCTGGTTTGAGCCCCTCCTGCTCTGGCCGTCCTCCACACGGAGCCCACATGAACTTGTAGATCTGAGTCTGGCCACATCCCCACTGCAGGAATGCCCTAGCTGGCTCCCCACACCACACCTGCAGAGTGGCCCGGCTGGCCTGGGTGCCCTGGCCTGCTCTCCTGACTTAGCTCTATCCTCAAGGCCCCCTCTGGCCCTTCTCCTGCCGGCTCCCATTTGACCGTCACCTCCCCTCCTCCAGGTAGCTTTCTGCATCCCTCCTGGATGCAGGTGCCCCCAGCCTGCCGCCAGGCACCGGGGCTGTACTGTCACGCATTTATCCCTCCCTGTGGCCCGGGGCCCACCTGTCGGGGCCACACAGCTGTGGTGGTCACCAAGTTTCTAGGTGCTGGGTGTTCTCACCAGTGATGTAGATATGTGGTCCTCAGAAGGCTTGAGACAGGCAGCACCACCCCATCTTAAAAATCCGGAGAGCGAGGCTCAGAGCCAGCGGTGCCTGGGGAGCCACTGATGAGAGAGAAGTGGCAGAGAGGGGGCGCCGCTGGTCTGCTGGGCGCTCGGCATCTTTATGGGAGAACGCACACCCCTTGTGACTGCAGTCAGTGGGAGCCAAGCCGGGGAGCGGTACCTCTGTCTAGCTGCCGGCCTGTCTCTGCAGCCCCCAGGCCCCCTTCTGTTCGCAGCGTGCCCTGGACTTCAGGGAGAGCAGGGAAGCTGAGCCCCACCCGCTGTGGGAGTACCCATGCCGCAGCCTCTCCGAGCCCTGGCAGATCCTGACCTTTGACTTCCAGCAGCCGGTGCCCCTGCAGCCCCTGTGTGCCGAGGGCACCGTGGAGCTCAGAAGGTGGGTGCAGAGAGGGCTGGGGGGCAGGGAGGGGCTGCTGCTTGCCCTTGGAGTTCTCACCCCCGTGGTGAGCACAGCTGGCCTGGGAGACGCTGACACGTGGAGGGGGTATTCGTCCTCCCCACAACCTTGCCCTTCCCTGTCAGAGTGGCCCTGCGCGTGTGGTGGTTCCCACGGTCCTGTGTGTGCCACTGGTGGAGGAGCCAGGAAGGGCTCTGCTCCCCCTCTACAGCTGAGGCTCCCTTGTTGGATCACAGCTCAGGAAGATGGGAGCTTACTTCCTGTGGTCACCGATGCACCATTTTCCTGAACCCTCCTGGGAGCTGAAGCAGGTCAGGGTCAGCAAGTGCTGCTTGCGTCCAGGGACGGGCAGCCCTGTCCTGCTCCGGCCCTCACCCCACCCTCGCCCGAGGAGTGACTTCTCCTGGAAGCACCTCCCAACTCGGGGCAGGCAGCCAGGCAGGGCGGGCGCCATCACCTGAGCTCCCAGGGTTGCTGTCTGGGGCATCAGAGGGGCCTTCCGGCCTTCAGTGCCAGGCTGTGCCTCAAGCTCCCCCAGACCCTGCAGCCACACCGGCCCTGCCCCATGTGTGGCCCGGCTGCAGGGCTCGGGTTGGCTCAGGTGGGGGCTTGGCTGCGGCTCTTCTGGCTGGGGTTTTTCTGAGGAACGTTTATGTAACTGCAGCACTAGGAACTCCCGGCAGGGCAGGAAGGAAGTGGGGAAGACCACAGGTTTCTGGAAAGCCGCAGGAGCTGCAGCTGTTCCCCCGCTGCCTCTTGTGTGACTACTTCTGCTGGGCCCCCCTCTCCTTGACAGGCCCGGGCAGAGCCACGCAGCGGTGCTATGGATGGAGTACCACCTGACCCCGGAGTGCACGCTCAGCACTGGCCTCCTGGAGCCTGCAGACCCCGAGGTAGTGCCTGCGCACCGGGCCCAGTGTGCGTGCAGACCCTGAGAGCAGGCGCCGCCTGGGGAGGCCTCCCTGCCCCCATGCTCTGGGTGTTTCTGTCACAAGTTCTTCGGGCCAGATGATGACCCCTCAGTGGTCCTGGGCCATCTGGCCCCTGAGCAGCTTCTCTCTGCTGCGAGCTGCCTGGGCTGGAGGCTGGCTAGGAAGGAGGCTCAGGTGCCAGGGAGCCCTCACCATCTTCCTGCTCTTCTTCCTACAGGGGGGCTGCTGCTGGAACCCCCACTGCAAGCAGGCCGTCTACTTCTTCAGCCCTGCCCCAGATCCCAGAGCACTGCTGGGTGGCCCACGGACTGTCAGCTATGCAGTGGAGTTTCACCCCGACACAGGCGACATCATCATGGAGTTCAGGCATGCAGATACCCCAGACTGACCACTCTTGAGCAATAAAGTGGCCTGAGGGCTGGGGTTCTGAGTGGCTCATGGCTTTCTAGCGGGGAAGGCTGAAGGCCCTCCTCTCCTCTCTGGGAGCTGCTCGGCCTCAGGGATGGGAAAGACTGCGCCGTGTTGCATCTTGTTGCATCTTTGCACTGCTGGCCTCTGGCTCCAGCTGTGGCAGGAAGCATGAGAGGGTGACTGAATTTGGAGCCCTGGAGGGGCTGGGAAGACCCCCCTGCTTGTGCTTCTGAGGTGCTGAGAATGCTCCAACACAGAGACATCTCTCCCCAGCTGGGAAGGGAGTGGAAGCACAGGGAGCTTGTGGGGCTGGCCGGTGGGGTTGTCCACGCCGCCCTTGGCGAGCAGTCCCCGTGGCGGGAGCCTGTCCTGTCTGTCTCACTCTCGAGGATCTCCGGGTCCCTGCTCTTCTGGCTTCTGCTAGGAGGGTGGAGATGCTGAGTTGTGGCTGGGTCTCTGGGGCTTGAAGACCCTGGCTGGGCCCGGGCTGAGAGGCCTGGGTTCTGGCCCTTTCACCTGACAGGTAACTTCAAGCCACATCCATAGGTGTCTGGCCTCAGTGCTGCACCAGCTGGTGGCCTGCCAGGACCTGAGACTGGACACAAGGCAGCTGTCCCAGAGCAGTTCCTGAGATGCAGGCCCAGGAAAGTGGCTGTCAGGGGAGCTGGGAGGCAGCCCTGTTCCCTGCACCTCCCTCAGATTGGAAAGCCCCTCCTGCAGGTGGGGTATGGCAGGGAGCAGCCCCTGCCCAGCGCCGCTTCACCAGGAAGGTCAGTAGGTGCCGTGGCCTTGCTTCTCTCACACACTAACCCCCCTTTGGTTATGTCCCAGCTCTCAGAGGTAACAGCAGACACCACGTGAGAGAACCCAGTGGCCTCTGGCTCGCAGCTTAGAAGGTGAGGCTTGTGCCAGGCCAGCCGAGCCGCCTGTATGAGCAGAGTTCCGGTGTCCTCGGATTCAGGGCAGACTTGGGCAGTGCCTGTCCTGCAGTTGGGGGCAGGAACTCCCTCCCCTGCCCCCAGGCGTGCCCCTGAGGCCTGGCCCCAGCTTGTCGCTGAAATAAGTGGAGAACACCAGCCTTGAGCCTCACAGTTTTATTTTCTCCTCGTTATCCATCCTTCCTTTCAGCACCAGTAAGGAAAAAGAACACCTCTCTTCGCAAAATATTTTATCAGGTGTAAAGACTTGTTTTTCTTCTAGGGAAGAACCGTCTGGATATATATTTGATAATGTTTTTACCAAAACCATAGGTGTGCTTACCATAGAAAACCCCTAATGTCCCATGAAGATACAATACAGAAAAAAATACAGAAATTAAAAAAGTTTTTATAACAGTATTTCTAAATCTCAGCAAGTTAAAAAGCAATAGTTAAAAAGCATCAAGATTAATATACTTAAAACTTAAGGTGGTTTTGGACAAATGAAAATGAACATTTCCTTCCTCAGTGGCCCCCGCGCCTTGTGGCTTCCTTTGAGACTGGGCCTAGGGCAGGAACAGAGTCTTGGTATGGGCCTCGGGTGACCCGTGTGCCCACCCCTGCTAGGCCTTAGATGCCACAGAATCTGAGATCCAGCAATGGTTCACTTTAAAAAATCAGTGGAAGGGCCTGGCCTGCACACAAGGCCCGGGAGTCCATAGGCAGCCACAATGAGACACGTGGGTGGGGGGGTCCCGGTCTTGGTGCTGAGGGAGGTGTGCGGGGGCCTGGGGGCCGCACATCCTTACTCTGGACCCCAGGACCTGACTAGGCAGAGGCGACCTTGTGATGACAGAAAATGACTTGCCTAAGGCCGCCTGTGAGGTGGGAGGGGAGGAGCATGCAGCCCTGACTCCCACGCCTGCTGCCCCGGGAGGGGGTGCCTGGGTGGGGAAGCTATGTTGGGGTCTGGTGTGGGGGCCCTGCCCGGGCCTCAACTGCTCTCCCTGTGCAGGCAGTCGGCAGGCGGCTCGGGGTCTAGGGGTCCAGGGCCGGCCGGCCCAGTCGCTTGTGTGAGCAGAGTACCAGCTGCTTCTGGAAGTTGGGGGCCTCCACATCATGAATCCCAGTCAAGGCTCACAGGCCAGCCCCTTGGAGGGGTGGGCCGGGCAGAGAGCCCAGCAGGATGCTCGCCCTCAGCAGCCCCTTCCTGGCTCTGGACTCTGGAGGGGCAGGGCTTGGGCCCGGGCAGACGGTGCTTCCCAGGCCAGGTGAGTTCAGACAGGCCAGTGTCACAAGGACGCACGTCCTAGCGCCAGGCTCCCTGGGCTCTGCAGCGTTGTCTGCCCCAGCACAGGGCCAGGCATCTGGCTGGCTGCGTGGCCCCCTCTTGGTCCCTCTTGCAGCTCAATGGGTGACAAGGCACAGCATCAGGGCACCAGCACCAGGAGGGGCTGACAGCAGACAGCAGGTCCTGGTGCTCCCTCCAGCCTCACCAGGCAAAGCCGGCCCTGGGCCAGGCTGGGTGTAGGGCCAGGGCGCCACGAGGAGCGGAGGTCAGCGGGGATTGTCAAAAACAGTCCCTCAAGTTGAGTCTCGAACTTTGAAACAGACAAAACCTTCGCTGCATGACAGGAGCAGCCCTGGAGTCTCTTAAAGGCAGGTGGGCAGAGGCAGTGCTGCCGAAGGGGCCTGGGGGCTGTAGGCATCTTGGGGCTGGAGGCAGATCGGGGACCACAAGCTGTTGGCCAGCTCTGCCATGCTGAACTTGGGTGCCAGTACCACACCCTGCCCTGGGCATGCAGCAACTGTCAGCCTTGCTGCCCCAGCTTGCGCACTGGTGAGGGCCAGGCTGCTCTCTGCACCTTGGCTTCCTGCCTCCTAGGCCGGGGTCCCCTTGTGGCCTTGGTGTTGGCTGGGGTAGCTGTTGAGGATGGGCCTGGGAGGCCAGAGCCGCAGCCCCACCCGGGGGGCAGGCAGGGGTTCCTGAGCTCAGCCGGCACGCAGGTGGGGCACGTCCCCAGGGAGGGATTGGTCCCGAACCAGAGAGGTGTCCCGTGGGGGAGAGGATTGGCAGAAAGAAGAGGATGTGTTGGTTTTGATAGAAGAGAAGCTACAAATAGATTATTTTCAAAATCAGGATCCCCCCCACCCCCGTTTATGCTGTGAGTCCCTTCTTCCTGTAAAAAAAAAAGTGGATACTCTCTTCTCGGATCCCCGTTTATGGCTCCACTGCCCAGATGGGAGGCTCCCGGAGGAGGCCCAGGGTGCCAGAGCCTGCCAGACTCTGTTGTGCCTGAGCTGGGGAAGGGACCCTGTCTCGGGAAGAGCAAAGTTCTATGAGTGACTTACAGACCCTGTGAAGTGAGGGTTGGTTTTGTGATTAACCTTTTTCTGTTTTTCTTTTTAAAATGTAATTGCCCTTGAATGCGAGACCCTGGGAAGAGCCCTGGGCTGGCTGGTAGAGATGCAGCCCTCGGACCCTGCAGGAGCCGGCCCACACTGGAGGCGGGAGAGCTGGTGGCCGTGCCCAGGAAGTGCTTCTTTGGCTGGTTCTGATTGTGTTTGGAGTTTGGCCTTGGGTGAGGCCCGAGCAAGGGGTCTGTGGCTACAGCGTGGCACGTGGCATGCGGGCAGCGTGCATGCGAGGGTGCAGGCATGCGAGACGACATTGGCAGCAGACAAAAATAAAGAACCCTGGACGAAGCTTAAGAGGAGATACAGAGAGTACACGAACCCGGTCCTCATACTAACCCACGGGTTACAAACTCGGTTGTGCTGTAGATTTGTAGAAAATCGTGTTGTGAAAGAATGGCACTGGTTAGGCAGCTGGAGGCTCCTGGGGCGGGCCTGACTCCTCTGTCCACAGTGAGGCCCAGAGGCGCAGAGCAGCGCAGCTTCCAGGTTCCCGGGCACTGACTGTGGCTCCCTCCCTGTCCCTGCCCTCCTCCCCCAAGCACCGGGCACTCGATGGAGGGGACATGGCCCAGGGATGGGCTGCAGCTGCAAGGGCTGGCAGAGGCCCCGCTGCTCCGGACGGTCTATGCCTCCTCCTCCCCCGAAGACACCATCAGTCGCATGGCTACTGGCAGGTGGTCCGTCAGGCCGGACAGCTGGGTGATAAAACTGAATTCTTCCACCTCCTGGGGTGAGTGGGAGAGGGGAGAAACAGCCTGGTCAGATTCCAAGGGCATCTTGCAGGGAGCGGCCTGGGGATCCCCAAAGTGAGGCCCCGGGGCTGGGGTGGGCTGGGACCTTCCTGCAGTCAGAGGGATGGGGCCTGGAGGACCTGGGGCCCTAAGGGTCTGAGGGAGTGATGGGTATCATTGTAAGAGTGGCCTGGGGCGTGGGGTTTCAGGGAGCGGCTGTCGAGAGCTGCAGGGCCCGGGCCCTGCTCTCTCTTTGCATGGCCCTGGCTGCTGGGCCCTCCTGACTCACGGCCTTCCAGTCTGGGCACAGCCCCTCCTCTGCATGCAGCATGTAGTCGATGCGCCGGCCGTTGCCCTTCAGCAGCTCCTTCCGCCCCTTCTGGCCCGAGCTCTTGCTGGTGGGAAACGCCAGGTACTCCCTGCGGCCCTCCTCACTCTCCAGGACCCTGTCCACACATGCAGGAGGCAGGTGGGCCCCCATGCCCGCCCCTGTGGGCCTGGCAGGGGCTGTGTGTGGAGCCATGGTCTCCTCCCAGTGTGGGAGCGGGTGGGTGGGACCAAAGCGCTGGGTTTAAGATCTCTCCCCTGCGGGTCCAAAAAGGGCCTCAGCTGGGGGTAGGCCGAGTTGCCTGTGGGTTCCTGGCTGAATCTGGGCTCCGGAGCCCGTCGAAGTGTTCTGTCCGCCCCAGCCTGGCCAGCACTCACTTTCCCTTTCTGAACTCGGACAGAACTGATCCCACCCGTTCCCCAGAATGGGCTTCTGCCCTGAGCCAACAGGGGCCTGTTTTGAGGAGCTTGGTCTTTGCCATGAGTCTCGGGGACCCTTGTGACTGTTCCCAGGTTGACAGGAGCTGAGGGAGCCAGGAGAGCACCTCTGAGGAGTCTCAAATGGGGCTGTCCCTACGTGGCTGTGTGACTCTGCTTATGTTACCAAGCCTCCAAGCCTCTGTTTCCTCCTCTGAAACAAGAATGGTTGCTGTGGGCCCCAAGACGCTTCAGGGAACAGGCTGTCATCCCGCTTCTGAGTGAGGAAACCCATGATGGTGCTAGGGGATCCACAGGGAGGGCAGGGCGCTGGAGCAGGGGGATGTGACATCTGGAATCCCTTTCTGGCACTGTTGCCCTGAGACAAGCAGTATGCCCGTCTGCTTCCTGCCAGCCTGTCCCCTGGGGCCTCAGCACCACTGGGCCAGAGGCTTAGGACCCCCTCCTGGGAGCCCCCATTGCAGAGGGCAGGCTGGGGCCAGGGCCTGGGATGGCAAGTGCAGTGGTGAGAGACCCTGCAAAGGCCGCCAGGTCTGTGAGTGCCTGGACGGATGCAAAAGGGGCACCCGGCGAGGCAGGGCCTGCAAACATGGGCTTCCACAAGGTTTTCATCAGCCTTAAGATAAATACACTAATGACATTCAGGACATTGTTACAGCTCAGAAATGGAATCCATCACTGTCCTTTGCCCTTGATAATTAATTCCAGCATCAATGATCTGAGAGCTACTGGTAGTCATTTTTAAATCATCATCTCATAAAAAGAATTTTCTCAGCATAGGATGATGTTTCAAATTTAGTCTATAATCTAATTAATTGGCTCAAATTAGCTGCAAGGAACCATCGCTGTGACTGCAGTCTCGGGCTGTGAATTATAAATTGGTTCTGCTGTTGGCCTCTCAGATGTGTTCTTTATGGACATCTTACTGGGCTCAAGAATGAATTTTGGCTGGGATGGAACTGTCTCTACTTTGAAAATGGTCGGCTGTGTTATTGCAGCTGGTGTCTGTATTTGCCTGATTGGTGCTGCAAGCTGCCAGGCTGCCTTCAGCAGGCGCCGTACCCAGCAGCTCTTTCATGGGGGTCGACCTGTGGCCTGGCCCGGGGGAAATTCCAGGCCCTTTCCTGTACCCAGCAGGCAGGGGCTCGGGGCAGGGCTAGCTCCTGAAAACAGGTTTGGGAAATACCCCTAGAGATTTAGCAAGGCCAGTACCCCTGGGCGTGAGGGCGTGAGGTCTACCTGCCTGGCCCAGCTCCCAGCTCTCAAAAGCTCTCAAAGGTGAGATGAGGGACAGGTTTCTGCCAAATAAAAGCCCTCATGAGCCCGAGCTGAGCTCTCCCATGTGGGTCCTGCCCAGTCCCTGTCTCCACCTTAGTCAGGGTGTGCCTCGTCCCTGGCCTGGGAGCGCAGTGCTTACTTCTGCAGGTTGTCGGGGGTGCACACATCCTCATCGTACAGGCCGTTCGTGTCCAGCAGAGTACCTGGGGGGGACGAGGGGGTGACAGTGGTCGCTGCAGGCAGGGCCCAGGCAGCCTCTAGGGGGTGGCCTCTGTGGGTGGACACGGGCTTCTGCTAGCCAGGGGCAGCTGAATGGGGCCCTTCCCCAGCAGTGGGGTCTTGTGGGGTAGGTCCTGGTGATCTTTGAGGGAAGTCTGTGGGGAGCCCAGCTCCCATCCTCCTCCCCCAGCCCCAGCTCACCGATGGCCCACGGCTTCTCCTCACCAGGCCCCAGGCGGCAGGGGTCCCTGTAGTGGGTGAACAGGGAGTGTTGCTGCTCCAGCTTGTCGTCTGTGCGGGGAGGGAGGAAACGCTGAGGCACCAGGGGGCTTTGCTGTCCCACACGGCCTGTGCCCCTGCTTCCCATCAGTTACTCCCCATGTGCTGCCAGGCCCCCATCCCTTAGGCCACTGCCCCTGGGTGGGATCTCAGTCCCATTCAGGTGCCCCGTGCTTCATTTGTCGCTGCTTTTCTGTGTCCTTGAGAACACCTCCCCCAGCACACGCCCTGATCTTCAGCATTCCCTCTGAGGACAGTGACAGTGACCACGGTCCTCGGACAGAGGAAGGAAGGTCCCCACAAGGTCCATGTGGTCATCGGATCCACAGATCAGTTATTTACAGCAAGTGTTTGCTGTTTCACTGATGACGAGCTTGTAGTCTTTCACCCTAATGGTTTAAGGTGCAATTCCCAGGGTTCAGATCCCAGTGCAATCACTGCCTGGCTATGTGACCTTGGGCTGGTTCTCCAGCCTCTCTGAGTCTCAGCTTCCTCCACCACACCACGTGGAGACATGCAATGCTTCCCTCTCAGGGTTGTTAAGACACTTAAGTGAAACAGCGATAGAATGGCAGCTGGCTCGAAGCAAGAGCGCGGCGCCCCGTTGATGGGTGTTACTAGTGGACTCGTCCTTTGTCTGCTTCAGAGGCCCCCAGCCTTCCTTGTCAGAGGTTCGTTTTTAGGGCATCTCTGTCTCCAGCTTTCTAGGCAGAGCGTGGGCTCTTCCTGTTCTAGGATTTCTAGGGGGCAGAGAAATCAGTCTTGCTAAATACCCCGCCCACATGCTCTCGAGGAGCAGGAATTCTTTGAGCTGCCTAACGAAGTCTGTCTAGCTGTGACTGAGCCCACAGCCTCCCCAGAGCTGGAGACCTGAGTGGGGAGGAGCCCGGCCTCACCAGAGGAGCAGTTATCAAAGTTGAAATCTCCACAGACGACGTCAAATGCCACCAGCTCCTCGGGGTTGGCTGCGCTGGACGAGGAGGTAGATTTTCGGAAATCAGCCAGCCAGTCCTGAAGCAGGTCCAGCTGCCCACACCGGATGGCGCTGTCCTCTGCAGGGCAGAAGTACAGAGACTGGATGATGAAGTTCGCCCCAGACCCCAGCTAGGCCCCAGGCACTGATCCCATGCCTAGAAAAAACACAGGTGGGCGGCAACCCTACCTTGCGGGGCATGCAGGTGTGTGCAGGCGATGTACCCGACGATTCTTTGGTCCTGAGGTGTGCTTCCCACCTGCACCTGGGGGAGGAGGGGGTCAGTGCTGCCACCTGCCAGTCACTGTGGCCCTGAGAGCACAGGACACTGGCAGTGCCCACCCACCCATGAGGTCAGACCCTCACAAGCCTGGCTCCTGGCTGGATTCTGGGGTCCGAGTAGGGACAGGATGTGTCCTGCTTCTAGGGACTTACGGATCTGGGCCAGAGGCGGGTGCTGAAAGAAACTATTGGCCTGTGGCGTGGGGAGTGCTGGCGGCCATCTGTGCAAAGCATGGGGGAAGTGCCGAACCGCAGCAAGGCTCCCCGGAGGCCCAGGCCCTGCCATCTCCCAGTGACCAGCGTGGCCACGGCTCTCAGTTCCTTGTCCAGTCCTGTCTGTGGCTCTTTCCTCCCTCCCTCAGTTACACCCTAGACCTGGTCACACCCTGGTGCTTTCTCCCCCTGAAATCTCAGGGGGTTGCCCCTGTGCCATGGCGTGGCCTCAGAGCCCACCCCACACAGCAAGAGGCCCAGACCCTGCCCCTCCTGGCCTCGTCGCCTTCTGGCTGCATGGTGAGTCATCTGCTTTATAGGCCGTGGTCCCGTTGTCACCCGTCTTGGATGAGAGCTCCCTGACCTGTGTCCTAGGCTGGCCCCTGCACACCCCTGGCTCCATCCTGAGCCCACTGTGGCAGCATCCTCTTCAGGTCTCCCCTCTGCCCCGACCTCCTGCTTACCTCCTTTACCCAAGACGGAGCAGGTGACCCTGGCAGGATCCCAAAGGCTGGCTTAATACAAATTAGCATCTCCACTGTACCCTGCAGGCAATTCATAACTGCCCTACCCCAGGTGGGGGCAAGATGGAGCCCTTGTCAGTGCTCAGCCCAGGAGAGGTGAGGGATGGCCACAGAGATGCCCTGCACAGAGAGGCCGCTTACCAGCTCCTCATCCCCTGCCCCTGGGATTCCTTCCCTCCTGTGCCTCTGTACCCTCCCCAAGCCATGCAAATCCATTCCAGACTGAGTTTCCCAAGATGAGGAGACCCCAGACCCAAAAAGCACTCCAGGGAGGTGGCTGGGCAGGACACACTGCCTCTCCCAGTTGTTGGCTGAGGGCAGAGGGCCGCAGGGTGGGTGCCCCACATCTGTGGAGCTCACAGCAGCCCAAACGTCACAGCCCATCTGCTCCAACAGCCTCGGCAGGCTCCGTCCTTCCTTCACTGCTGCAGTCGGTCAGGCTGGTATTATCTCCTCCATCTGGACGTCCTCAGCAGCAGGTGCCCCTGGCTTTCTACAGCTCTTCATCCCCTTCCCAGCCCTAATGCACAGCCTTCCTTCCCCAGCACCTGGGGGTACGAACGTCTGGCTGTTCAGCCCCACAGGTTCACCATTCACTTCTTGCCCACAGACAGACCCAAACCTTAGCCTAACAGCATCCCCGCCCCCCGAATGGCTCTGTGAGATCACGCAGCATTGATGGTTCTGCTGCAAAAACAAAACACTGATGAAGCCGCCATGCTCAAAAGGCCACATGAGGCTGAGCACGGTGGCTCACGCCTGTAATCCCAGTACTTTGGGAGGCCGAGGCAAGTGGATCACCTGAGTTCAGGAGTTCGAGACCAGCCTGGCCAACATGATGAAACCCCATCTCGACTAAGAATACAAAAATTAGCCGGGTGTGCTGGGCACAGTGGCTCACACCTGTAATCCCAGCATTTTGGGAGGTTGAGGCAGGCAGATCACAAGGTCAGGAGTTTGAGACCAGCCTGACCAACATGGTGAAACGCTGTCTCTACTAAAAATACAAAAATTAGCCGGGCGTGGTGGTATGTGCCTGTAATCCCAGCTATTCAGGAGGGTGAGGCAGGAGAATCGCTTGAACCTTGGAGGCGGAGGTCACAGTGAGCCAAGATCATGCCACTGCACTCCAGCCTAGGCAACAGAGTGAGACTCTGTCTCAAAAAAAAAAAAAAAAATTAGCTGGGTGTGCATGCCTGTAACCCCAGCTATTCAGGAGGCTGAGGCAGGAGAATCCCTTGGACCTGGGGGGCGGAGGTTGCAGTGAGCCAAGATCGCCCCATTGCACCACTCTGGCCTGGGCGACAGAATGAGACTGTCTCAAAATAAATAAAAGACCACACGGGGGCGCCGTCTTCAGGCAACAACTGCTCCTCCTCCATGAGGATCATCTCAGGCCCAGTGGGCTCGTGCTGGGGTGGGGTGGCGACGCATGGACATTACTTTTCTGGGTCCTTACAACGGCTCAGGCACATGATAAAGTGATGCTGCTTTTACCGTTGAACACACTGAGGCCAGAAGTTGAGTTGTGGGCCGGGGTCACAGGCTCACATGGTCTAAGAGGCAGCTTCCAGTCGGATCTGTTTGTCGTGCGCTGCTGTGCGCTGCTCTGCGCTGCTTTCTGAGGGGCTGGTGTCTTTGCGGTTTCTCCCCGGCCGCCTGTTTGTTGGTCTTAAGGCGTCAGCCTCTCACTCATCCAACACTTGGTGTCACCTGCCCCGCGCTGTGTCCCGGACAGGGTTGGACACTCGCAGGGAGGCCTCAGACTGGGCCCTGCACGACAAGAACCCACTGGCCGGAGGAGTGACGAGGTCCTGCTCCCTCCCGCCCCGCTTCTCCCTCCTCATCTGCCGTGTGATCTCACCAAGATCCACTTGATTATTTGCTGGGCCTCATTGATTCCTGGCTCGTGGCCTTGGGAGCCGCAGAGCCTTGTGTTTCTCTTGCAAAAACAAGCAATCACACGAAAGGCTGTGCCTTTGAGTCCTGGCGGGCAAAGACTGTCAACGGAAGAGGTGTCCAGAATAAGGCTCTATTGTAGGTGAGGAAAAAGGGATTCCAGTCCCTTCCTTCACAGAGCCACATTTCCCTGAAGGCTCTGAAGTCCCATACGGGAAACCATGAGGGCCTTCCGGGAAGGAGGGGACCGCTGATTTCTGCAGCGAGTCCCTCCAGCGTCCCGGCCCCTCTCCGGCTGGGCCTGTCCCCAAGGCAGCCCCACGTACTTCACTTCTCCGCGCTGGGATCCGCGTGTGCTGGGCACACCACAGCTCTGCTGTCCTGGTGCTCTGTCTGATGGACAGACAAGACCCTGGGCACGAGGGCAGAGGAGCCCATGAAGGGAAGAGAGGATTGTGTGGCTGGCCGCTGAGGGAGCTCCATGAGGTGGTGTGGCCACACCCAGTGTGGGACCAAGACAAGCAGGGGCCAGGGGTACAGGAGCCCCTCATCGGGGTTGTGGCTGGGGCAGAGCTGGAGCTAAGGGTGGCGGGGGCAGGGGGGCGGGAGGTGGTACAAGGTGACGTTCAGACTTCCTGAGGCAGTGGAGGGCATAAGAGGAGTCACACCTGGCCTCAGACGAGGAGGGTGGCTGAAACCACAGCAGGGCTGATGCAGAGGAGGGGGCCTGGGCCAAGGGAGCTGGAGATGTGGGGTGCACCCAGGGCCATCTGGAAAGTGAGCTAGGGGCCTGGAATGGATGGGTCGGGCACAGGACAGAGCAGCCAAGGTGGTCCTTCTGGCTTCAGGATGGCAGAACACAGAAGAGGAGCAGCCCGGGGCAGAGGCTGAGTCTGGTTTGCGAGTGAATGGGGATGTGTCCTGGAGGCAGCCAGATGTAGGGCTGGGGGGAGAGGTCTGGGCCAGGACAAAGCAGAGGGGCCTCAGAAAGGGCAGAAATGGAAGCTGCAGAGTCTCACTCCCAGGCAGGTGTCATGATGGTTGCTGGGAAACCCCACTGCGGGGCAGCCAACCACGGCTCCAGCTCACTGCAGCCGCGTGGGGTACGGAATGTGGCAGGCCTGGGGCTGCTGAGAGAACCTGCAAACCGGGTTTTCTGTGAAATATCTTGATTTTAACATATTGGTCAAGGCTGGGTATGGTGGCTCACGCCTGTAATTCCAGCACTTTGGGAGGCCGAGGTGGGCAGATCACCTGAGGTCGGGAGTTTGAGATCACCCTGACCAACACGGTGAAACTCCGTCTCTACTAAAAATAAAAAATTAGCCAGGCGTGGTGGTGCATGTCTGTAATCCCAGCTACTTGGGAGGCCATGGCAGGAGAATTGCTTGAACCCGGGAGGCAGAGGTTGTGGTGAGCCGAGATCGTGCCACTGCACTCCAGCCTGGACAACAAGAGTGAAACTCCGTCTCAAAAAAAAAAAAAAAAAATTGGTCAATACAAAAAATTTTTGAATGTCATAGATCAGGTTACAGTTTGAGACCCAGGAGGTAGAGGAAGATGAAAAGAACTTTCAGGACAGAACCTGGGAGGAGGGGCTGTCCCAGGCAGACACTGTTGAGCTCAGTGGGAACAGTGAGGGTGCCCCACAGAGGAGGGAGGTGGGGACAGGATGTGTGGATTGATCTGTGCAGAAGTGGGCTGGGGTAGGGGGCGGGGGAGGGCCCGGCCTCTGAGCCACCTGTAGTAGGGTGGGAGTGAGGGGTGGGAGTAAGGGGCACATCCTCCCACCCTGGACCTGGCAACACATCCCCTTCCTCCCCAGAAAGTCACTCTAGCTGTCGAGACAAAAATATATCCAGGGAACAGAACACCAACGGACCATATGCCAAAATGGGAAGGTTGGATCTATCTGTCAGGAGTTGCTTCAATTTCAGCATCCCTTGCTGTGAATGAAGAGCAGAGGACCCAAACTCTGGGCCTGGCAGAGCCACACAAGAGCCATGGACGAACCAGAAGTGGGGGCCAGGGCCCTTGCTGCCTGCCCTGGCTCCCATAGGGCTTGAAGACAAGCTCTGCCACTCATGGCAGGCGCCAGGTTGCGCACCAGTGTTTCCCTGGGCAGGCGGAGTGTGGTTGCTTCTGAAGGCGAACTGGGAAGTGAGGAAACCTGCCCTAGGCAGGCCTCTGAACCGCAGCCCTCCCTGCAAAGCCACCACTTTTTCATGTCTCACCCTAAAGGGACAGAACCCACATCTGAAACAGCTGCTGCCTCTCAGGGCAGAAAGCCCTGTGCTGCATCCACTGGCCAAATGACACTTCAGAAAACCGTGGAAGCACCATGAGCGGCTTTTGGATAGAGAACAAAAGTCGACACTCTGAGCATCTCAGGCGCAGTAGAAGATAATGTGTAATGACCAAATTACCACAGCCTAAAAACTCCTCCAATCGAATCCAAATTAGCAGAAATAATTATGATTCACTTTAATTAGTGACTATGGAAGCGAAACCATGGCTGGTGGGCAGACAGCCTGGCAGGGCAGCTGCACGACAGCCAGGAGGGAGGGGTGTCCAGGCCAGGGAAGCTAGTGGCCTCAGTGAGCCAGGCGGTGTCACGGCCTGGAGACCTGAGGGTCCCGTCTGCTTGCCTGATGCGCTTGGTCTGGGCTGGTCTCTCTGCCTCGTTATGAACCGACAGGGCCCCTACCTCCTGTTCTTCCTCACTTTATCACTGCCACCATCTCCACGGCTACCACCGCCACTCTTGCGCCAGCTCGGAACCCTTCCCAGGCCTTACTGCTCTGTTCCACTCCCACCCTCTCTCCACTTTACAGTTGGGGAAATGGTGGCTCAGAGATCTGAGGAACGGGCCCAGATCACCCAGATGGGTCTGTCTGAGCCCAGAGCCTCGGTGCTCATCCCTGCATTGGTCTTGACCCTGTCCCCGAGCCAGGGCCCTGCTGTTTGGCTCCAGGAAAGACCGCGTCTGCCTCCCACTCCAACCTCCCACTCCAGCCCCCATGACGATGAGGACTCCCCGCTGCAGCCCCCCTGCCTACATGGCTCTAGGACCAGCTGGCACGTGGTCCTCAGGCTGGGCCGAGGTCTCCTACCTTGAGAAACAGAGCTCCCTTAGAGGCCAGGGCATCGTCGTTACACTTGTTGGGGTAACAGTGATAGGCCACGTCCATGATGGGGTAGCGGCTGGCAAAGAGGAGGCCGCTGTTGAGACACTTGAAGCTGCAGCAGCCCTGGCAGCCGTAGACCCCGACGTCGTACAGGATGTACTCGAAGTAGCCGTGCAGCTGCTCTTTCAATTTGGTGGCTGCTCGCTTGTCAAACACCTCCTGCAGGCACAGGAAGTCCAGGTTGGCGGGGAAGAAGGCGGAGACCTCATGGTCGAAGGCCTCGTCGGGGTGCCGCCTCCTGCGTGCAGCCGCCTTCTTCACCACCGAGGCCTTGTACAGGAGCTTGCTGTTGGCACCTGGCTCCCCGCTGGCACTGGTGTCTGGCCCAGCTCGCCCCTTCACCAGGGACTCCCGGGAGGCCGAGGGGCTGCCCAGGCTCCCTGAATCCCCGTCCTGCTGATTATGGTTGGGCGTCTGGCCCCTTGGGCCCCCGCCAGCTCCGTTCCTGGCCTGGCCCCCAGGCACAGGGTCGTCAGCTTCAGGTGGCCGGCCGCCCTCCTCGCCACCGATGCGCACGATGCAGGCATCCTCCGGGCTGCTGCTGTCGACAGGGTCCCCAGAGGCTGGGCCGTTGGCAGCCTCGTCACCGGGGTGCCGCCCACCGTCACCCTTGTACTCCACAGAGGCTGTCCTCTTAATGCTCCCGGGGACGGCCCGGGCCACCCCATCGCCGCCCTGTGGTGACACCAGGCTGCTGAAGCTAGCGGCGCTGATGGAGGTATTGGTGGGGGAGTCGATGTAAATTTTGATCTGGGGCCGGGCGGCCCCATTGCGGATTCTCTGCCCGATCTCCTTGGCCCGCGCTTGGGTGTTAAAAAGGTTGTTGACCCTGGCGAGTGAGTCGGGCAGGAGGCAGACGTTGGCAGTGGCAAAGCAGAAGCTTTTGCCAGGCCCCGTGCCCTTCCATTCACTGAGCAGGGCTGCCCCACCGGCCAGGCCCTTGTCTTCCAGCCGTGAATAGATGTAGGGCCGGCGGGCCGACTGCAGTGGGGACCAGAAGAGAAAGCCGAGAAACGCAAAGGGCAGCGAGGCCACCAGGAGGGCCAGGTAGATGGGCGTGAAGAGGGCAGTGCAGAGCAGCTGCAGGCAGCACGGGTCGTCTGCCCGCTGGCGCTTCTCGTAGGTGGTGGGTATGAAGGAGGCAGCGAGCCGGTCCACCAGCCAGTAGCATGGAAAGATAAGGGCCCAGGACACACAGTGCAGGGCGGACAGACAGCTGTTAGGAAAGGGGGTCGTGTACAAAACCATCGCAGCTCACTGGGCGCCGCAGCCGGCCCTACTACATGGTGTCCGTGGCAGCTGCGGGCACTTTCCTGGGCGAGGGTGGGCGAGTTGGGGGCAGCTGGAGGAGGGGTCACCTCCTGGCGAGATGCAACTCCGGCTGGTCAATGGCGAATGTTGGCCAGCCGGTCATGGTTCACCTCGGTGGGCCATGCGGAGGCCTACTGCAGACCCTGCAGAGACAAAAGTAGGGGGACTGTTTTTAGTGATCTTCAGGGGAGTGGGTCAGATATGGGGCCTTTGCCCCAGCTCATCCCACTCCTGCTTCCCCTGGTGTGAGTGGGACAGTTCTGAGAACCAGGCTGGAGCTGGCAGGCTCAGCAGGTGGCTGGGAGACAGCCCCCGCACACCGCTTCCTCCATGTATGCTGTTCTCTTGGAGCGAATAGCTTGGTGATATGACTGCCCCTAACTAACCATCTTGACCTTGTAACCCAATTGCTTGAAAAATGGTCCTGGTTTTCAGAGACTTACAGATTTGTGGGTGCAAAGGGAGCAGGCAGGGCATCCTAGAGGATGCCTGGGCCCACCCTGACCGGGGGCCGCCGGAAGCCCATCAGGAGCCAGGGCAGTTTTTAGAATGAGAGGGCAGGTGACCCTGGGTCAGAGGAGCCACAAACATGGCCACTTGTCATGGAGTGCCTGCCAGCTAAGGACAGAGCAGGAAAAAACAGCAGAGCAAAGGGGCCAGAGACTCCTGGAGCAGAGGGCAGTGTGGCCAGCAGGGCCGCAGGGGAGGGCGGTCCCCCTCCATGCACAACCGGGCTGTCACTGTGGCCCCAGCCTGCAGGATCACACCAAGCCTGGTGCTTCCACTCCACTGACCGCGGGAGAAACCCCCCAGCAATGAGGATCCAAGCGCAGCCTGCGTCTTACCAACTTCCAGAACCATCAGAGTTCCCCTGACAGTCCCTGTGACTTTTGGAGAAGCTCCCTGGGGCTGTGTGGGTCTGGCCCAAGCTTTAACCGCTGTCCCTCATGTACTCCAAGATGCAGCCCAGTCGAGACCCACAGCCATCTGAATAAGCCCACCCTGGGTCCCCTGTGGGAGCCACAAGTGGGTCTCAGAGCAGACTCAGAGCTCCACCTAGGCAAGGCTGCCAGGTGCATCTATTGTGCTGAATGTAAAATCAATAAAGACAAGCTTCTGGAGTGTTTGCCCAGTCTCCGGGGACCCACGTGTGATCACCCCGTCGGGGAGCCTATAGAAGCGTAACCCAGACTTTCCATGACTGGAGCAGTTGGGCCACTCTTTTCCCACCCACTGTCTTGCTGACTCAGCCCAGCTCCTGCCCTGGCACTTTGGGGGGTCTGAGCCCACGGTGCCATCCATCCTGGCCCCACACCCTCTCCTCCTCCTGAATCCCTGGTCACCCAAGCCAGGGACCTAGGTGTCACTGGACTCTGCCTTTCCTCAGTCCCCATCAGTCCCTGCCACTCCTGCTGGACCCCCTGCACCGGCCTGGGACTGCATCACGGTTCCCCAACTTTATCAGCCTCCACAAGGGCTGCAGGGATGCTCTCTATGTAGTCCGCTGTGTCACAGCTGCCTCACACCTACTGGAACTCCCTCAGCCCTTAGTGGGGAGCTCAGCCCCTCTGTCAGGCCTGCGGGTCTCTGCAGCCCCCTCCCCTGGACGCCCGCCTCTCACTTGTGTCCCGTCCCTGCCTGCCATTCCCCATCCTCTGCCCCTCGCCTCGCTCACCCTTTCTAAGACTCAACTTAGAAATTCCCTCCTTAGAAGACTTTTGGACCCCTTGCCCCGGTGGCTTAGGTGTCTCCACCGGTGGCTCTCATCCCCGCCACGTGTGGCCTGGTCTCTGCAGTTCTGTATCACAAATGCTCTGGGATATGGCCACCTGCCCAGCAGACCGCAAGCTTCAGGAAAGAATAGGCTGCACAGGGGCGCCCTAGAGTCCCAGGCTTGCACCAGCAGGTATGCAGGACATGGGGGATGAGGGGAGGTTCACCTGGATGCCTCCAGCCAGAGAGGGGGCAGCTGTTTTCCCACCAACCCGAGGTGTGCGGAGGGGGTTTCTGTGGGGCATGTCAGAGGCCCCAGGGCAAGTCTGCAGTCACCATCTCCAGGGCTTAGCGTCTAAAGGTGAACTTGAGCTGGGGCTGTATCTGGTTCTGATAAGCAGCTTCACAAGGCTGTCACTCTCCTCAGGGGAAATGCCTTTGAAGCCAACACTGGACGGGTGCAGTTTGGAGCAGCATGTGTATCTGTGCAGACCACAGCGGGGCAACCTGGAGCCATGGGAAAGCAGCTCTGTGCTGGGCCTCAGTGAAATCTGGGACATGGGCATCTCACTCTGCGGCCAGTGCTCGTGGCTCAGTGCTCAGCGGGACTGGTGGGTGTCCAGGTCCACCCCCGCCTGCCATCTGGCTTGGGAGACTCCAGGACGTACTCCCTCATTCTTTCTCTAAAATCCCAGCAATTGCTGCAAGATGAATCAAACCTGCAGAGGGAGCGACAGCCCACTCACTCTCCCTCCCAGGCTGGAGGGTTCCCCCCCAGCAAACCTGCAGCCCTCATTGTGTGGAGCCGGCTGTCTTCACACTGGCTGGACTGACATCCACAGGAGGGGACACAGAGTCACCCACAGGCACCTGTCTCTGGTGGACCAGCTGGGGCCAGAGGGAGAGCTTGCAGGTCCTGTCCCTGTGGGGACAATGGGGGCGGGATGGGGGTCTCTCAAGGCTCTCCAGCCACCAATAGTCCCTGCAGTTGGCACTAAGGCCTCAGGTTAAAGGTCCAGGCCAGATTCTTGGGGCCACCTGGACGTCACCCCAATGTCATGAAGCAGGCCCATTCCTGAGTCACCCTCATCTCTGTGGCCTGAGGTCACCAGCCCAGCCTGGCCAGCACCATCCTCACCTGAGCTCCTGCCTCACCCCGGCACTGCCCTGTTGCCCTCAGCCTCAGCCACAGCCCCAAGCCCACCACCAGTGTGCAGCGGGTCCTCCCAGACACAGCCGATTCTCTCTCTCCCTTTGGTGGTCTCACTGTCTTGGGGGACAAAGTCCAGTCTCCCAGTCTGTATCTAGGGGCCCTTTGTGCTTCTGCCTCCACCAGCTTTTCCCTCATCCACCCCCACCCTGGGCTCCACCAGCAGGAAGGGCTGTGCAGGCTGAGCCCTGGCGTGAGGACACTTTGGCAGAAGGATTCGGGAGGAGAAGGTCTATCCTGTCTGCACCATGCTGCCGTCCTGGCAGAACTGGCTGCTATTCCACAGTGTGGCCACAGCTCCCTCATGGGTCAGAGGAGGGTGGAGACTCACTTCATCAAAGGGTTCCTAAGGGAATTCTGCAAAACTGCTCTCCCGTGTGGCGCATCCCTGACACTGGCCCATCAGGGCTGGGATCTGCTATTGGCTGAGATGGGGCTATGGAGGGTGTAGAGGAGAGAGACTCTCTCCTCAGCTGCCCTGGGCCCCCCTTTCTCCTGCTGTGATCCCAGAAACCCTGTGGGCCAGCTTCCCATGGCCCTGCCAGCAATGGTAGTGAGTGGCCAGTCCTGATCTTTACACTTCTCCTGGGCTGGCCAGAGGACTGTCTTTGGTCCTTATTCAGGAATTGATGGGATTTGAGGTGACTGGCAGCTGGTGGGCAGGAGTGGCCCAAGATCACTCCTCTAGGAAGTGGCAGAGCCAAGCATGCCAGCCCTTCCCGCTGCCCTTCCAGGCCCCTCCTAGTGACTCCAGGTCCCCCGTCCATAGCCCCTCGCCAGCTTCCCAGCTGCTGCCCCCTGCCCTGCTCCTGTGTGCGGCCCCTGCCTCTGCATAGAAGCCGCTGGCGCAGGAGACACAAAAGGGATTGCCACCCATGGAGAAACCATGGAGCTAGTTTCTAAGGCTCTGTGGTTAATTATCTTGTCTCAGGGAAATGAAAGGAGGGTAAATAAGCAACAACACATTAATTAGTCTGATCTACACTTTCCCATGAAAGAGGAGAACTACAGTTAAACATTAGAGGCTGGTAACTTTTCAGAGAAACCCCCAAGTCCTCAGAGAGGTGGCCAAGGCAGGACATGCTCCCTGGCCCGGGCCTGCTGCGTGGTGGTGCTCAGCCGCACTGGTGCCTGTCCCCTTCCTGTTGCCTGCGCTCCTTTGGCCTAGTTGGGCCATTGAGTGGGCCCAGGCCAGAGTCTGTCTCCAGGTGGGGGACTCCATGCCCCCGCTCTCTGCTTCCATGTCCCTGGACTGGCAAGTTTGCCAAGTAGAGTCCACTGTGGGCCCCTCTGAGGGGACTGGCAGGACCCCCAAAGGCCTTGAGGGCTGAGTTTTTGCAGCTCAACCTCAGACTGCATTGTTCCCCCAGGGCTCCTTATTTTGAAGTCCACAGTTATCCATGGATTTGTCCCCTTTGCGAATCCTGGTATGTAGCTTCTGAGGTTGCCCAGAATGACATCCCCCAACACCATGCTCTCCAGACCTGAGTTGGAGTCCCGTTGTCTCCAGGTCGTCATAGGTCCTGGCAGGCCCCATGGTCACTCCTGAGCCCTGGGGTCAGTGTGGGAGGCCACACAGTACCCCAAGGCTGGGCTCCTGGGAGTCAGCCCCGACCTAGAAAAGGAGACTTTAGACCTGCCCCTGGCCCTCGGCTTCACCGGCCACTGCTTAGCTTGGGCTTGGGACTCAGGGTGACCTGAGTGCAACCCTGCACTAGTCAGGACTTTCTACCTCCCAGGATGATCATAAGGACAGAAAGGAACCAGGCTAGAGACCTGGCCAGGCCCTGCTTCCTTCCCTACCCGCTCCTGGTAGGACCTCCCGACCACTCCTCCCCTGAGGGTCAGCCCTTGTGTGCCCTGTTTGCTCTCCCCAGCCTGGTGTCCTGGGCACGGTTCTGGGGGTCACTGGAGCCCACCCACAGAAGTCCCAGGATCCTGACTGTCCCAGAGCGCCTTCAGGAGCCTCAGAGACATCAGCCACACTGCCTAGGCTGGAGCTGCTGGACTTCACTAGCTTGTGGCTGTTCCCTGCAGTGGGGACTGGGCTGCAGGGAGCAGAGAGCTCCATGGTTTGCAGGTTGACCCAAGCAGGAGGAGAACTTGCCCTGGGACTTTGGGAGCCCAGAAAACCCCAAGTCCAGCTGTGAGGGGATGAGGGGAAGAAGTGAACAAGTCCTGGGCAGGACCCAGGTGGCCACAGCCCCAGCCGCTCCTGGTGGGTGTGTGGCATTGACAGCCGGCAGCCCCAGACTGCGGCTGCTCCTGCGAGTGACTGATAATTTGTAGTCAATCTGCAGCCATGAGACCCCTGTTGCTGACATATGACCTGAGGCATCACGGCACGGACAGTGGGAGACTATGGCTGCTCAGAGGCCTGCACTGAGCCAGAGCCCCCCTCCCTAGACACTGGCCTGAGGGCTCAGGGGGCAGCTGATCTGCCATCACCAGCGGAGGGTGATCCCAGGAATAAGGCCTAGCCAGGCTGGTCCTGTCTGGACAAGCCATGGTGGCCAGGACCTCTGCTACTGGACGTCAAATACCACCAGCACCAAGACAGTCATCCCATTTCCCAACTCCCTGGCAATAGACATGCAGGTGTAATGGCACACTGGCTCTGCTTGCACAGTGGTGCAAAGGGTCCTAGGTGGATCCTGGCTTTGAATTTGAATTTCTCTGGTGGTGGGAAAGTGAACAAGCCAGACCAGTTCTGCTGGTAAGGCAAGCCCTGGCCCCTGTGAGGAAGCCTACAGCATTTTCTAGGGATCTCTGAGCCCGGGGGAGCTTCTGGAAAATTGAGTAGGTTTGGGAGTTGCCCCACTTTGGCGCTAGGATGAGGCCTGTCTCCCCTCCACTGCCCTTTCCTCTGGCTCATGTGCTTGCTGACACTGCTCTTCCCGGCAGCAGGGCTGGGAGTCCCAGAGCAGAGAGGCCTCCTCTGAGTCCCTGCCGTGTCCACAAGCTCATGTCTAAACAGGAGCTATGCCAAGCCCCTGGTTTCCGCAGGAAAAGCCACGTGGATTGCTCCAATCCAATTACCCAAGGTGCCTGCATCCGCCTGTGGCACTGAGCTCAGGCCGGGCCATTTCTGCCTGGATGCATGCTGCAGAGGAGTTGGCATGGCAACATGAGCTCTGAGCTGCTGAAACTTAAGTCAACTCGTGGCTGGGAGGACAGAAAGACAGAAGCGGATGCCTTTCTGAGTGATGCAGGTTGGACACATCCACGCTAATTCCCGAAAGCCACATCCCAGGTAGAATTGGGGTCTGGGGTCTGGCAAGAACATGTGTGCTGTGGCAGCGGCTCCTACAGACACAGGTGTGCCAGGTAAATGCCTGTTCATCCATCTAGATCCAAAGCACCTGCCTCCTTCTCCCTGCAGTCCTCCCTGACCTGCACACCCCCCCACCCCCTCAGTCTGTCACTCTAATCAGGCACGTGTCTGTTTGCACGTCCTGGATGGAGCTCCAAGTCTCGGCACCACCACAAGCCTGAAGCCCACCCTGCTGCACTCCACAGGGAGGGCAGTGAGCCACCCAGGCCACTCAGCACCAGCCCTCCTGACCTGGAAGGTCACACAACCCAGCTAGACTACCCTAAGCTCTCCCTGGAACCCTTACTGGGCCCTTTAGGAAAGAGGCCTGCATTTTATCTGAGATGGAAGGTTAGGAACCTGAAGCTTCTGGAACCTTCTTTGAGAATGAATCCAATTCAGAGGAAAACAGACCTTAGGGCTGGAAGGAAAGAGACCAAGTCCTAGAGACATCGTTGAGCTCTGATCTCCCCGCACCCAAAGCCAGCACAACCCACAGACTTTCCAATTAATGATTCAGCAGTTCCCCTTTTCCTTGCTCTAGTCCCTTTGAGTTGGTTTCTGGCATTTGCCACCAAATGGATCCTGTCTCAGATACAGCTATGTGATCTTTCTAAAATGCGATTCTATCAGGTCCTCTCCTGTGCAAACCTCCTGTGGCTCCCCGTTGACGTCCCACTGGGAAAAGTGGAGGCTCCCCTGAGTCCTGGGAGGCCCTGCAGAACCTGGTGCCTCTGGCCTGTGCCTTATCGGCATCCCTTGGGAGACCACAGTGGAGCAGATGCTGGGAGCACAAACTCTGGTGTTGGACATGCAGGGCCAGGTCGACCTGCTGGATATTGGACAGGCTGCTCAACTGACTGTGCCTTAGTTTCCTCACATGTTAAGCCTTGGTAATAACCGTCTCTCAGGGTAGTTGCAGATGGTGCACGTGCAGCACCGAGTGTGGTGCCTGCCTCATCTCTAGGACGCTTATTTTTATCATTTTGCTATCACTGTTAATTCCCTTGCTGCAAAGTCCTGAAGATACAGCCGGAGCCTTCAAAGTCTCCTCCTCTTGAGGCTGGTTTGCCTTACAAAGAGGGTTCTCTGCTCTCCCAGGTGCATGGCGAGGACAGTGCAGGGGACGACGTCAGGGCCTCCGTCTCCTCGCAGGAGGTTATCAGAGCCATCTGTTGTGGGCTGCTTGTGCGAGCCCAAGGCACAGGCTTCTGCAGAAGCCAGGTGCAGGCAAAGGGGCCATACAATTTTCAAAAAGAAACTTTTCACAGGAGGTATTACTGCACCGTGTGATTTCTGAGAATAGGAACAGGCTGTGAGCAGCTCTGGGGCACTCCTTCAACCAGCCAGCCTCGGCATTTCCCTGGCGAAGTCAGAAAGCCCAGATGAAGCCAACTCGGGCGTGACTGGAAAGCAAATCTCAAGCCAGGTGAGTGGTGCACGTCCTAGAGGTGCAAGAGCCAACGTGATGTTTCAAACAGCAGGACCCCTGGGTCCAGGCCCTTGTGCCACGGTGACATGGGCAGTTGCCCTGGAGGCATGGGCCCCATCCTAGGGGGACAGCTGAGTTTGAAGACCTGACTGCCCACTCTCTACCACCTGTCACTCCAAAGTCATCTATTAGTGACCACAAAGGGTGCCAGCAAGGAGAAGGCTGGATGGAGGCTGGCACCTAGACCCACGTCTGAGCCACACCAGGCAGCACCTCCTCTCATTCCTGTGTTCTGCTCACAAACCAGCCTGACAACCAGACTTATCTGCCAGAGTTTGCAAGGGCAGAAGCCCGCAGGGCTCCCGCCAGTCCTATGCCCTCATGGAGGCTGAGCCCAAGACAGAGAGGAGGCCAGGGGCAAAGTCTTGCTTCAGGATGAAGATGGGGAACCTCCTCCACCTGAGGCAGCTCCGGGGCCGAACTGGAGCAATCACAGGCCACAGCTGAGCATCTAGCCAGGCAAGGCCTCCAACCTCAAGTGCTCTGAGCCTGCCTGGGTGCTGAGGCCTGTGCCTGGGCTGGGCCTTGCAAGTCACCAAAGCAAGGGATCCTGGAACACCAAAGCAGGTCACGTCACCTGCTCCCGGCTGACCAGCGCCACCTGCATCCTCAGGAGGCCCTCTGCCCTCAGCACCACCTCTGCCCTTCATAGGAAGGAGACCAGGAGGGCCTTGCTTCTCTCAGGTTCTGCTGTTGAGATTTCTGTCCCAGCCAAGTCCCTACTTCCCTGACATGAAGGCTGATGTTAATGGTTCATGAGCCTAACAAGGCTTGGAATATGCTTTACTTAAGAGGGGATGACAGCATACTGTCTGTGGGAGTAGAATTTTAAACACAAGTCCACACAAATGTTAGGATTTAGGCAGACCCTGTGTCGGCTGCATTTCAAGTACAGCATTTCCTTCTGGAACGGATTGGCCGACTACACGATGTGTAGGCATTTCAAGGCACCAGAGAACACAGATTAAGACGACAAACCTTCCTAAAACAGAACAGACGGGCTAACATTCTTCGGAAGGGAATCATTTCACATTCAGTCTAAAGTTTTCTATGCAAAGAACATTTAACAAACTGAGTCCTAGAGGAAAATTTATGCAGACCTTAAGAAGCAAGTGAGTGAGAATGAGTAAATAAAATCAGGTGTCAGCATTTCACTCACCCTCCCAGGCGGCTGGGCTTTTTGGACTGGGGCAAGGCCTCACTGCTGAGGGTTGAGGCCCCGTCCTGGACCCTTTTGGAGACCTCTAACCCCAGGCCACTGCTCTACACATGGCACCATGAAAGACCATCCCTCTGCACACGGCACCATGAAAGCCCTTGGATCCAAGAGAACCAGCCAGAACACCCTCCCCTTTGAGAGAGGATGCCCCAGCTCAGGCCCAACCAAGGGCTGCTGTACATCTGATAAGGGGAGACCAGAGCTCTTTTCCCTTTAGTTTACCTCTGCTTCCAAGCCCGAGACAGGACTCTTGCCTCACTTCCTCTGGCCCCTGGAGCACCTGGAACCTGATGTCCAGCCAAGAGGTAGGACTGCACTTCCTGGTCCTCTGGCGGTTGGGTGGGATCACGTGATGAGTTCTGACCAATGAGCTGTGAGTGAAAGTGATCTCGGGTATTGCTGCGCTTAAGTACTTAAACGGTAGATGTGGAACCTTCCAGAGCTCTCTCCCTCTGCCACATTGACCTGCAGTGTTGGAGATGGTGGCTGCTCCGTCAGCCTCAGTCCAGGGTGAAGAGACATGGAGCAGGGCCCCAGCTAACCCACATGTAGTGTGGGCAAGAAGAAAACCTTTGATTATAACCACCGCATGACCCATCCCATCCTGACCAATAGAGGACAGCTTCTGATTGGCTGTGTAATTAGTCCACTTACTTGATGCTGAAAACAAGCCTCATTACGGACAGCTTGCAGTTTCTCAAGAATACAGCCAGATCTACCCTCCAATCCAATCCAACTCTTCCTGCTCTCAAGGATAATGAAACAATAATGATGTTCCTTTGTCCTGAATCCAGGCCAGGCGGTAGGCTCACTCCTCACCTCCTCAGTGTGGCCTAAAAAAGTCCATTCCTACCTGTCCAAGTTCTTCTAGCACCATGAAGCATCAGGGGAGCTGAGTCTTAATCTTTTAATTTGTAGTAGAAACTTTCTGCTCAGAGAAGCGGTTGCTTTGGTGACACAGGTAGCACAGTAAATCCGTAGACGTGGAGAAGTAAATCCACCGGAAACCTCTGCCAGGGGTCAGGGTATGGGTTGGTCACAGGGTCCAAGTGAGCCCTGTAGGGGAGGGGCAGGAGGCAACACTGGGGATCCTTTAAGGTGGGCTCAGATAGAGACAAAGCCCAGAGGCCCAGCTTGGCGAGACACTGCCAGGTGTGGCTAGCTGACAGTGCACCCAGGGCTGGCAGGGGCAGGCTGGGCAGCAGCTGTTAAGCAGGGAGGCTGGGGGCACTGGGCGAGTCAGATGCAGCATAGTGGCTGCTCAGGGTATTGCACGGCAAGGGCCTAGGGTTTCTGGCAGCAGAGACTTTGCCTCCTAGTTGTGTATAGTTAAGGGTGGGGTGTCCCCGAGGGAGGGTGTGGAGATAGGAAGGTGGTGGGTATTGGGTGGAGCAAGCCGTGAGCAAGGGAGGAACAGGTGTGGTGGTGGGACAGAAAGGGAACTGAGAGTGGACTCAGGGAGGTGGAGCCACTTAGGGAATCCTGCCTTGCCAGGGCCATGCCTTTGAGGACCATAATGACTACCAGATCACTGACTGCAGACAAGGAGGCATCCTCCAGGAGGGGCAGCTGGGGAACACGGGCCTGAGGGGAGGATCCCCTGCATTCACTTAGTTTGCCCCCAGTTAGTTTTTTTGTTTGTTTTGTTTTGTTTTGTTTTTTGTTTTGGAGATGGAGTCTCGCTCTGTCGCCCAGGCTGGAGTGCAATGGTGCAATCTCTGCTCACTGCAACCTCCACCCCCCACTGGGCTCAAGCGATTCTCCTGCCTCGGCCTCCCGAGTATCTGGGATTACAGGCATGTGCCAGCTAATTTTTTTTGTATTTTTAGTAGAGATCGGGTTCCACCATGTTGGCCAGGCTGGTCTCGAATTCCTGACCCCAGGTGATCCACCCGCCTCAGCCTCCCAAAGTGCTGGGATTACAGGCTTGAGCCACTGCGCCCAGCCAGGTTTGTTTAACTTAAATGCTTAGCCTGTCCGGATAGCATCCCACCTACACTGTGCAGAGCAAGCTGGCTCAAGTCATCCCTTCTGCTCAGAGCATGCTGGCTGCATCTGTCCTGAACTCCAGGAGGGCTGAGTGGCCCTCTGGCTGGTTGGGGGTCTGGATGGCAACCCACCTGAGGCTGCCTGCCCTCCCCCGCACACCACAAGAGAAAAGGAAGACAGAGTGTCTCACTAGACTTTCTTGGTAAAGTTTTGGAAAGAAAACGTCCAGAACAGAGGTCAGCACCTCTGAGAAAACAGTCCATGCAGTTTCAACCAGATTGGCCTTAGGAAATAGGCCCAACCGGAGGTGTAAGAGGCTCATTCCTCATCTGTTCTCCACTTGCTGCCCCTTGGTCCTGGCGCCATCCTCTTGCTCCCCGCACCATGGGACTGCTCCTTCTCAGGGCCCTTGGAGGATCCCTCAGAGCCCCTTCCCTGCCCACTTCCTAGGGGCTGGACTTTCTCTTGCCTCTTCCCTCCCTTCTCGGCTGATCCCTTGTGGGTTACCTGTTTCCAGGTGACAGCCAGCCCAGGTATCTCCTGATCTCTGACCACATGTATTTGATTGACAACTCTACATCTTCCTCTAGAAGTTTATTACTCCTCCTCCCCCCACTTCCCCACATACAATTCTGTCTCCCAAATAGTTCTGGGCCCTGGACCTCTTCCATACCCTGTCTCCTCTTCCCAGCTCACAATTCTGCCCCCTAGTCCCCTGGATCCATTCCCACAGCCATATCCCAGTTCAGGCCTCGCCCTCTCCAACCTAGACACTGTAACAGATTCCACCTTGTCTCCCTCCTCTGGCCCACCTGGCAGCTGGTGGGGTCTTTCTAAACTACACATCATACCACACTGCTCCCCTATGGCCCTTCAGTAGTGCCTGCGGACTCCAGGAGGTTGCCCAGGCACCTAGGCAGGGAAGGGCAGGCTATATCTGGTGGCCTGATTCCTCTGTCTCCTCTTGCTCCTGGAGCTCCAGGGGCCCTGACCCGAGCAGTCCCCCACTGTGCCCTTCCAGGCCTCCACACTTCTGTTGGGGCTGTTCCCTGACAGCCGTCATCTGTGTGAAGGAACATGGCCTCAGCAGAGGAACTCAGGGTTCAAGATTCACAGAGAAGATCCCTTCATCAAAACTCAGCCAGTCCACCCATGGCCCCTGGGATAACTAGAGGACCTTAGGCTGAGGCCAAACAGGCCCTTTCTCTCTTGATAGCTGAGTGTTTCTGTGCATGTATTGCACAAGCTTGCAGTCTGCATACTAGAAAGGGAGGTAACCAGCCCCTGATAGATCTGACACCTTCAGATCTATCAAGCTAAAAACAGAACTGAGAGACAGGAGGCTCAAGCTATGTCAGCAAATTCCATCCTTCAAAGCAGAAGGAGGGACGGCCTTGTGTGTGTGACTCTGTGGGTTGTCTCTGCAGGACCAGGGACCCTGCCCATGTGGAGCCCTGGGGTTGGGGGGTAAGGTGCTCCCCCACCATCCCAACTTCCAGTCCCAGGGAATGAGGGTTCTGTTTTCTAACTCTGAGGCCAGATGAAGAGAACAAAGCTTGTGCCCCCCACTCCCCCCGCAAGCACTCAGTATTTTATTCCATCACCTGACCCTAGCTGTGTGTAGAGTAGGAAGGTAATAGGAACCCCTGCCGACTGAGAACAAGTGGCAGCCCTGCCCCCTGCTGACCTGGAGCTGCAGCCAGAATGGCCTCATCTGAGGCCACCTGCGGCCTGCTTGGGACCTCAAACTCATTCCCTCCCTTCCTTCCTTTCTCTTTCCCTCCTGAAGCGGGGACACAGCTATGAGCCAGTCCATGGCAAAGACAAGAGGGAGATTGGACATGAGCATCAGAATTGCAGAAGTAACAGCCGCCTCTTGGGGATATCAGAGAAGGCGTCACCCAGCACCTCAGAGAATATGCTTTTCACACTGGGGGTGCATTTATACTGCACAACTACCCCAAATGGGTACAGCTGGCCCCACTTACAGATGAGGAGACGGAGACTCAGAGAAGTAAATGGCAGTCCCTGAGAGGTGCAGCCAAGTCACCTGACTCCAATTTCCTTTTTCTCTCTACTTTTCTTGCCAAGGCTGATATAAGTGATATGCAAACATATCCAGAAATATGTAAATGAGCAGCATCCAGCACCACCCTTACTTCCAGGACACGTTCTGGGGGAAGAGTAACATTCCCTACACTGTCCTTCTTGTCGATCCCCCTCGATTCCCACAAAACAAGACCTTTGCCTCTTTTTTCAGTCCCCTGAAGGTTACATTTGTCACCCACCCCCACTGAGCCATTGGTGAAAACTCCAACGATCTTCTTCCTCCCTCCCTGCGAGCTGCTGGTCTCATCTATTTCCCCTTTTTTTCTTCCATCCAGTCACCACCACCTTGGATCCCCAAATCTCCCTGCCCCCAGCCTGGTGACCACCCTGGCAACCCTGACAACGCTTAATTTGTCAATATTTGAGAAGGAGTGGGCTCTTACAGTAGTCTTGTTTTCGCTCCTAGTCTGAGGTTCCTGACTGTCAGGGGTCACTAGTTTCTGCTTTTGTTCCTGAGAATGGGCCAGTAGTCTGAATTACTTCTTTGGGATGGATTCAAGAGTAGAATTACTCAGTAAACTTTAACGCTTCTGATACATATTGCCAAACTGCTTTCTACCAAGGTTCTGTCAATTTACTGATTGTTTGAGAATATGTGTTTCACAACATCCTTACCAACTCTGGGTTTTAACATTAAAAAATGTGATTTTTGGCTGGGCACAGTGGCTTGTGCCTGTAGTCCTAGCACATTGGGAGGCCAAGGCGGGCAGATCGCTTGAGCCCAGGAGTTGGAGACCAGCTAAGGCAACATGGCGACACCAGGCTCTGCAGAAAACACAAAAATTAGCCAGGCGTGGTGGTGTGTACTTGTAGTTCCAGCTACTCAGGAGGCTGAGGTGAGAGGAACACTTGAGCCCGGGAAGTAGAGATTGCAGTGAGCTGAGATTGCACCACTGCACTCCAGCCCCAGAGACAGACGGGTCTCAAAAAAAAAAAAAAAAGTTTTTGATAGTTTAGTGGGCAGTGGTATCTGGTTACATTTTTCAGGATGCTTAATTTGGATTCCTTTTATGAAGTGCTGCTTCAAATCCTTTTCCCATATATTGAGGGAGTTATTGTTTTCTCCATAGATTGGGTGTATTGCACTCCGCTTGAGTCAGGTTCAGGATGGGACCCAGATGGCCAGCTCCAAATTGCTTACCCCAGAGCTGTGGTTTTCAAACATTTTAACAGGCGGGAGAGCCTTTTCCTAATCTCACACAGCATCTCTTTATAAAAATACTAACAAGTAGCCCATGAGGAAAGGCTTGGAGCGCTCCCTTCCCCACCCCCACCCCACCCCTCTGGTTCCAGAAGCCTTGGTTTTACCTGAGGAGGGGCCACTGGGACCTTGTTGTCCTTCTCTCTGAAGAAGAGCTGTCACCGCAGACCTGAAAGGAGATGAGCAGTTCACAGGGGTGCCCGGAACAATCTCCAGAGCTCACCTGACAGCCACCGAGCAGCCCAGAACAGGTGAGCCAGGTACAAAGACCAAGGGGCCTCACCTGCGGCCAGAGGCACTGCCACACCCTCCACGTCGCCAGGGCGAGGGTGTGTGCCCGGCAGTTCCAGTGGACGAAGTGCAGTCCCAGTGGGTGGGGCCCGAGGTTTGTGTGACAGATTTTCAAGGAGGAGGGTTGCCAAGAGGAGAGGACTCTGAGGGTGGGATGGATGAGCCCTCCACGTCGACACTGGGACCCAGGCCAGGCGCAGGGGGTGCGGGGTGAAGGTGGAGGGTGGGGAAGAGGTGAATTCAAAAGCTCCAGCTGCAGGGCCCAGGTTTAATCTGATAGTTAGAACCAGAACAATCAGAGCTTTGGGAGCTTTGTGCAATCTCTGCTTCCCTAAGATACTGAGGGTAGGGGAGAGCTGAACCCAGGCCAGGGAAGAGGGACAGTGGCCACCAGGATGGGGTGGATTAGGGGAGGAAGAGCAACATTGAGAGGAACCAAAGGGATTTGGTGGCTCCCCCCTTATCTAAGGGGGAGCAGGTCAGTGGAAGGGAGGCTCAGTGGGACACTTTGTGAACCCAGCGGGGTCTTTGGAGGAGACAGCTGGGAGGGAACTCATGTGAACCTAGGCCTTTGGACACGATGTCACTGGCTCCCCTTGCTGACTGAGGTGAGGGATCCTGGCACTATGCTCTGGGGACACTGCCCTCCACACTTGGGCCCCAGTCCCAGTTTGTAGTCCCCGCCCTTGCCCACTAGTCCCGCCCCTGGCCTTAGGTGCTGGCCCCGCCCCTGATCCCTGGCCCCAGGCAGCTCTCTGAGCCCGTTGGCCCAGTCCCAGGCCTTGTCCCTACTAATCTGCCGAATCCTTGGCTCCGGGGCCCGCCCCCTGTCTCAGGCCCAGTCTCTGCTTTCAAGTTCAGCAGCCCCCTGCCCAATGCCCAGCACAGCCAGGGCTGTCCTTGCATGCTCCACCTTCTTAAGCCCGTCCCATGGCCCGGCCCAAAGCCCTCTTACCACCCCTCCATTCAGAGTAGGGTGACCTATCACTCTTCACACCGCATCCCTTAGGTACACTTATTTTGCAAATCACCCAAACTAAGTGTTTCAGAAGAATCTGAAAGCCAAGGCCCCGTCCATTCTCTGTCCCCTAACTGAAGATGTAGCAGCAGTGCTGGCAGGAGCGCCTCCTCTGCGGCAAACAATTGGCTCCCTTCTCACTAGGAATTTGCACAGAAAAGGCTTGGGCTCTAATGAGACCCGGTTCTGGTCTAGGCCATCGGTCTTGGGCAAGTCATTTAACTTCTGAGCCTCAGAGGCTCCCTCCTCTGTAACATTAGGGGCCACTACAAGATCCTGGATGGCCACGGCCAGGACCAAATGAGCACCGGCACTTGATATTGCCAGATCAGAGTGGGAAGAAGGAAGCCAGAGCCCCCCAGGTCTATGCTCTGCACGTGGTGACCTGGCTTCCCCAGGAGCCCTTATGTTCATGTGGACACCCTGGCTTTTGCCCTCAGAGCCAAGTACCTGGCAGGATCCCTCCCCACCCATAGCCTGGGGAGTCCAGCCTGCCGGGAAGCAGAGGGTGACCTGCTGTCCCGGCCTGTCCTCTGTCCCTGGGACTCCTGCCTCTTCACCCACAGTTGGCTGACAACCTGCATGCACCTCTGTCCTTCACCCTCTTGCTGGGCTGACCTGACCCAGGCCACAGGCTCACAAGCATCTGGCATTAGACATAAAGGAGGCAGGCCACTCCTGAGCCATTTGGGCCTGTGTGACTCCCAGCCCCCACTGCCCTCTCTCTAAGTGGGGAGGAGCTCACCTCTCATCCCTGAGTGAGAAGTTTGTCAAGCAGGATCTTTGGCCTCTGACATTTCCCAAACTGTCCCCCACCAGCTGCACAGCCCCCTCCCCACTCTCCACCCCACTCCCATGCCCCACCAACTCTTCTGAAAAATCCCTGCATGTTTTTTTCAAAATAGAATTAAATGACAAGAACTGACTATTTAGGGAGGGGTTCCTGAGGGGAAATGGAATCTCGACAACCTTGAAATTATAGGCCCTTCTCTTTTCTCAAAGAAAAAAGAAACATGTCAGATCATTGATATTCTGAGCCAGGCCTTGTTTTGAAATATGCTGTCCCCCTATCCTTTCACGAACCACAGACTTTTTCCCTCTTTGAGAATAAGATCACATCAAGTCAGGGATTAGAAATGGGAAAAATTCAATCAGAGCCTCCCTCTGCCAGCTACCCATCTCAATATACTCCCAGGCAAGCAGAATCAGCTCCTGCCTCCAACCCTGCTCAGCATCATCATTCAAAACGCACCGGTAGGAAATGGTGAAACAGAAGAACCTTTCATCCCGGCTGAGCAGGGCCTGCAATGCTGCTCTCCTGGCTCTGGCAGCTGGCTTGTGCCTGGGCCGAGTCAGGCCTCTGGCTTAAATAGGCAGTAGGAGCAGAGCAGGGAGGGCCTGGGGGGCGGGTGTGGAAAGTGGGCCGTTTACCTAGCACAGCAAGGCAGTGTCTGGAGCCAGCAGTGGTCCCAAGCACGCTCCTGCCTGCCTGCCTGTCCACCAGGAGGCCTCAATCCCACAGGCCCCAAGACCACAGACCAGTACCTGGGGTGACCCCTGATGGATGTGCAGCTCCACGGGAGATGTCCCTAGATGCACTGAGCTTGGTCAGTTTCCTGGATACCTCCACCTTTCCTTTGTAGCAGAACCAGCTGTGGAGATGGATGGACCTGTTCCCTGGGGCCTCTCTCCAAGCCTCAGTTGCTGCCTTCTTAAAATGAGGATAACACTGACTTCACAGGTCCAGAAATAATGTTTGCAAAGGGCACCTAGGAGGTTGATTTATTTACCCACATGGTGATACTGGGGCCAGGTACCTTCGATGAGGCTGGAGCCTAGAGGTTTAGTAATGTACCCAAAGTCACACAGCCTTCCATCTGACTGTCAGTGTCAGACCTCATGCAGACCTGGGGCCTCCCAGCCTCATGCTACAGTTGAAGTTTGGGGTGAGTGAGAGTGAAGAGCAGCTGCTCACCTTGGGGAAAAATCTTGACTGAACCCTAGTGAAGGGGTTACCTTTAAGTCCCCAGTGTTATGGGAAAGGGGTCCTGATCCAGACCTCAAGAAAGGGTTCTGGGACCTTGCACAGGAAAGAGTTCAGGGTGAGTCCACACAGTAAAGTGAAAGCAAGTTCATTAGAGAAGAAACAGAAGGATGGCTACCTCATTGACAGAGCAGCCCAGAGGGTGCTGGTTGGCTATTTTTATGGTTATTTCTTGATCGTGTGCTAAACGAGGGGTGGATTATTTATGCGTTTTCCAGGAAGGGGGTGGGCAATTCCTGAAACTGAGGGTTCCTCTCCTTTTTAGACCATATAAAACCAAGGGTGACTTCTGGAACATTGCCCTGGCATTTGTAAACTGTCACGGCGCTGGTGGGAGTGTCTTTTGGCATGCCAATGCATTATAATTAGCATATAATGAGCAGTGAGGACAACCAGGGTTGTTTTGTTCACCATCTTGCTTTTGGCAGGTTTTGGCTAGCTTCTTTACTGCATCCTATTTTCATCAGCGGAGTCTTTGTGACCTGTATCTTGTGCTGACCTCCTATCTCATCCTGTGACTAAGAATGCCTAACCTAGGCTGGATGTGGTGGCTGACGCCTGTAATCCCAGCACTTTGGAGGCTTAGGCAGGCAGATCTCTTGAGCTCAGGAATTTGAAACCAGCCTGGGTAACATGGTGAAACCCTGTCTCTAAAAAATATACAAAAACTAGCTGAGTGTGGTGGTGCATGCCTGTAGTCCCAGCTACTTGCGCTGCTGAAGTGGGAAGATCGCTGGAGCCCAGGAGTTCAAGGCTGCAGTGAGCTGTGATGGCGCCACTGCACTCCAGCTTGGGTGACAAAGTGAGACCTGTCTCAAAATAAACAAACAAAGAATAAGAATTCCTAACCTTCTGGGAATGCAGCCCAGCACGTCTCAGCCTCATTTTACCCAGCACCTATTCAAGATGGAGTTGCCCGGTTCAAACACCTCTGACAACACCACCAAGGCAAGGAGGGTGCCATGGTTGGACAGGCATGGTCAGGCAGCCTGTCTGCATTTGGGTGAGACCCTGGGGGAGAGGTGCAGAAGTATCCCAGAGTAGCTGCTAGGGATGGCTGGTGAGAGGAGCTACCCTTCAAACCTCCTAGATCTCCAAGTAACACTACAGGGTGGTGAGTGGTTGGTTCAACTTGATCTTCCAGTGAGGTGGACAGTGCCCCCACCTCAGTGAACAAAGATTAGGACATAAGCTAATGGGGAATTAAGACAAAGCTGTAGTTCGTCATTTTATGCTTGAAAAAATTCTGCCCTTAAAAGTGCAAGTAACTCTGCTAGTAAATAATTGAAGTCACATGAGGGAGTTGTCTTTAACAGGAAAGTACACATTTTGATTTTGATTAACAAAATGTTAATTCCTCATTTCCCCCAAAGAAGCAGCAAAACAGAGGGCCTGGATCTCTGTTAGTTGGACTCAGAAGGGAGATCAACTTGACTGTAGATACTGAAGAAGATGAAGTTGAAGATATGATTACATATGAAGCCCATTCATCTGCCAGTCATTAATTGTTGTGTATATTGTGGACCTGACATCCTTTCAGAAGTTTGGACTACAAAGGTGGGAGACACACTTGGAAAGACTGTGCACTTCAGAGTCCAATCTAGGTTCAAATCTGGCCCTGGGCAACACTGGGCCTTCACTTAGTCTCTCTGAGCATTGGGTTTCTACTACTTTGCAAGGCTGTTGGGAGAATTAGATGAGATGATATTGGTGACAACTCTTTGTAGGTATTCAGTGATCAGTTATCCATTTGGAAAGATAATTCTACAGGGAGCATGGGGTGGGCAGGAGGGGAGACAAGCAGGAAGGCCAGTGCAGTAGGCAAAGCAGGGAGATGGCAGGGCCAAGGCAGTGGGAAGAGAGAAGGGTCACATATCTGGGGGACATCTAAGAGGGTAGAATGGTGTTATGAACCGAATGTTTGTGTCCCCAACAAATTTATATGTTGAAGCCCTAAACCCACTGTGTGGCTGCATTTGCAGATGGAGGCTCTAAGGAAGTATAGATGGTCTCTGACTTACGATGGTGCGACTTAAGAATTTTCAACTTTTCTTTTTTTCTTTTTTGAGACAAAGTCTCACTCTGTTACCCATACTGGAGTGCAGTGGTGCCATCTTGGCTCACTGCAACCTCCACCTCCCAGGTTCAAGTGGTTCTCGTGCCTCAGCCTCCCGAGTAGGTGGGATTACAGGTGCCCACCATCATGTCCAGCTAATTGTTGTATTTTTAGTAGAGACAGGGTTTCACCACGTGGGCCAGGCCGGCCTCGAAATTCTGACCTCAGGTGATCTGCCCGCCTTGGCCTTCCAGAGTGCTGGGATTACAAGCATAAGCCACTGTGCCTGGCCAAGATTTTTCAACTTTTCAATGGTGCAAAAGTAATAGACATTCCATAGAAATTGTACTTTGAATTTTGACCTTTTCTTTTTATTATTTTAATTTTTTATTATAAAATGTTAGTAGTTATTATAAAACAGACTTTGTTAGATGATTTTGCCCAACTGTAAGCTAATGTGAGTGTTTTGAACATGTTTAATGTAGGCTAGGTTAAGCTATAATGTTTGCTAGTTTAGGTGTATTAAATGCATTTTCAAGGAACTGTATTTTCAACATAGAATGGGCATATAGGGATGTAACCCTGATAAGTTGAGGAGCATTTGTAATCAAGTTTAAAGGTGGTCATAAGGATGGGCCCCTGATCTGATAACATTAGCGTTCTTATAAGAAGAGATGCCAGGCCAGGTGCAGTGGCTCACGCCTGTAATCCTAGCACTTTGGGAGGCCAAGGTAGGAGGATCACCTGAGGCCAAGAGTTAGAGACCAGCCTGGCCAACACGCGAAACTCTGTTTCTACTAAAAAGACAAAAATTAGCCGGGTATGGTGATGTGCGCCTGTAGTCCCAGTTACTCAGGAGGCTGAGGCACACTTGAGCCCAGGAGGCGGAGGTTGCAGTGAGCTGAGATTGCGTGACAGAATGAGACGCTGTCTGGGAAAAAAAAAAAAAAAAAAAAGATGCCAAAGTGCTCACACATACCAAGGAAAAGCCATATGCGGACTTAGTGAGAAGGTGGCTGTCTACAAGCCCGGAAGAGAGCCCTTACCAGAAACTGAATCAGCCAGAACATTGATCTCAGACTTCTAGCCTCTAACCTGTAAGAAACTAAATTTCGGTTGTTTAAGCCACCCAGTCTATGGTATTTTGTTATGGTAGCCCAAACAGACTTATACAAATGGATGGGGACCAAGGGGTACCTGGGTAACATGAAAATGGACCAGGAGGCTGGGCATGGTGGCTCATGCCTGTAATCCCAGAACTTTGGGAGGCCGAGGCAGGCAGATCTCTTGAGGTCAGGAGTTCAAGACCAGCATGGCCAACATGGTAAAACCCCATCTCTAGTAAAAACACAAAAATTAGCTGGGTGTGGTGGTGTGAGTCTGTAGTCCCAGCTACTTAGGAGGCTAAGCCAGGGAATCGCTTGAACCCAGGAGGTCAATGTTGCAGTGAGCTGAGATAGCACCACTGTACTCCAGCCTGGGCGATAGAGCACGAGATTCTGTCTCAAAAACAAAAAAAACAAAAAGGAAAATGGACCAGGAATTTATTCAGAGGTCTCCTGGTTCAGGTAACTGTATGGCTAGTGAAGTTGCTCACTGGCAGTGGGGGTGGGTGAATGGGTGAAGGCAGAGTTTGTGGTGTTGGGGGACATTTGCATAGACATGTCCAGACAGAATTTGGATCTTCAGACCCAGAACTCAGAGTTGAGGTCTGGATTGGAGCAGGTTTGAGAATATTAGAGTGTAGGCGGACTCTTGGGAGTGACTACATTTTGTCAGATCACTTATTCTTTCTTTCTTCTTCAATTGGTCCATTCTAATTCTAATTTCTTGTTATATAAGATAGCTTTTGTCTTTTATATTTTTGTAAAAATCAGATACTCTCCTTTGCTTTAAAAAAGTACAATTGTGCACAACTTTCCCCCAATTTTTAGAAGACTTTGCTTTCCCCTACTTGCAGAGAACAAGTCTTGTTTAGGAGCATAACTGATGTGGTTAGAATCTACTTGTGCAGTCAGAATTGCACAGTTTTTTGAGGCTCATTTTGTCTTTAATATTTGTGATGTCAGTTCTCTTGTCATTCTTACCAATTTCAGAAGAACATATCTCCCTTCACTTCAGCTTGTTGGATAATTTATAATTCAAAATTTACACTAGGAAATGCTTATGTCTTTCCCACAGAGTTGAATTTGAAAGGCACAGTGTGTTTTCTTTAGTTCTAGGCTGAGCTGTTTTTTCATTTCTGGAAACTTTTCTTATATTATTTCTTTCCTGATGTCTCCTTTATGTGTTCCTCATCCATTCGTCTCTCTCTTCTAGGCCTACTTTAGGGCTGTGATACCATTTTCCATTTTCCAAATCAGTTATTTTCTCCTCTGTTTTCTTTGTCTACATTTTAGGTTTCATGTCTTACCTTATCCTCAACATCACTAATTTCTTTGTTGTATTTGTTTCTGTTAATGCCAATTACTACTTCCAGGTGTTTTCTAATTCTTTTATAATTTTCACCGTGGAATTACAGCTATTATTTTTTCTGATCTGTTTCTGTCAGTATTTTGTTGTTGTTGTCATTTATTTCTTTCAAAGTAGTTATTATCCAGTTCCTCTTATTTGTTCCTTCAGATTCCATCATTTAAAAAACAAATTAATTGACATTTATTAGGCGCCTACTGCATGCAGACACTGCTGCTCATCATTTAGCACTTGTAGCTGTCTGCTTTCCTTCTAAGTTTAGTGCAGCAGGATTCAGAATTCTTCAGTCACAGCTGCTTTGGGCAGGTTCTGATTATTTATCATTTATTTTCTCTTGTTCCCCAAAAGATTTAAGATAACTTAAACTGTATCCTATGTACAATATGAGACTTTTTTTGCTTGTTTGTTTAAATAGGGAATTAGAGCTAAGGGAAAATAGAAAAAACAAGAGGCCATCAGGCAGAGCTGGAGATACAGAGACAGTGAGTGAGGTGAAATCTCATTCCAATGGTGGCCTCAGGTGGGCACAGAGATGTGTTTTATGACTGAGGCTTGTCCTATTGATTTTTGTTGGTGGTGTTGAATGACCCTTTGTTTTAAATTGTTGCTTGAATGGCTGCAGTGCAGAAGAGGCCCCTGTGGCATCACTCCCTTGGCTAGCCCCCCTGGGTGGGAAATGCTTACATATATATATATCTTTCCTAAGGGGGCTGGAATTGGAAAAAAAAAAAAAAGAGGCAGGATTATAGGTGATAGTGTGGACTGGGGGCACATAAACAGTGTAACAGTGACCCCCAGCCTCATGGCTCACCTTCCAAAAGTCAGTATTGATTGAGCAACTAATTAGCTGTGTATTTCCTGTGCTCAGAATCAGAGATTTTCCCTTTGTTGGGTGGCAACTGTAATCTGGTCGAGAGGAAGGCTTTTCAGGGGCTCTCTGTTCCCACAGAACTCCAGAGTGGCCTCATTTCACACTTCTTGGGAACTAGTTTTTCGAGTGACAGATTGATTGGTGTATGGGTGGTTACCAAAAAAGATTCTATTTTATTAGCTGTTTGTCTTGCAGAGTGAAATAGTTTTTTTAAACTTTATCAAAACGTCATCATCTCCAGGGTTTAAAGCGTGCCCTCTGGCTTTGAGGGAAGATCTCAGTCCCATAGCCGTCATGTCCCAGTTCACCTCAAGCCATTGAGCAATGAGCCTGAGACGGGGCAGGTGAGCTCAGGCCTGTGGCCGCCCTAGCCTGGGCCCACTTAAGGGGTGACCCTGAGTGGCAGCTAGCTGAGCACCAAGGTGACAGACAGCTCTAAATTTCATCCCGGTGCCTAAACTGTCTTAAAAAAATACATCAAGGGAAAAGTAAAATCTAGACATTCCTATACATGAGAGACTATGTGTATAGGTAATGTTGCTTTTCTGTTTGAGAAGGAAATAGAAAACATTTCACTTACTCTTTTTTTTAAATTAAAAATGAGGAATATATCAAACAATAAAAAAGATCTTGGTTTCCTATTGTGGCAGTTAAAGAAGAGAGAAAAACAGACTGAAAGTTGTTGAGGGAAGGCAGGGAGCAGAGTCCTGTCCCAGGGGTGCCTCAACTCAGTGTGCCTGGCCTGGGCGGCCCAGCCCTGCCCTTCCAGCCTCAGCGGGTGTAGCCCCTAGTTGTCTACTCTGTCCTTGGCCCCTCCCTTAGCCCCAAGTGTCCTGTCCAGAGTCAAGGCCAATTACTCCTAGTTCTTGAGTCCATTTCTAGTCCCTACTCCCAACCCCTCCGTGGCTGTCACCGCCACCAGGGCCTCCTCCTGTCTTGCCTGCTTTGAGCCCCTTCCCTCCTAATTGGGCTGAAGCCTGTGATCCCCACCAGCAGCAGCTCTGAGCTCATTCTGCCCTTGTCCAGCATCTCCAGATCTCCCTCTACCCCCAGGATCGATCCTTCTACCTGGCCTGGCTTGAGGACCCCAGTGACCAGGCCCTGCCCTCCTCAGTCTCGTTTCTGCCCCTCTTTCTCCCACTGATTTGATGTGATGGCCCCGACCTCTAGCTTTCACTGTTCCTGGGACATACCATGCTCTTTCACGCCTCCATGCCTTTGCACATGCTGTACCCTGTGTCTGGAACACCCTGGTGGTCCACCTGACACCCCTCCTCCAAGGCTCAGCTCTAAAGCTTCCAACCCCCTCCCCTCAGTCTCACACCCTGGGGCTTTGTACTGGCAGCGTAGAGCCCCCTGAGCTCCAAGCACAGGGCCCAGTCCCTGACAGGCATTCCAGGAACCTCGGTGGAATCAATAAAGTGATTTCTAGCCAGGCGGGCATGTCCATCACCAGAAGGTTCGATTCCCTTTGTACACACCAGGGGGCACAGCAGGAGCTGTGAGAAACTGCTCCCAATTGTTTGAATTATTGCCTCAATGAGGCTACTTTGTGGTAAAACAAAAGAAAACAAAACGAAAATGCAAGATGGAGACTTGAAATTTAAAAGCTGTGTGAACTCACGTGTGTGTTGTGAGTGCCTATAGCTTACTGGAATCATCATCTTCATCAACATGATTATATAAAAAATGTTTTGGGGTACCCACTGTGTGCCAGGCACTGTGTTCAGAGCATTCCCTGCACAACGTCTTGTTTCATCCCCTAAGCAGCCTGGGGAGGGTAGGTATTATTGATCCCGTACTCAGAGATGAAAACTGAGGCTTGGAGGGGCATAAGTGACTTGCTCAGTCACACAGCAGAGGGTGGCACAGATTCTGTGAGCAAGACTTATCTGCAGCCCCATCCTGGTTAGCATTTTGACCGATGGGGCTCTCTAATACACAGGAGGCACCCATAGGTAAGGGAGGAACACCCCAGGGGTTGGGAAGTCTTGCTAGCCACCACCCTTCCCTCTTACCTGCCTCCTCCTCTGTCCCAGAGGGATTCAAGGTGGATGCTGCCATGATTTGTTCTTAACACTGGAGTGTGAATTCATCCATCAACTGTTGTCCTGGATATCTGAATGGTCAGAGAGCTGGTGGGGATTGGGAGGTATAAACCCAGCAGGAACCAGGTAGAGTTCTGCTGTGGGGCTGAGGGATGATGGGGAACACCCCGGTCAAGCCCATTGTCTCTCCCTGGTGTCCTTCAGCCTTGCGCCCTCCATTTGTTCTCCATACAGAAGCCAGAGTGATCTTTCTAGGTACACACCTGGGTACCCTCCCCGCTGAGAACTCTTTCATGGCCCCCAGGATAAAATCCATGCCCCACATCTGCCTCCTCTCCTGTCGCACTTCTTGCCAATCCTGTCCTTAGAGCTCTCCTCTTTCCTTCTTGGTCCCGTTCTCTCTCCGGGAGGGCCTTTCCCTAGCCTGGAATTCCACGCCTTGCTTGGTCAGCTCCTCCTCATCTTCTGGCCTTTTGCGGGGGCGGGGGGTGGTCTCTTCAGGAAGCCTTCCCCCCTCCCCTGGTGGCAGTGCTTCGTCTTAGGGCCTCCTACAGTGAGCCTCTATTGCTCCTGGCACCACCCCAGAGGTGGCCTCTAGAGGGTCTGGGACCTGGGTCACATGTCAAACAGTCTTGGCCACCTGCAGACAGGCAAGGCCAGGGGATGACAACCACAGGGAGGAATATGCCCCAAAGGCAGCCTTCCAGAGGGAGATGCAGAATCTGGTTCTGGGATGTTGGGGCTTCGTCAGGGAGGGAGGGAGGGAGGGAGTCCAAGAGGTGGGTGGGCGTCTGGAATGTGCTAGGGCTGTGGCCACCTGGGCCCCTGCTGGAGCTGCAGCTGTGGATGTTCTCAGGGAGAACAGGCAGAGGGAAAAAGGGGGTCAAGGACAGAAGCTTGGGGCTTATCCCATTTTTGGCTTGGTGAGGAAAGAAGAGCCAAAAAGAGCACTTGGGAAGGGAGGAAGTTCACAGAAAAGGTGCTTGAAATATAGCGCTGTTTTTATGTAGTTCTCAAATAACCTTACTTTTTCCTTTTTCACTTAGAATAGCTGGAAAAGGAGGGCCCTACGTGGCAGTCCCCGGGATGAGAAAACCATGTGTCAGAAAGCTGGTGCCGAATCCCTCACACTATTTTTACCTTCCTGACACTACCTCTTTGAGCCCCGAGGAGGATCCTGGCCTGAGGTGGCCGAGCTGGAGTCTTCCAGGCTGATGTGGCCAACCTTCACCTTGTTCTCCAGAAACCACCAAAAAGCTGGCGATTCACTTTTCTTGACCAGAAATAAATGCATCAGACAAGTGTTCTCAAGTAATCTTGAGGGATGTGAACACAAAATTATCCCATAAATTGCTTTTGTTTCCTTTCCTCAGTTCAAAGTTGGTTTTTGGTTTGCATTAGTTACATTAAAATTGGACAGTAATTCATGCTCTTAAAATAGAATCTCCATGTTCCCAAGTTTAGAAAGAAAAGCCACCTAGGAATGAGAAAAACGTGGACCTATGTGAAATGCCATTCCATTAGCCACAGAATCTTTTGTGGGCCTTGGTGGGAGCACCCATCAGGCGGGATCTGTGGCAGAGCACACCGAAGTGGAGTGTGTCTGTGGTCACTTTTCATTCTGTTCCCCGCTCCAGGTCAAGGAAGCCTTTGACATCGTGGCCAGGAGCTCTGGGGACTCACTAACCTTTAATTACGTTTCTTATTTAAAATAGTGATAAACAGTCCCTCTGTTGATTCAAACATTTAAAAACACTGAGCCTGTAGTTGTTGGCTCTGAACAAAGAGAGCAAATCCTCCCGGCCTCCTCAGGCCCGCCCAGCCTCTGCCTACACCTCTGGGTTCTCAGACTCTCATTCAAATGCTGAAGCCAGAAAATGTCCCTGTGGGTGGGCTTGGGGGGAGGTCACTTCAGGATTCAAAATCAGGACTGGCTAGGCTGTGCAGTGAGGTCCCATTTTCCCCACATGGGGACTTCTGGCTTCTCCTATTACCTGGCTCCTGCTCTGGGTTCAAGGTGAAGGTCAGGAGGTGAGAAGGAGGAGCCACCTTCTTACCCCCACTGCCCCATGGTCTGGTGCCCCATAGCATGTCCACTCACCACTGTGCTTCGTTTATGAATGTCAGCCCCTGGTCCCACAGGCCTTGGATGTAAAGAGAACAACTCTGCTGTCCCCACGCCCCCAGTACATCTGCTGCCTGGAATGGAGGGAAGTAGGGACCCCTTCTAGGCCTGTGGGGTCCCCTTCAAGAGCCAAGTGCCATCCATCCCATCTTGTGGACACCCACAAAGAAGGAGCCTTGAGGCCCAGGCTCCCTAGAGGCAGCTGATGCAATGTAGGGGCAAGTGGGTGGGGAGGAAGGAAGAATGATGGTCAGACCCCCCACTGGCCATTCTTCCTGGATGACTTGGAACCCAATCAGCTGCTGCTCGCCTGGACTGCCAGGTTGCCTCGTCCTCATCATTTGGAAGACTGCAGCAGTGGCCAGGTATGGACTTTGCTTCAGTAGTGATCATGTCCAGAGAGGAGCCCCTTGCTATAAACACAGTACATCAGTGACATCCACGATAAACCCAAAGCCCTGCCTTGTCTCAGGGCTAAGGCCAAGTTGGCCTGGGCCCAGCTTCTCTCCGTAGCCTCATGCCTCCCCAGGCACCAGTGTGGATGTCACCACACCTCTCCACTCTACTCCATAGCAGGGCAGCTACTATTGTAGTCACCATTTTACAGATGAGGAAACTGAGGCCCAGAGGGGTAAAGCATGCTACCAAGATCACAGTGGAGGAGCTGGGATTTGAACCCAGGTCTGTCTGACTCTAAAACCAGTGCTGTTCTCAATCCATCCTGCCACAGAGCCTCCTAGTCCCACTTCCTGCCTCTGCCAAGTGGCCTCTAGAAGGAACCACCCTCAAATACGTGTCGGGGGTGATGTGGTCCTGGGTAAGGGTTAAGGGCTTTGTGGAGGTGCTGGAAGCTGTGAGGTTTCTTGTTGAGTCCAGCCCAGCTCTGCCAGGGTGTCCCCCTGACCTTGCCAGCATGACCCATTTGGGCTGTAATTTTAAACGATAATTATGGATTAGCTTGGTGACCATCAGGCCCTTCTGCTATATCCCAGGAAATGGACCTAACCCTGTTACAGGGCAAATCAGATATAATCAGCTCCTAATTCAATATGGTTGTTCTAAGTCACATTTATCAAGGGACAGAAGCTGGCCCATGGGTTAGACTACAGTAGTGGTTGGATTAGATTCAGACAAGAATCCTCAACTTGCACTTTCTGACAGTTTTATAAAAATTAAGTGGAAGAGATGAACTTTTTTAGTACCATATGCTACAAGTACACACACTTGTATGTCCCACACACAGATGGGGGCATGTTTCAGACTGGCCATGTGTCCCTGCAGCCTTGATCTGCCATGGTTGTGCCTCTCCAGCCCCGACAAAGGTGCCTAGACACCTGGAACACTGCTCTGTTCAAAACCAAACCTGAGCAATCACCCAGTGGGCAGGGCCAGTCATACCAGCCCCTTCTGTGGCTGACGACTGTAACTGGGTTCAGGTACATGGCAACTTCTGGCCAGCTCTGAGTGAGAGAGGATTTCTCTTCTAAGTGGTGGTTTGTGGGATCACAGAGGCCAAACAATAATCAGATTATTGGATGCTTGTGATTGGATCTGCTAGTTTTGCACTGGATTGAACTTTTTTCTCCTGACCCCCACCCCTCACCTTCAGAGCACTGCCAGTGCCACCCTCTGTGAGGTGCTGGCCTCAGAGCTCAGATAGTGAAACAGAAGTACAGAGTCTTGAATGAACCACCCAGGCCAGCATCCGTGAGTGTCAGAACTGGGACTTGAGCTCCGATTTGTCATGCTCCAAAGTCTGGGCACTTTCCACAGCATCCCTGCGTCTCACCCCTTTTCTGCCCCAGTCCACCTGAGGGAAACACAGTGGCTGAGGGGAGGGGCATGCCATATCCTGTTGCAGGGAGCACTTCAACATGTAGCTGACGCATTTGGACTTGATGTCACTGGCACTGGAGGTTTTCTGAGCCAATTTTTTAGGTTTTTGCCACCCAGCTCAGTGGTGATGCCCAGTAGGGAGTAGAAAATGCAAGACTTGAGTTTGGGCGGTTGGGGTTGGAAGTGGAATTGGGGGTGATAGGGGTATAGGAGGCAGCAGGGGCTGGGGCGTAAGTGGGATGTTACAGGGGGTGAGTTTGAAGACAGGGCCCTGTCTTTGGAGCATGCTTTAGAGTCAGGGTGGAGGTGGGACAGGGCATGTCCAAGAATCTCCCTGAATCCTGGCCTTGCCTAAAAGGTAATTATCTGAGATCCCCACACCAATAGCCTGGTTCCAGGAACTTCAATCTTCTTATTGCAAGGGGAAGTTTCAGGGCACTGTGCTGGCCAGAACAGGAGAATTTCATAGGTACAAGGCAGGCTGTCATACCAGGTTTTCTGGAAGCCTTCTTAAAGCACCTAGGACCATATAAATGCCTTCGTCGCAGATCTTTAGAATCCCAGCAAGGCAAACATGCCAAATGGCTAAGAGGACAGCAGCTTCCAGTTTATCCTCACTTGTCATGGCTTTATGTTCAGCTCTCCTTCCCGACTGCCAGCCCAGATGACCAACAGCGACCCCAGGCCCACACCAGACAATTCTCTGAAAACTCACAGAGGCGGTAGCCACAAAGAGGCAACAAGGTTCTACGGAATCCTACCCAGGCTTCCTTAGCAGGACCTCCCTGCAAGCTCCGACTCTCCTTCACCCACGCCACGGCTGGCTAGTGACCTTCCTCTGAGTCACATCTCTCTCCCTTTTAGACTGTCATTTCCCTGGCTCTTCCTACAATTAATAAGGTCTAATTCTTAGAATAAATTTCTGATTCCATTATACTTGTAGTATTCTGCCTCCCTGATTGAACCCTGAGTGATACAGCACCTCACCTCTGCAGGCCTCCATTTCTCTCCTCTATAAAATGGGGAAGGTATGTGACATACTGCCCTAGGAAGGGGGCTGCATCTGGGTGCTGAGGGCCAGGAGGCAGGGATTGATTCTGTGTGCATATTTGTCATAATCTGAGGACAAGCAATAAGCCAGAGTCATGACTCAACTCAGTGTGGCTTTTCATCTTGCACAAGCTGTAGGAGTCCCACAGAGCAGGGCCCACATGAGGTCAGTGGGTACATTTATGCTGGTGGTGGAAGGCGTGGTGACTCCTTCCAGTGGTCTGTTTGGTAGTGATTTGTTATATAGCATGGTAGGCGCTGTGCCTGAATGTTCAAGTTTATCCTCATTTGTCATGGCTTTATGTTCAGCACTCCTTCCTGACTGCCAGCCCCGATGACCAACAGCGACCCCAGGCCCACACCAGACAATTCTCTGGAAACTCAGAGAGGCGGTAGCCACAAAGAGGCAACAAGGTTCTACGGAATCAAGGTTCTACAGAATCAAGGTTCAAGGTGACGGCAGGTCAGTGCCTTTCCTGATTGGATGCTGGAATGCATTCAATAGTTAGGAATTCTTAGGAATGCAACCTCCAACTGGAATGTCACTTCCCTGGAAAACCAGTGTATGCTGAATTAGGAGACTTCCAGGAAGACGCTGAGAAGGGCTTGTTGGGCCTGAGATGTGCCTGCTGACTTGCTGGAGGGGAAGCTTCGCTTCTATAATGATGATGAGCTAGTCTTGTATGGAGAGTGGATTTGTACACTGTGTCAGGGTGCAGCACAGAGTGTCATGCTCCCTCTGGCCCCAGGGCCTTTGTTCCTACAGTAACGCTCTGATTTTAGATGTGATGTGGCTCCCTCCTTCACTTTGTTCAGGTCCCTGTTTCAAATATCACCCCCTTGGGATAGCTTTCCCTGACCATCCCGTACAAATAATGCCTCCTGTCACCCTCTATTCCCTTCCCTGCTTCATTTTTCTTTCCAAAACATCACCACTTAACTCATTATGCATTTCTATGTTTTCTTTCTTCTTCCACTGAAACACGAGCACCCTGAGGACAGGGATTCTGTCTGTTGTGTTCACTGTTGGATCTGTGACACCAAGAACAGTGCCAGGCTCAGAGTAGATGCCAATACAAATTTGCTACAGGTCAGAACTGACCTCTGCATAAAGACAAGTGACCTGGCCTGGCCTCACCTCTATTTCTGCCTTCATTCATGCCTGAAAACAACAAATACAGTTTTCCTAGTCCTGGAAGAAGGCTACTTCTTGATGTCAGGAAGGCTGGTTTGACTAATTCAGTACCAAACATGAGTTCTCAATATCCAGGGATTTTTATTCTTTTTTTGTAATCATTACTCTTGATCCTGGGATCTGTAACCATTTTAGAAGTGGATTTGATGTGATTAAATTCTTTCCTAGCCTAATCCTTTATGGAAAACAAAAGTTTTAAATGAAATGAATTAGAATGGATTTGCTGAGGTTTGATTGTTTGCACAATAATTTTACCCCAGCTCATTTCAAAACCAGGGCTGGGCCTCATGCGTTGAAGAATACCCTGACAAATATTCTGTAATGAAGGGGAACAGTTCCCCACTCTTGCGTGACAGCACTTACTGAGTGCCTGTGACTAGAGGGGTGACCACACACACAGGAGTCAGAGGGGCCAGCTGTCAGAAAGCCCATGCACATTCTTTTGCAGGAACGCCAGGTCCCAGGGAGGCTGAGGTGCAGCTGGGATGGTGGGCAGGATGACAACCCTGCCATTGTTTCTCTGTTTTCTTTTTTTCTTTCTTTCTTTATTCTTTGACAGGGTCTCATTCTGTGCAGTGGTGCCATCATGGCTCACTGCAGCCTCTGCCTCTCGGGCTCAAGAGATCCTCCCACCTCAGCCTCCCGAGTAGCTGGGACTACTCAGTGCACACCACCACGCCCAGCTAATTTTTTTTTTTTTTTTTTGAGATGGAGTTTCGCTCTTGTTGCCCAGGCTGGACATTACAGGCATGTGCTACCATGCCTGGCTAATTTTGTATTTTTAGTAGAGATGGGGTTTCTCCATGTCGGTCAGGCTGGTCTCGAACTCCCGACCTCAGGTGATCTGCCCGCCTCAGCCTCCCAAATTGCTGAGATTACAGGCGTGAGCCACCATGACAGGGTTTCATCGTGTTGCCCAGGCTGGTCCTGAACTCCTGGGCTCAAGGGATTCGCTTGCCTTGGCCTCCCAGGCATGAGCCACCATGCCCAGCTGTTTTCTCTGTTTTATCCTGGAATCTCCATGGGCCTCAGCTTAGCAATTGTGAGGGTGGGTATGCAGGAGGTGGGGTGTGAGGAGGGGCTGGCAAGCAACCTTTAGAAGCAGGTCTGAAGGGACTTGTCAGGGGTTCCCCAGGTAGGAAATAGGGGTCACCTGTGCCCCCAGCCCACCTGCCATTGAGGTGCTAGCCCCCAGAGGCTGTTATCTTTGTATAGATGCTGGGGGCATCAGGACAGCCTGAAACACTGTTTCCAGGAGTACAGCATAGAAAATAAGTCTTTCCATCCAAATTGGAAATGAAAAGGCCCTGGTACTTGACAGATCTACTCCAGTGACTTGGAACACTGTGTGGGAGACTTGTCCTTGGCAGCAGTAGAAATGGGGCGGCTCTGAACTTTCTCTCTGTAACCCCAGGCACATGTGTGCAGACTTGCCAGGCCCTGTGGGCCAAGCGGATGTAGGACCTGGCTCTTATCCGGGCATTTGGTAACTCGAGGAAAATGGACTTTTCCTCTTCTGCTGCTTTTGTTTTTACCTTTGGGGCCTTATCATTTGTGGCATCTGCCCTCTAGGACCTATAGCTTTTGGGACTGCTGGTAGACACCTATTCTACTAGCAGAGTTTTTTCCCCCAAGGCAGGTGTTTTGATGAGGGCTTGGGTCACAGCCTCGGGACTCATGGCTGCTCTGTATCTTCCATCCTGCTGGCCTGGACCACACGGTTCCATGACTTTGCCAGATTCCTTGGCAGGTTTCATTAAGAGAGATGCACAGGCCGGACGTGGTTGCTCACACCTGTAATCCCAGCACTTTGGGAGGCTGAAGCAATCAGATCTCTTGAGCTCAGGAGTTCGAGACCAGCCTGGGCAACATGGCAAAACCCCATCTCTACAAAAAATACAAAAATTAGCCCACGTGGTGGCACACACCCGTGGTCCCAGCTACTTGGGAGGCTGAGGTAGGGGTTGAGCCCTAGGGGTTGAGGCTGCAGGAAGCCATGATAGTGCCCCTGCACACTTCAGCCTGGGTGACAGAGCAAGACCCTGTCTCAAAAAAAAAAAAAAAAAAAAAAGAAAAGAAAAGAAAATACAAAAAGAGAATAATTTTGTCTGGGAGGCCTTGTGTTCTGCCCCCATCATGGGCCTCACTATACTCAGATGAAAATAGTGACTTCTCGGTGTAAAAGTCTCAGCCTGAAAGTCCTTTTCCTCTTTCAGAAATGTAAGTTAACACAGCTTAGGCCCTGAAGAAATGCCCGCCTGGCCACAGGATGGCATGCCACAGTCACTGCCCCTTCACAGTGAAGCCCCCTCCTCACTGGGTACAATTCAGAGACTGATGTGGGTGCATGCACCTCTCAGCTGAGCCTGATCCCTGGAGTGGAAATCCAGAGCTGTCGTCCGCCCTTAACCCCAGACTTAGTACCAGCTAACACAGGTGGAGCACATTCCTGATGCTGAACATTGTCAAGCGGTTTATCTCACTTGATCATCAGCCTTGTCCCCTCTGAGGCACCCTTAGCCCTCCCTGCTTTTGCCCTTGGTCAACAGCAGGGCGGGCAGTTGAACCCCCAATGGTCTGATGCTACAGCCTATGCCCTTAACCAGTCTGCCAGTCTTTCCCGTGGGGCTGTTTGATGATTCATTTTATTCTATACCCAGAAACAATGAGGCGTAAACCAGAATAAAAGGGGGCTATCATGATATCACTATTTGCCATTTATCTAAATTAGACAATAAATCACGAAGCTACTTGAAATAATATACACGTCAACCTTCTGAACATTTAGTTATCACTTAGTACCATTTGATGGTGTCTGTGGTATAATTAACACTTTCTTATAGAAAATATGATATTTCTGTGAAATAAAAAAGTGAATGAGAAAATCAATTTAACCTGGCCCTCCTCTTCCTTGGGGATGGGGCAGCAGATCTTGTGGCAGTGGCTGGTTGGGATGGCTGGGGCTAGTGGTGGATGAGCAGAAGTGTCCAGCCCTCTGAAGGCCAGGATGGTGCCTGGAAAGAGGGAAGCCTGTCGCCCTCGGTAGCGGCAGGTCCAGCTGAGGATTGCTGCTGAGCCCCAAATAGCTCCGTGTCCATTCATCAGACTCAGCATAATTGGGCATCTGCCACTGGCATCTCCAGATGTTTGCCTTTATCAGACGCCGATGTGGTTCAGAGTTTTCACTGAGAGCCTCGTAAAAGCTCTAGCTGGTTGGGGACGCTTATTGTTCATTTTATTTGAGTTCTTTATCATGTGCAAAATGTTCCAGGCACCATTAGGAGACACAAAAGACTCAGAAAACACAGTTTCAGGGGGCGGAAGCTCACCGTAGCGTGGAGGAGACACGGCCACAGACATTTACAAACATTTGCTGAACACAGTCAGCTGGCAGGAATGAAAAATCCGCTCTCAGCAGCACATCGGGGCATGGGGGTAGGGCAGTAGAGACTGAGGATTTAATGCTTGCCTGGGGGAATCTTGTAAAATCGGATGGCTGTTCTGGGCTGTTTGCTCATTAATGTGGTCTTTAGATTCCTGCTCAGTAAGATTGGGACGTGGGGCCAGAAATAGGGCAGAAGCTTGATCAGGAGAATATTGAAGGGAGACTCGTCTTGCTTGAGGTGAACATTTGAGGGCTGTGTCCAGGCACACTGTAATTACTGCTTAACCATAAGTGTAGCTTGGCAAGATGCATGGATTTATACATAGGTTGCTAAGGGCATTTAGGGAAAACCAAACGTAGGCGAGGAGAACTGTCTCCATCAATTTATAACATTCATGTCTGAGACAGCATCATGGAAGGGCAGACAACCCTGCTCTTAGGCATAAATTAAAGCTATCCTTCCTGGAAAAGAATAATTTAAATGATCAGTAACCTCTTTTGAAAAACTATTTTAAGAGTATTTTTTTGTTTTATGTAATTTAAAATTCCTGATTGGTAGGTATTCAAAATGACATTCAACTTTAATGTTTGACTTTTGAGTCTATTGTTGTATTTTTAATTTTTAATTTTTTTTAAGAGATGGAGTCTTTGCTATGTTGGCCAAGCTGATCTCAAACTTCAAGCCTCAAAGGATCCTCCCGTCTCAGCCTCCCAAAGTGATGGGATTACAGGTGTGAGCTACTACAGGAGCCTATTGTTGTATTTTTTAAAAATTGTTTTTAATTTTTATTCTAAAATCTTTATTATCACCTCTTAGAATGTGTAGCATATTGTTGTATTTTTAACCTGTGATCTTAAATGCTTCTTATGCCTTATTGTTTGGGCTGGTGTGCGAACTCTTAACTTGCTGAGTGTGAAGTTCTGGTATTGATAATATTGTAATACGTGTTTGCCTACTTATAAAAAACAGTGAAAATAAAAGTTTCTACTGGCAGAGGAAAAATAAGTGTTTAAAAAAGTACTTTCTTTTAAAAATCAACTTCATTTATTTCCCTTTTACCAAAAAAGAATTGGTGAAGCTTATAACAAAAGATATAACAGAGAGTTTATTAAGATAGAAATAGGAAATTGGAACCCAGGCAGAAAAGAATACAAATTTTCTAACCACCAATGGCTAATCTTACTTCTGTGACCAAGCTCCAAATTTATCTTTGAGCTTCCTAGAATCCAAGGAAAAAAGGGAAACATAATTAATTACATAGCCCCAGCTACTAAAATGAACAAAGTATGCCAATTCATGGATTTTTAAAACATTATTATTATTAAATAAAAGATAATTGCATAAATAAAACTTCAATCTGCAAAGGGAAAATTATTTTCTCAACCTCATTTCATGGAAAGACAATGAAAAAGCTAGTTAAATTCATTGTAGCCACACATAAAGCTGCCTATGGAATTAATGTGACTACTGTTACCTTTGAGCTATGAGGAATATTCTGCCCATATGGGTATTTAATTATTTGTGAATTTATACAAGAGAGTCAGGGGTAACTTCTGGGAAAATGGGGGAGATATTTTAAGAATATTTAGAAAAGAAAAGATTGATTTAGAAATTTTTTTGGTGAGAAGTAAAGCCTGGGCAATGCTGACAGACATGCCCACTAAGATCTGGGTGACTCTGGGATGGCTCCCATTCAATCAGCATATTGCTGAATGAATCATTTCAGGTCAAGGCCAGGGACCTGGACCTAGGCATTTGGCAGTGTCTCGCCTGTCCTTAGGTAGAGGCTGTGTTCTATTTCTCTGGTCTGCCCAGACAGTGCCTGGTACATTTTGCACATAAATAACTCAACCATGGTTCTGTCTCTCCTGGGTTGAGAACTCCAGGAGGGCAAAAACACATTCCCAGCATCCCTGAGGTTTCTGCCTGGTACTGGCAGCTGATACCACTACTGCCAGTGTTGGACGATAATAGCTCACAAACTAAAAACAGGAAAGGTGGGCAGTTATGAAGTGTTGGATGAGTGGGCACAATCCTGAAGTGGGCTTTGCTTTAGAAGGATCTGTTGTGCACCCCCACTCCCCACCGCTATGGAGTGCACACCAAGAGGCTCCACCTAGGTCGCTGAGGTCTCACAAGGGCCCTGCACTGCAGGTGACTGGGGTGTGTGTGTAGGGAGAGGACCCTCGCTGACAATGCTGACCTGTCTCTATCTATTCTCCCAGCAGGCTTTAAGGGTGGAATTCCAGCAGGCACTGCATTTTCCCAGCTTTTGTACTCAGTTACTCCGAGCTCATTCCTTTGCAGCTCTAAAGCTCTTTTGTGTTTCATCATCTTGCTCGAAACCTTGCCCGGAGGGCTCACTTTGGCCCCAGCAGAGAGTGCCTTTCCTGAGAGGTGAGGGATGTGGGGAGGGGGTGCAGTGAGGGGAGAGGCATATCTGTAAGCAGGACACACCTGTGGTCATGGCAGAGCAGTGTGAGTCTTACACGCCTGACTCGGGCTGGGTCTGTGTTGTGGGCAGCAGCTCTAATGCCTGCCAGAGTTGGGATTTGGGTAAGTCAGGTTTCCTCTCTGGGATTCCGTTTTTCCATCTCTGAAGTGGGCATTTTAACAGTACCTAAATAACACGAGGTGAAGGTGTCATGAGGGTAAACTGCACACAAAATCCTGTCCCAGTGCCCGACTCAGATGCACTTGGTGCATGGTCATCATGATTGGTTTTTTTTGAGACGGAGTTTCACTCTGTTCCCCAGGCTGGAGTGCAGTGGCGCGATCTCGGCTCTCTACAAGCTCCGCCTCCTGGGTTCACGCCATTCTCCTGCCTCAGCCTCCCGAGTAGCTGGGACTATAGGCGCCCGCCACCACGCCCGGCTAATTTTTTGTATTTTTAGTAGAGACGGGGTTTCACTGTTTTAGCCGGGATGGTCTCGACTCCTGACCTCGTGATCTGCCCGCCTCAGCTTCCCAAAGTGCTGGGATTACAGGCGTGAGCCACCGCGCCCAGCCAATGATTGGTTATTATCCTGTCCTGGGGATGAGAAGAGCCACCAGCTCCTTCCCTCAGACCGTCACCTACCTGACAAGAGGTTTCACACCTCATGGGAGAGGAGGCTGAGGTTAGTCACCCATGTGGGCAAGCCCCAGGGCCTCTCTGACCCTAACGAGGCAGAGATAAGACCTGCCTGTCCCGAGGGCTGTAAGAATCACATGCAGGCCCTGGTGGGGCAGTTCCTTGTCTCCAGCTCCACCGCAAGAGGACTGAAGACAGTACTCAGAGGACCTGCAGCCAGTACCCGGCACACACGAATGCCCCGTGGGTGCTGGGGCTGGTGTCACAAACTGTGGTTACTCCACAGGTGTCAGGAAGCACAGGGCTCAGGCTCCAGATGCTCCCAGGGGAGGGAGGAGGTGAGGGCAGAGGCGATGGGCCATGCCATCCACAGACCAGGGGTGGCCCCACCAACATGAACATTGTTGGTGTTGTCATCTTGGATGCCAGTCTGAGGTCCAGGCACAAACACACATGAATCTCCTCCCCATTTCTCCAGGCATCAGCACTGTCACCCCCAGCCTCAGGCTATTTGGGCAGTGGGGCTAGGAGTGTCCTCTATTTCTATGTGCTAAATCTGGCAACCCAAGGTGTTAAAAATCATAGTAGATACTACTGGATTTAAATCAGCCCAACTTTGGACACCTAAGGCTCATTAAAAAGCTGTAAGTGCAGAGCCTTCCTGACTATAAATCCTCGCTTTCTTGCAGAGTTTGACTGAGAGTCATTTTATCTGTTTCTCCACCATCACGGATGGAAATACTCCAGCATCCCGAGTTTTTTGGTTTGTTTGTTTTTAATTCAAAAGTTTCCCAGACACAGAGAAGGACTTAAATCGTAGGCCAACTGAAGGGCACAATGTTCCTGTTACAAGTAATTTAGGTAAAATAAAGAGTAACAGGAACACCTGCAGCATCGAGGCACCTTGCATCTGTGAATTCCGGCAGAGTGAAGACTCCTAATGACGGGCCATGGCACCTGCACAGTGAGGTCAGGAATCACTCAGACTTCACGGCAGATGCCAGTGAGTTCTGCCTAAGCAGGGAATGGGCGGGCATCATCAGCTGCCAGTGTTGGAGTGTGGGGGTGATCACACCTTGATGACAGAGAAGGCCAGAGTTTAAGGAGCCAGCAGGAAGAGGCCATGTGGCTGCACTCCTCTATGACCAGAATGTCCCTGTGGGCATGAGGGAGGGCAGCCTCCAGGCAAAGCAGGCCGGGGTCAGGAGAGATCTTTGGGGAGTGTCAGCACAGTGCCCTCCCCCAACCTCAGGCCCAGGCCTGTTCTCCTGCCAGGACCACCTCAGTCCAGTGATCACAGAGGGGCACAAACTCCTTGGGCACTTGGCACTTGGGTGCTGTTGCAGTGTTGGGGTGGGGAGCTCCAGGTGTGGCGGCCACACTGCCTGGCCAGAGCTGGTGTCTGAGGACAACCACCATCCTCTACAAGGTCACCACTATAGTTCAGGCTAGAGACCTGGTCTTGTGGGGCCCAAATGAGCACCTACCCATCTTGATTCCTGCTTAGGGCCTCTCCCACCCTCCCACTGCAGGCATGGGTGGAGGCTGGTGAGTGAGGGATGGGAGGGTGATGGAGGGAGGAGAGACTGAGCATGAGCTGATGGCCAGCAGGGCTGCCCACAGGACTTGAGACTGGGCAGGTGGAAGTGATAATGGATAACGATCAAAGATGAGGCCTACACCCAGCAGTGGGGGAACAGCAGCCACGTAGAGCATCCTTGTAGAACAAGCTGGATCACTCAAGCAAGCCCCATGCATTAACCTTGATGTTTTATTCTGTAAAGTGGAGCTCCTAATGCCTTCTCTGCCTCACCCTGGTAGCAGCCAGAGGAAGTGGCTGTGACACCTTGGGGATCCTAGGGCAGTGGGACAGCATCAAAAAGTGCTGAAGACTGGGAGGAAGCTCAGAATTGGGGGCAGGAATGAAAATGATAGACAGGAGAAATCCAGGAGTCTGGATCAGCACCTGGCCACCCTCTGGGCCAGAGGGGAGAGGCTGGGGTGGGGGAGCTTTTGAGACATGGTGGCTGGGAGGCCAGCATGCCTGGAACAGAAATGAGGGCATGGGGGAAGGAAGAAGGAGGCAGGAGGTGCTCTGGGAAAGTGCAGTGCACGGGGCCAGGGAGGCAGAGGCAGTTGCTAGGCGGAGCTGTGCCCGGGAGGCCAGAGGAGGCTGGGGAAGGCCTGGGGCAACTTCCTAGGAAAAGCCTAAGGAGGGGAGGGCATGAAGATGATGAGGAATGAGCAGTTGGTGGGGACTCAGAAGAAAATCTCACTGCCTGTCAAGGTACGCCCACAGCAGCCCAAGCCCTGTGCCAACACGCACTGCCATTCCTGGTTGCCAGATACAACCCTTGGGAGTGGGCGGGGAGGAAACCCACAGCCAGGGTGATAGCCCCCAAGACCCACAAGTGACCAAACCACCTAACATCAAACATGTAAAGGGTCCAGATCAGGAAATCCAACAGATTTCCAGCCACACCTATCTCCCAAAACATAGCTGGTGAATCCAGGAGTAAGTAGAAAGCAGCTCTGAAGAGTCAAAATGGTGGCCACAGCACCCCCAGTCCCTGCCTGCTCACCTGTAGGCAGAGGCCCTCACTCAGAGCCTACCTGCTTCATTTAACACACAGTTCTGATAGACATTGGTACCTGGTTTCAATTACAAAGAAAATCAAGCCCAAAAGAAAAACTCTAAGGCTCTGCAAATCTTGAATGTGCGAGATCATCACAGTGAGGAATCAGCCTGGAAAGCCTGCCAATTCCCACTCAAGATAGACATTCTGTGATTCCCATATTTTCATAATGAGGCTCCCCAAGTTATCAAGACATTGTAAAATAATATTCCATCTTCATTGCTTAGGAAGGCAGGGTAGTGTATGGTAGATGTTAGAGGAATATGCTGTGCTTTTAAAAGTTGGGCATTTGAAGAGGGGATGGAAGAACATTTTTTGAGTACCTGCTACATACACACCATCTTAAACATGTTAACCTCCTAACAATCCTACAAGTAACTATTATCTATGTCATTTTATAGAAAAGAAAACAGACTTAGAGAGCTGAAGTGATGTATCCCAGCTCATGCCGCTAATGCTTTTTTCTTTTCACCCTTGGCGTGGCTCAAGTCCTTGGCCTGGGGCCTATGTGGAATGCCTGCTCTTTGACACCAGGTGAATGAGGCTTTGCTGGATGCACAGGGCCTGAGTTTCGGTGATGTTTTCCAGGGTGGTGGTGATGGCTGTCACTGTCCCATCAGCTCACTGTGGGGACCGATTTTCTGCCCTGGCCTCCATAGCTTTGGCCACTCTGAGAGGCGAAGGCCCTTCTTCTGCCTCTGCTCCAGGATAAAGCTCCCCTTTCCACATGGGAAAGCATGAGCTGTGAAGCCTTGCAGCTGGAAGATAGCTGCAAGATAGCTGGTCTATCCAACAGGAGGTCTCCATCATGAGGAAGGGACTGGCTCACCTGGAAGATAGTTTTGTGAACCCTGTCCTCCAGAGAAAATTATCCCTCAAGGCCTTTGATGATGAGAGGCTCTGTTTTTTCATTCCTTAATCATTCAGAAAACATAGAAAATCATTCAGCTTATTCAAAATAGTGGAAAATCATTGAGGTTTTTTCCTGTGTAAAGGTCAAACTATAAAAAGATATATGGACTCAGAACTCCAGGCTAGTCATGAAAACGTGGCAGTGCATTGAAATGGATCCAAAAAATGGTCTAATCCTCCTCTGGAAACAGCTCATAATAATCCCCTCTCCACTCTCCCCTCTGTGTGTTAAATTCCTGTTTGTAGGTTCAAGGACATGAAATCAGTGATTTTAATGGGTAGAGCATGGGCTGTACAGAGCAGGAGTCCTGGATCAGAATCCCTGACCAGCTGCTACACACCAAATATAAAACCTGGCATGCTCTGGTGCTGTTCTGGTGCTCTCCTGAAGGGCCTGGGGCACCTCCTGTCAAGGTCTGGGTGGGTGGACACTCAGAACCTTCTCACCATCCTAGCTGTGACTTTCCACCTGAGGTGTGGACAGATGAAGGTTGGCCCGCTGGCTATACAGAGTCTGAGGATGGCGCTGCCAGACTATGGTAGAGACAGATTCCCTGCTCTGGTCTCTGTCCCCACCTCAGCCACCCAACTCTGTTCCCATAGTCTAACAGGGCTAGGCTGAGTATAGGCTTGGGTGACCTGTGAAGTCCTTCCAGCTGGAAGATAAATAACTTCAAGATGGCTATTTCGACATTTTAAAAGGGCACTTGGAATTTCACTGCTTTTGTGAAGCTGAGCAAGAGAAGGGAGGACAATAGGATATTTTGAAAACAGCCTAGAGAGTAAAAGCCTCACTTTCCTCTTTATTAATTCAGAACTTGGAGGAAATCTGTGAAAGTATCTTTCGGAATGTAAGAAATGTCTGTGACCCTTCTTTAGCAAGGCTTGACCCGGGCTCAATTATGTGCAGTCCCACCTGTGGGGTAGGCTCAGCCTGGTCTCTCCCACACTGGGCCACCCACTGGAGGATAGAGGAGGGGGTTTGGGAGATGGAGTCAGTCCTAATGCTAGGTCTGGCAGTCAGATTTCCTGGTGGGAGACTCTGGGCCTGGGAGGCCTCTAAGCCCCACAGGTAGGAGCCAGTCTTCATGTCCTGGTTTGTGTCCAAGCAGGAACAGAAGGAATGGCATGCACAAAGACTTGTAGGGGAAAGTGCTGGCTCTTGGCTCTGGCCAACAGGGCATGGCATGAGATGAGGAAGGCTGGCAGCAGCCAGATCCTGCAGACATCAGATTGAGTGGCATGCCCTGATTTGTGTTCTACAAAGGCCACATGGGCTGCCGGGAGGGGAAGGCTCAGAGGCAGCAGGGCCAGGTAGGAGGTGGCCTTGGTCACCCAGGGACATGGTGACAGAAGGCAGGAGATGATGAATCTGGAAGACTGACGGACCAATGGCTGGTGTGACAGTGACAGTGAGAGGGAGTGGGCCTAGCAGGGGGTCTTTCAGGCCTCTGACCTATGCATTGGGTGGATGCTGAGGCCTCATCTGAGACGGAATGGGTGCTGTGGGTTTGGGCATCTATGATGAGTCAGAGATGCGCAGGTGACAACTAAGGTGGCTGGCGGACATCCAGGTGGATCCATGAGAACATGGGCCATAAACTGTGCCATTAGGGAGAAACTCAAGCCAGAGACTGAAAGGTAGGCAAGGGCATCCTACAGGTAACGCCCAGAGAGTGGATAAAATCCCATGGGGAGAGTTCAGAGTGAGACCCAAAGAGGGCCAGGAAGAAGCTCCTGGAGTCCCTGACATTTGGGTTTGTGGAGAAACCCAAGGAGTGGGCAGAGAGGTGGCTAGAGAGCGTGGAGTGGGTCCCTGAGGCAAGAGTCCTTGGGGGTCAGGCAGTAAGGGGATGCCTGAGAGGCCGGGCTCATCACTGGGTCAAACTGTGGGGAATTCTGCCCGTTCAGCAATGCTGAGGGTCTAGCTGCAGTTTGAGCCAACTCTGCAGTTTTGCAGATGGTTTGTTTTCCTGGACAGAAGGTTCAAAGCAGGCTTCCCAGGCATTTTCAGGAGATCTGTCTACGGAAACGTTAACCTACGGCTTAAAATTTCTTTCTTCCAGTACCTTTTAAATTTAGGTAACCTGAAAAGTGTAACCATGACTACTGTGTTTGTATTATTTTAATATTGACTTTTAAAAATATAGCAAAAATATATATAGCGGATGCTTATTTTAAATGTTAACATGAGGTTCTATTTTACTATTCATTATACTCTTCAGATGAAGAATCTAATTTAAAAAGATCTACAAATTTCATATGTAATTTGCAGACTCTTGAAGAGTCTACCTCTTCAGCTTTTTTTTTTTTTTTTTAGGTTACAAGAGACTTGTCCTAGACCCTTAGGTATTTAATGTGACATATTCTGCCTCACAAAGTAAAAGAGAAAGGGCAGTTTTTGGCTCCTTTACAAACAGCTTTGCCCCCAGATGTGTCCAACGGCCTGATTTAGTATTAAAGCTCTGAAATGATTGATTATCCATTAGGGTAGCTATTTAAAGAGTTCATCACATCAGATTCAAACCGACAACATCTGCGCTGCAAGGGCTGCTGGAAGAGCCAGGCAGAACCAAATGGAAACCTGGATGGAACTGTGGATTCTGCCTCCTGCAAGACTCTGAGACCAGACCTCTATGAAGGACAGTAACAGGTTGCTGCTGCCACTGTGCCCGTAATCAGGTGTGTGCCAGCGCTTCCTGCTGGGCCCAGGCCAGGGAGAACTCCTGTGAATGAAAACTGACATGGGTCATAGCTCAGAGCCCGACCCTTTCCCCTGCTCTAGGCCTCGCCCTCTTCCCTGGTCTCCCCATTGTTCCCTGTGAGCCCCTTCCCATCTCCCTCTCTCTGGGGCCTCCGACCCTGAGTTGTCCCAGGCTTCTACTTCCCGTCCCACTCTTCCCTCCACAAATCATTGCCACCGCCCAGCTGGGTTTCTCCCTAATCCCTCCTACCCTCCTGTCCAGAATGTTACCGGCAAACCTTACACAATCTAAGGCCGTTGTTGTCTTCTAACCCTAGCAGTTTCCCTCTTAACAGCAACATCAAACTTGTTCCCTTATTCTGCCTCGTCCTTGTATGCTCAGCAAACAGTTTACCTTGGCAGGTTCACCAGGAAGTAACAATACTGCTAAAGCCAGGTGCTTTGTGGCGCTTTTATTTCTGAAGCTGTGTGAATGTAGGTAGGTGTGCCTTAGGTGAGTGTTTAATAGTTTCCAGGCTGAAGTTGTTGTCACCCATGCAGCCACTGGGGCTTCAAGCCCTATCTGTCCGGTGGGTCAGAGCACAGGTGTGTCAGAGCATAGGCCATGCTATATTCCAGGGGCAACTTGGCTGGTCCTGAGGCCTGTCAGGTCTAGGTGGGAGGCCCGTGTCGCTGGAAGATGCCTCAGTCCCAGGAGAGCTCTGTGGCTGGAAAGCTGCTTCCTGATTGCCAGGGCACTCAGTCACAAAAGCTGTACCCAAGGGCTCTTTGGGGTGGCTGCCGTGGTTTCCACTTAGACCCTGTCTTCAGGGCTGGTGCACCCATCCCCTGGGTACTGGGGACATCTCACAGCTGTGTCCCTCCCTAGGCATTGCCCTCAGCTGAGGCAAACTGCCTCACTCAAAATTAAGCCCTTTCTGAATGATTGGCAGATGGGGAGGGGGTACCAAGGCCAGGTCCCTTGGCCCCCATCTGGGACAACTCTGAGGAGCTATCTCAGCTCCTGAGTTCCCTGTAGAACTGCTGAGGTCTCATTTGCACCCACAGTCTGGGTCTGTTTCTCCATCTGCCTGATCCTGCCTTCTTCACTTCCCTGAACTCATCAACAAATTCGCACACACTCAGGGAACCCAGGCTATGACAGCTATCCCGACTCAGCTAAGAGGGGCTGGGTTGATTGATAGCCTCTTACCCCACTCCAGAGCCACTCTGGCCCTGCTATGCTGGGGCTGCTGACAAAGCCCCCTCAATTGTTCTACTGTTACTCTTTTATTGCATTCAAGCCTCCCTAAGGAGCCACTTGAGAGACATTTGTTTATTTTTGAACTTGGACTTAGGAAATATTGTGCTTCTTTTGGCCTTTGGTCTGTGTTTGGATTGTGTTTATGATACAAACACAAACAACTGGGGAAGAGATTGGGCTTTCTTTGCTTTGGCTGCTAGGAAGCTTGGAGACCAGTCCTAGACCTACACGCTACTAGACAAAGATGCTGGTACCTTCAGAGTTCCCTTAACGTGCTTTCCTTGCTATTGTTCTTTGTGTCGTTTTGCTATATCACACAGCTCCGTCTGAGCTGCCTCAAACCCTGCGTGGAATGAAGTAGGGTATAAATGAGTAAACACATACATACAGCCATGGGGGTGTGGTGTCAGACAGACCTGTCTGCCGGTTACCAGCTCTGGGACATTTGCCAAGTTACAACTTCTCTAAGCCCTAGTTTATTCAGCCAAGGAGTGGGCCTGATGCCTGCATCACATAATTATTCTGAAGAAAAATACAACAAGCACATGCCTGGTACATATCAAGTGCTCAATAAATGGTACACATTCATAACAACTTTTTATAAAATCCTGTGCTCTCAAGAAAGTGCCCTATCATGTTGCCGGATCTGCCCCCACTCCCTTCCTGTTGTGTGCGGGCTGTCAGCCAAGGTGCATTTCTGGCTTGTTGGGTTTCACTTTCTCATGGGAGAAAGATGCCTACCCAGGCACCTGCAGCTCACAGCAGACGGTGTGCCGCAGCAGAAGGTCCCGTGTAGATGCCCACCGAGTTCATCCAGGCAGGTAGATACATGACTCAAATACCCACAAGAGAAATGAGCACCTACTTGGCTGGAGGAAAACTAAGACTCTTTATGTAAATGAAGCCTTCATAAAATGAAAAAAAAAAAAAGGTTGTAGATGAGAGATGGGTGATGAGTAATTTAACCAAGACGATGCAAATCTAGGCCTTTGAATACTTTAAATATAACCATCTGATATAAAAAGAATTGCACTAAATTTTTTAAAGTAGAGAGCTTTCCTAGGGTGAGAGACTCACTTTCCTGATAGGGACATATTCCCCAAAAGGCAAATGGGGAAGGCAAAGAACAACATCCATGTTGACATCACATCCCCCTGCAGGCAGCAGAGGAGGATTCAATGCATTTTATAGTCTACACTAGCACCCCATATACCACACGTTACCTTGCAAACCAGTTTGGATCCCATATGAGAACAGGGATGCCCATTTCAAAGGGGAGGTAGCTTGGGAAACTCTTTTGTTCATTTCTAAAGTAAGCCTGCCCCTGGCTCTGTCTCCTTGTAAATGTCAGGTGGGCCTGAACCATAGTCTTGAGCTTGTCTAAAGATGGGTCTGGACTTTCTTGTCCTTTTGGGTGATGAGAAGGCCAGAGCAGGGAACCTTCTGTATGCTGGGTCTAGAATGGGTCTGCTAGATGTATCCTCCTAGAGGGGAGAAAGGGATGGTGTGAGTGCAGGATGCTGAGGAAGGGGTCAAGGACAGGATGGAGAGAGTGTGGCATGAGGGCAAAGCTGGGTACAGGGCAGGCCCCAGTATGGTCTATTTGTAGAAATAGGCCTCAGGAGAGGTGAGAGGGATGAAGAAGTAGTGGCTAGGGGCCACAGCTAGTATCTGGCTGGGCTGTCTAGTCCTGGAGGGGTAAGGGATGCTGGACCATACCCTCTAAGGCTGGTTTAGGAGGGTCGGGGGGTCTTGGAGGAAGCTGCCCAGAGCAGCTATGGCCACCAATGAGACAGGAAGAAGTCAAGGTTGATGGCGCTTGAGCCAGGGTCCCACTGCAGGGACTGGCTGAAGTTCTGGAACATGCATTGAGCACATTAACAAGACTGAGGATTTTGTGTCAGGTCTCTGGAACCTTCCTTTGGGGGATCAGCCAGTGCGGGAGAAACAGGTGATGGCTGGGTGGCCAGGAATCTACTGCCCTATCACCCACAGGCAGCTCATTGTATATCACATGTGGGGACAATGTCCCCCTCAACGCCTAGCCAGAGGGATGGGGCAGGATGGGGATGCAGCATCCAACATCTGTTGACTGTCTTTCCTCAAATCCTGTTACACATTTCCTTGCATCTCCAGAGTTTTGGTAAGAGAAAAACCATGTACTTCACCTCTATCTTGACAACAATAACTTTCCTCCCTTCCTATGGAAGATAGAGAGAACCCTCCTCACCTCCAACATAGCACAGATGCCCCAGGGCCCAGCTTCCATGAACCCCATGTAATGATGATGATGAAGATGACAACCATAATGAAGCCTTACTCCTAAAATGAGTATAATGACACTAATGATAAAGGCAGCATCAGAGAGTGGGGGAGAGAACAGACTTTGAAGCCAGACTGCCTGAGTTCCAGCTCCACCTATCACTAATTGTGGGAACTTGGAGGTCACTTTGTTCTTGGGCTCCCTCATCTGTAAAGTGGGGATCAGAGTAGCTGATTATTGGAACATGTAGTATCCCGAATAGCTATTGCTTTTTTTTTTTTTTTTTTAAGAGATAGTGTCTTTCTTGTCACATGGCCTGGAGTGCAGTGGTGTGATCTTGGCTCACTGCAGCCTCAACCTCCTAGGCTCAAGCAATCCTCCCACCTGTCTCCCAAGTAGCTGAGACCACAGGCATGCACAGGTTTTGCCATGTTGGCCAGGCTGGTACCGAACTCCTGACCTCAGGTGATCCATCTGCCTCAGCCTCCCAAAGTGCTGGGATTATACGTGTGAGCCACCATGCCCGGCCATTATTCTTATTACTAATATCATTACTATAGGCACCTTTCATATCCATTTCATTTGAACTTCGCAATCCTATAAGGAAAAAGGTACAATTGTTATTGTCCCACTTTGCAGATGAGGAAATTGAGGTTCAGAGAAGTTGAGGGACTTGTCCAAAGACACTCAGCCTGGTACGGAGCCTATATGATCTTCCAGTTGGCTCCCTCTGGCTAGGCTAATAGCCTGGTTACCCAGGCTTAAAAGGGATGCTTCACCATTACCTGACAGTCCTCCCATTATCCCTGCCCAGCAGGGAGGGGCGTTTTATTGCCTCAACTTAATGCATGGGAGATAAGGGCCAGGTGAGTTAAGTGGCTCCTAGGCAGGCCTGCCTCCTCCAGCTAAGCTGCTTTTGAACCAGCTGATCAGGACTACTCTTCAAAATCGCAATTTAACTGCTGGGCTGCATCCATTGTTCTGTGTGTGGAGGCAGCTGCCCCATAGGCCACCTCACTTGGTGCTGTCACAGTGATTAATAAGGATATTCTGTGTTCACATGAGGCCTCTCAGTCAAGGCCTCAGAGCACTTTGTAAGCATTAATTAAGCTTCATGATGGTGACTCAGGTAGGTGGGGGCCCTGAACCCACTTCAACATGTCTTCAGCTAATGCAGAGAGAGACCAAATCGCTCCCTCAGCAAGCTATGGCCTTCAGCTCATCCAGGTCCTAGTGGGCATTCTCCATCCCTGGGGTTTGGCCAAAATCATTTGTGGAGAAAAGACTTCCCCTCTTGTCCTTCCAGACTTCAGAACAATAACCAGCACCCAGAAGCCACTCCCATTTGAGTCAGGACCAGGCCAACAGCTCTGATGGGCTGGGTTCTACCTGATGCTCATTCACTGGCCCACCTGGGTTCACAGCCAGAGACCACCAGCATGTCGGCACCAACTGCCTCTGTACACAGGGGCCCCTGGAGTCAGGCCCGTCCCTGCAACACCATCTGCACAGTATCCCCATCCTCCCTCATCTGCTTCACCCCCATTCCCAGCTCTGCCCTCGCACATCTGCCACCTGCTTTCTGTGGCTCTGTCTGGCGCTTGTGGGGAATGGCAGAGACTGTGTAACTCAAGGTAAAGAGCTTGAACCTCCACCCAAGGATGAGGGGGAGCCACAAAAGGGAGAGACGTGGTTATATGTGTGCTTTGGAATGACAGCACAGGAAGATAGGTATGTGGGGTGGGGGATGAAGAGACCAGAGGCAATGGAGCCAAAGCCAGCATGGCAATGAGCCAGGGGGACAGACTTATGACCAACCTGGCAGTGTTTGTGCAAACCACTCCCCCAGTACACCTGAAGAAGCCATGTCCAGTAAAACAATTAAGTCCAAGCCCCACTCCCTCACTCTACCACCTCCCAGACACATCTCTTTGACTTGGCTAGGGAATGAGGCCTGATACTCATAGCTCGGCCTCCATTCCTAGCCATTGACATTCCAGGGCACCATTGAGTTCGACCCATTAAAGAGTCTAGGGGTGGGCATTGTTTTTCTTCCCTACTTGCTTGATGAAACCAAGGCTTAGGGGTCCAGTGGCCTGCCTATTAGACTTGGTAGTAGCCCCTGAAAGATGTCCATATCCTAATCTCCAGAACTGGTGAATATGCTACTCTATGTGGCAAAAGGAACTTTGCAGATGTGATTAAGTCAAGCATCTTGAGATGGGGAGAGAAGCCTGGATTATCCAGATAGGCCCAACGTAACGACAAGGATCCTTTTGAGAGGGAAGCAAGACCGCTGAAGGTGGAAGAAGAGGATGACAAGGAAGCAGAGGCTGAAGCTTTGAAAATGGAGGAAGGAGCAAGGAGCCAAGGAATATAGGCAGGCTCTAGAAGTTAGAAGGAAACAGATTCTCCCCTAGAGCTTCCCGAAGGAACACCAGCCTGCTGATGCTTTGATTTTAGCTCAGTGAAATTGATTTTGGGTTTCTGACCTCCAAAACTGTAAGATAACATATTCCTCAGCATCACCAAACTACAGCAGAAATCCTCAGAAGGAGGTGGAATTTATCCTAGGTGAGGAAATATTGTGATTCTGCAGAGGCCCTCATGGAATCTGAATTAACCTCTTCCCTTGCCCAGAACTGGGAAAGCCATGGATGTTGGGCCTGGTTCTCATTTTGCTGTGATCTGGGCAGGTGCTTGGACAAGATAGACGTATAAGGCCCCTGAGCAAGAAGCTGGAAGAATGTGCAGGAAACAGAGTATAGTAAAGTGCTCAGAGGGAGGAAAAGAAGGTTTTGCTGTTGTTGAAATAAAAAACAGTACAGGCCCAGCTGCTTGGAGGCCTCCAGTCAGGTGAGAACTGGTGGTGAAGAATTCCACCTCCCACTGAGGGGTTGTTTAGTTTGATGATGCTGAGGGTTTGGAGAAAAGGGGAGGGAATTTTCTCCTTAGCCACAGATCTGAGATGACTGCAAATTGCTTCCCATGCAGTCTCCTTATTTTAACCTCCAGGGAATAGTGGGCGAGTTTCTGCCTCCCCTGGGTGTACCTGCTGCAGAGAAAGAGGTGGCGTGTAGGCTGCTGGGAGATTCTGGGCTGGGCTGCACTGGTTCCTTCGTTAAAGTGAGGAGGTTAATGTGAGGATCTCTGAGGTCCTTTTCAGCTAGAATATTGGAGTCTCCTTGAAAAGCACCAGTTTCCTTAACCATTGAACACATATACAGCCCCAGCCTGATTTAGAGGATTTTAGTTGTAATGGTAAACCTTTCCACAGTTCTCAGCGGGGGCTTCACAGTCATTTTCAAAGTTATTAGCTCAGTGATCTTCACAACAACCTAAGAGACAGGCACTGGTATTACCTTATTTTACAGCTGAGGAAACTAAGGCTCAAAGAGGTGAAGTAATTGGTTCAAGTTAGCATCAGAGTCAGGATTTTGACCAAGGTTTTCTGGCCTCCTTGTCACCTCCTTTATGGCACAAAAGGGATCTCAAAGATCATTCCCTTCTTGTGACCTTGCTCTGAGTAGCTGAAGATGCTTCCTGGGATTCCTCAGAGAGTTACTTACTAGCTGCTATGGTTTGAATGTGTCCCCCAAATTTCTTGTGTTAGAAACCTAATCTCCAAATTCATATATTGATGGCATTTGGAGGTGAGGCCTATGGGTGGTAATTAGGATTAGTTAAGGTAGTTAGGGTGGGGATCCATGATGGGGCTGGCGGCTTTATAAGAGGAAGAGAGATCTGAGCTGGCATACTCTCTATCTCTCTCCATCTTCTACCATATTATGACACAGAAAGAAGACCCTCATCAGATGCGACCCCCTTGATCTTGGACTTCCCAGCCTCCAGAACTGTAAGAAATACATTTCTTGTCTTTCTAAATTACCCAGTCTCAGGTGTCCTGTTACAGCAATAGAAAATGAACTAAGACACCAGCAAACTGGGTTGAGTCTTTTTCTTCCTACTGGTCTTGTTCCTGAACCCCAGATCTCTGCTTCAGGCTTAGCCAAGGAGCTTAGGACCACCTCATTTTTTACCCACCAGCAGGTACTTCCTAAGCTTGGCACTATTCCAGACCCCGTGGGGCACTCTGAGCATGAAAGAACAGACTGGCACAAGTGAAACAAGTTATGGAGGCTGATGTGGGTGGTTCTGGACCCCAGCAGTGGCTGAGGAGGCGGTGATGTCACCCAGCAGAGCAGTGCTGGGGAGATGGAAGGTCTGGAGGCCTCAGTGGCGGTGAACAGTCCACAGTGAGGGTGGACATGGCCCAAGGTGACCAAGGGCTCGGCCTGGGGACGTCACCTGCCCAGTCAGGCCCTCCCTGCACAAAGCCCAAGGAGTTAGCCAATGGCCAGGGCAGTCTTAGCCAGGGGGCCTAGGTGGTCCTAGGGTGCCAGAGGGTCCTAGGCCCCCTGGCTAAGCCTGCCCTGGTCACTGGCTGTGGGAACAACAGTTTCTCCTGAATCCTCTCTTTGGCCAGGAGTACTGCCATGTCCTTACTCCTGTGTATACATGGCAGGATGTAATTATCCTAAAGATACCATCTTGAAGCTTTGAATCCTGAACTCCCAGCCCCAGCATTAAGTCTGCCTTCTGCCTTCTTCACTTGCCCCTCCACAATGGGGCTGCAGGGGCCGTAGGGGGAATAAGCATCAGCAGAGACCCTTGTGACTCCTGGGCACTGCCTGCAGAGCTTTGGTCCTGTGTGCAAGGGCCTGTGGATCATGGTCGAACAGTCAGACCCTCAAGTCATGTTGGGCCTGACTCCACAGTGACCTGGGAAAAGTAATTTTACTTATGAACCCCAATTCTCACATCTGTAAAATGGAGGTAATCATAGTAGCTGCATCATACAACAGCTGAGGGGATGAAATGGGAGAATCCACACAGAATGGTTCAGCGCCACGCCAGGCATCAGCAAAGTTACTGTCTTGATGACTCTATTCTCTTGCAAAGTTACTGTCTTCATGACTCTATTATAAACCAGAAGAATGTTTTCTCTTTTTTTTGAGATGGGGTCTCACTCTGTGACCCAGGCTGGAGTGCAGTGGCATGATCTCAGTTCACTGCAACCTCCGCCTCCTGGGCTCAAGTGATCCTCCCACCTTAGCTTCCTGAGTAGCTGGGATTACAGGTGCACATCACCATGCCTGGCTAATTTTTTGTATTTTTGGTAGAGACAGGGTTTCACCAAGTTGCTCAGGCTGGTCTTGAACTCCTGGTCTCAAGTGATCTGCCCACCTTGGCCTCCCAAAATGCTGCGATTGCTGGTATAAGCCACTGCGCCTGGCTATATTATAAACCAGAAGAATGTTCTTAAGAAAACAGTCCCTAATAAAAGATGCAGAAACCTCCTCCCAGGAAGATGTGGAAGAGAGGCCTGGGCCTCAGCTGATGGGATGGTGCCTGTGGGTTGGTAGTCATGGCACTCACTCCCACTTATCAGATAGTAGGGCTTACAAGGGCCAGAATTAGAACCTCTGGCTTTAGACCTTTGGTTGTCAATTCTCTGTATATGGGAAATCAAAACAGAACTTCATGGATGTCTCTGGAGGTGCACCGAAGTCAAGGCTGGAACTGGTGAGGGAGAATCTTTCCTATTCAAAAGAAATAGACTGCTTGGGATGGGTGAAGGCAGGGGCAAGAGCCCTGCATGCCAAGAGGGTCTCCTCCAGCTGGATGGTTCCAAGGTTTCACATGAATAATCAGTAGGAGGGAGCGAAGGGGCCCAGCTTCCTCATCTCTTGGAGAGGGTCTTTGGCTTTTGCAGAGTGACAGCCACAGGAGGCAAACTCCACTGGATGCCATGAGGACAATGGGTGGGGGGGCGGGCCCTAAGGAGCCAGAGTCAGAAGAAGGATGGGCAGAAACCAAGGAGGCTGTGATGACAGGGGCAGGGAGGTGGCAGCGCCATGGGACACATCAATGCTGACCCTAAGCTCTTCAGATTGCTGTTAGCACTGTGAGGCAATAAGGATGGGTGAATCTGCAGGCTGGGAGGGTGGTGGGATACTCAGCAAGATATCCGGCCTCGGGCCAGCCCAGGCTGGGGCTGGGTGGTGGGGATCTGGAGAACAAGCACTCCCTGCTGAAAGAGAGGGAGAGGTGTGCCACCCAGAAGGAACAACACCTGGGTTTGTCAGCCCTCCTCCCTTGCACTATGCCGCGAGGAAGTCAATCACATGTGTGTCTCTGAGGTGACAATGTACCCCCAGCACAGAGGATTCCATGTGGAGGATGCTAAGGGAGCACTGAGAGTGGATTTGCTTAAAAAGAAGCAGGGATCCCTAGTGCTGATGATGGGCTAGATTTTCCTCAAGGAAAATAAACTTCAGACTTAAGACACAACAAAGGTGAAAATAAAATAGAGGCTCTATTTTAGCCATCTTATCTACTACAGTATCAATAATCCTGTTCCACTTTTGCAAGATGCATAGCATAGTTCTAAATAGGACGTTTACATGATCAGGTATCTAGTCAACATTTGAACGGAGAATCTACTAAGGCTTAATGTAGAACCAAGCCCCACGGATGTCAGACACAGGTGTACCCACAAGGAAATGAATGTTGATTCAATAACCTTATTTGATCTTTGACAACCCCATTTATTATGTCATTATGGGGACTGGAGACTGGAGGAAGAGAAAACAAAGAGTGGTGAGCTGGCTCACCCTGGTCACACTGACAACCAGTTCATGACCATGTCAAGAAGCTTCTGTGGGTCTCCCCACAGTGGCCTGGAGCTGACTCCTGGCTGACCTAGTAGCTTGTCCCTACTGCTTGGCCTCCATAAAAGTGACTCATTGATGAAAGTTGCCAGGGGGAGCTACTGAATATCTGAAGGAGAGACATGCTTCTGAAAACTGTGAAACAATGAAAAGCTCTTAACAATTGATTTAAAATCAATATGGTGTGGAAATAGCACCCAAAATAGAAATATCCTCAAGAGGCCAAGGGATAGATGTACATTCGTCATTGCTGTTTCTGTCACTGCACTCATTTTCCAACCCTGACTGTGTGTACACATGTAAATATTTCATACGGATTCAGCCTCACACTGGGCTGTTCAACTTTTTATTAATAACAAGAATAATAATAACCTCATTTGTGGAGTGCTTCTTTCTGCCAGCTACTTTAAATTTACTCATTTAATCCTGCCATCAATCCACGTAGGTCAATATGGTTATTCCCATTTTACAGATGAGGAGACTGAGGCTTCCTAGGTCCACTCAGCAGCCTATTTTAAATCAGAGATTTAAACTCAGGTCTATCTTTTTTTTTTTTTTTTTTTTTTTGAGACAGAGTCTTGCTCTGTCACCCAGGCTGGAGTGCAGTGGTGAGATCTCGGCTCACTGCAACCTCCACCTCCGGGGTTCGAGCGGTTCTCCTGCCTTAGCCTCCCAAGTAGCTGGGATTACAGGAGTGTGCCACCATGCCTGGCTAACTTTTGTATTTTCAGATACAAAAGAGACAGGGTTTCACCACGTTGGCCAGGCTCGTCTCAAACTCCTGACCTCATGTGACCCACCTGCCTCAGCCTCCCAAAGTGCTGGGATTAAGGCGTGAGCCACCATGCCCAGCCTTAAACTAAGGTCTATCTGATTTCAGAGATGATCTTACCACTTTTCTGTATCGTCAAACTTGCCAGACGGCAAGGAAGAACTGGGAGGAATAATGAATGCATCTAGTGAAAGAATTGGGACCCTAAGACATCTGGAGGCTCTGGCAGCAACTGTCCAACAGAACTTTCTGCAGTGATGGAAATGTTTTGTTTCGACACTGTCCAATATGGTAGCCTGTAGCCACACATGGTTATCAGGCACTTGAAATGTGGCTTGGGTGACTGAGAAACTGAATTTTTAATTTAATCTTATTTATTTATATTTAAATAGTTACACATTGCTAGAGGCTCCCATACCGGACAGCACAACCCTAGTGCTATGGGCAGAAGTCAACAAGATGATTCTGGGTTGAGAACTGTGTAACATCTAACATTTGGGTCACAGGAGTGGGATGGGGAGTTAAAAATGACTGGGGGGGGGTGCTGATGCATTGTGAGCAGTCACCTCCAAATGTGGGAGCTGAAACATCGAATCAGAGAAAGGAAGGAGGAAGGGAGTGGGCAGGACAGAGGGGACGGGAGGAGCTTGGCAAGCGGGGGCAGGTACAAGACAGGTTCACCTGAGGATCCAGTCCCTTGTTCCCTGTGCTCGAGACCCAGAAATGCAAAGGAAAGATGAAGACTTCAGAGAGGGGAGGGTCTCATGCCACTTAGTGGATCTACCCACAGGGAAGCATCTTCCTGTGCCTCTGTCAGCTTCTTAGACTTCCCATGAGCTATGTCCACCTTCATCCACACCCCATTTCTATGTTTGCTTTGGAGTGTCTGAGCAGCCAAGGCCTCATCCTTGGAGCAGGGAAGTAAACATCATGGAGACAAACTCACTTGACTTCACTTAGAGAGGCTAATGACCCAAGATTTTCCAGCTCAAAGGCCCTGTGAGCATCTCCCAAGAAGATATGGCCATGGTAAAAAGACATTAGGAAGCAGAGGGCAATAAACCGTGTATGATCAGAAAGAGTAGGACAAATCCTTGACTAGTGTGCCAGAGGCAACGCTTTGAACAGAAGAGCCACACAGGCTGCCTCAAACAGCCACTCCACCCTGGTTTACAAATTGAATGCATCCTTCACCCCGCTCCTGCCCCATTCTGCAGATTTGCAGGGAGCAGGAGCAGCAGCAGAAGGGCCTGGGCAGCTTGCTCCAGAAGGGACTTCTCATCCTGGATTTTCAAAGGGGAGGGTGGGTTTATCCCTTTGTCCTCATACTGTCTTGAGTCTGGACTTCAAAACGTAAGAGGTAAATAGGAGAACCGGTCACAGAGAGAAAAGGGCTTCCCAGGAAGTCATGCTGGGAACTGGAACATCTAACCCCCTATTTTCCATGTCTGATAAAGAAAGAGAAAAAGTGAGCTTGGGATGTTTGCAAGAGGCAGTCCCTAAGGTCCCCAGATCACAGAACCCTCTGTCGATACCTGAACTAGGGGCTGGAGGAGGTCACACTTGGTCCCTGCCTTAGAGAAGGGAGGCAGACCTGGACACAGATGGTCATGCACAGCAGCGTGTGCAGAGAGCCCAGAGGAGACCAGGCCCAGTTGGGTTCTGCTGTCTAGGAACTATGGTCACATAAAAAATCCCAGCAGACAATGGTGACTGTGGTCAGAGCAGGTCAGCCTAGTCAAGCCAGGGGAAAGTCAGTCTCAGTGATGTAACTATATCTGGCTGCCCTGTGGGAGATGACCCCTCTCTGCTGGCTATACATTGGGTGCCATAGACAGGGCAGACATGCGCTATGGGCTAGGCCATTGCAGTGTTATAGACTCGGAGTTGGCCCCAGCCTACCAGGTACCCTGAGATGGGGTGCATGGAAGCCCCAGGGCTGGATTGCTAGTGGTCTAATCTCCATTGTGGGCAAAGCCAATGCCTGTCTGCTTTCTTGCTGGATACAGTGGGCTCCATTCCAGTCTAGCTGTCTGCCAGATCCTGCAAAGCTCAGTGTAATAGGGGCTGCCAGAGCCAGGCACCAGTCAATGCTGCATGAGGGCTGGTTAGTGCTCTGTGCTTGAGAAGGGTTGTTCTGAAAATCTCAGTTAGCCTCTGTGCCCAGTGATAAGGGCACTCTGACTGCTATGGAAACCTTGGTGCTGGGCTGGATTTCCTGAGAAGGATCTGGGTAGGTTTGGGGGCACAGCGCTTCAAGCCTCCTGTATTGATTCCAGGAGTATAATTGTTTCTGCTCTCAGCAAGACCTTGAGGGCAGAAAAAAGGAGCTTGGGGTGCATGCAGTGGGCACCACAGGCCCTTACTCCTGCAGGGTTGCGTGATCAGTTGCAGCCCAGCTGGGGAGGGGTGGGGTTGTGTAGCCCAGGGCAGACACTGGCCTGTCCTAGTTACTCTTGTCAGCAATGAGTATGAGCCCTTTGGGCTGTGCCCTTCTCCGTGCTTTTCAAAATGAAGGACTTGAGGACAAAGGGAGGGACCTTTTCCTGGGACCAAGCAGTGTGTCCTTTCTTAGGAGAGGGTAGTGAAGTCTGGGTCAGCAGCAAGGAAAGGAAGGGGTTAGATGTTACAATTCCCAGGATGGCTTCCTGGAAAGCCCTGTTCTCCCTGAGACCAGTTCTGCTATTTACCTCCTGCCCTTTGAAGTCCAGACTCAAGACAGTATGAAGACAAAGGGATAAACCCACTCCCCTCTTTGAAAGTTTAGGATGAGGAGTCCCCTCTGGAGCAAGCCGTCCAGGCCCTTCTGTCGCTGCACCTGTTACCCCCCAAATCTGCAGAGTGGGGTTGGAGTGGGGTTAGGAGCACATTCAGTTAAAGTGGGGCCAGGCTTCCAGCATGAGTGTAGAGGAGGTGGTACCCAAGGTCAGCTTTGACCTGACAGCAGCAAAAGCTGCCCTCCCTCCCCCAGCCACTAACATACTCCCCTCTTCCCTCTATGCCCCCTCCCTCCACCAAAGTTTCTCTTTCTCCTTAATAATGCATAGGATAACACACAGGCCTTAGAAAAGCCCACCACGGTGCCCCTCTGTGAATACTGGGTGCAGATGCTTCCTACCTCCTCCCCAGTCATGCTTTATCGACTACAATGCTAGGGCCATGGGTTGTGATTCTGTGGTGAGAATCAATTTCATAGATGTCAATAAACTAAGAGGAGGATTAATTTAGACTCCGAGGCTGAGCATGACAGCTATTTTGGGTCAAGTCCACATTTCATTCCTAAATGGACTCTAGCTGACCCATCCTTTCCCCTGGTCTGGCTCCTTACCCTTCATTCTGAGTTCAGCATGCTGAGTTTGGCTACATGCCTATGAAGAAGCACTGGGCTAATTTCTAGTCTTGGGGCCTTCTCCCTCCCCCTGCCCCATCACCCCACTGTTCATTATAAAAGCCAAAAAACATGGAAGAGAATTTGGAAACACATCATGCAGAATCACGCCCCTCTCACAGCAAGAAATACTGTTTGGCCTTCCTCTTCTGCCTGGATCCATGCGTGTGATGGCTGAACCGGGACACTCTCTTTATGGTCTATTTATTCAATTAATGTTAGATCCATCTCCATGTGGCCTTTGAGTCTTCGAGAGCATCATTTCCAGTGGCTGCAGAATGTCGTGTCAAGTGGATAGACATGCCCTATTGAATCATTTGTCTTCTGTGCACATTGTTGCTGGAAGCCAGGTCATCTGACCTGATTTTGGCCCATAATGCATATTTGCCAGTCCCTGTGCAGGGAGTGGGGACAGAATTCAGATATATTTCTTCATGAAACATTTAGGAACTGTTAGCTAAAGGCAGGGCACCATACCAGTGGGAGGACAGGGATTGAGGGAGTAAGAAAATGTGGCCTTAGATTTTCAGTTACTTGAGATTGTAACTGGCAAGGAGCCAGGCCACCAAGTCTCACATAATAAAGGGGGCTGCCGACTCCCAGGGAAGTGATGACATGCTTGGTTCTGAGAAAACAGCCTCTCAGATAATTGGAACTTGCCTTGTAGACATTAGTGCATGCCCTTTAATTTGTTACTAATGATAAGACAATAAGGTTCGGGACTAATTTACTTAAAAATAAAAGTAAAGAGTCTAGGGACTTTTTCTGTATTAGCTTCAGTTGCAGTCAGAATCAGTGCCTTCTGATGTTTCTTGAGTGAGAGGAGAAGGGATGTGGAGTTAAAGCTGTCTTGCTGGCGATTGTATCAGACCTGGGAGTTTTTCCCACATGGACTCCCATTTATAATGTGCATGGGGCAGGAGTGGGGAGCCTGAAAACCACTGTTTGACATGAGAATACTAATAACTGCTATGTTTACTGAGCTTGTACTGCAAGACTGTACTAGACACTTTACTTACGAAACAGGATTTCGGCCGGGTGTCATGGCTCACGCCTGTAATCCCAACACTTTGGGAGGCCAAGGCAGGCGGATCACTTGAGGTCAGGAGTTCAAGACCAGCCTGGTCAACAAGATGAAAACTTGTCTCTACTAAAAATACAAATATTAGCCAGGCATAGTGGTGGGCATCTGTAATCCCAGCTACTTGGGAGGCTGGGGCAGGAGAATGACTTGAACCCGGCAGGTGGAGGTTGCAGTGAGCTGAGATCCTACCACTGCACTCCAGCCTGGGCAACAGAGCAAGACTCTGTCTGAAAAAAACAAAACAAAACAAAACAAAAAAACCCAAAACCAAAAATTAGCTGGGTGTGGTGGTGCGGGCCTGTAATCCCAACTACTCGGGAGGCTGAGGCACGAGAATCACTTGAACCAGGAAGGCAGAGGTGCACTGAGCTGAGATTGTGCCACTGCACTCCAGCCTGGGTGGCACAGCAAGACTCTGTCTCGCAAAAAAAAAAAAGAAAAGAAAAAAAAGTAACAGAATTTTCTTTACAATAATCCTTTATGGTAGGTATTATTTTCTTCACTTTTGAAAAGAGGAGATTGCAAATTACAAAAGTTACGTGACTTGTTAGAGGACTCACTTCTTCCTTCTCCAAAGCCACTCTTTCCAGAGTGGTCTCATGCACATTTGCCTTTTAAAATAAAATGGTAACTGGATAGCAATCCAGACCTAGGATTCTTATATAAGAGAAATTATATGTAATAATTTTAGAAAGCTCTCTTAAAGTAATTTACTTTCCAATGAAAGTATGTACTTAGAGCTGAAATTGATAAGAATATATGTTTATAAAAAGTACTTAAGTTTATTTTTGTCCTTTTCAAAAGAGACAGTACCTTGTAGTTATAAAAGCCTTTAAATTAACATACCACATCAGTGGGCTAAGAACCTCATCTCATCCTTACTTGTTTTACTGGTAGATTAAAAACTTCAGGAAATTTACAGACTTTCTGCTCTGCCCTGAGAAGTAAGGAGACCAGACCAGAAACCACTGACCAGCAAATCTCAGTGGGGGTGCAGAGTCTGTCTGGCAGCTAAATGTATGAGGTGGGCAGAAGAAAATTTGAGGGGTCCAGAGTGAGCATTCCAAGTGCCAGGGCAGCCTGCGTCTGGTTTTAAAAATTTGACTTTGTTTTTCTTTTCTTTTCTTTTTTCTCTTTTTCCGAGACAGGGTCAGCCAGGCTGGAGTGCAGTGGTGCGATTATGGCTCACTACATCTCAACCTCCCAGGCTCAAGTGATCCTCTCACCTCAGCCTCCAGAGCAGCTGGGACTACAGGTGTGTGCCAGCATGCCCAGCTAATGTTTTTGGTTCTGGTGGAGATGAGGTCTCACTATGTTGCCCAGGTTGGTCTTGAACTCCTGGGCTCAAATGACTCTCCTGCCTTGGCCTCCTAAAGTGCTGGGATTACAGGCATGAGCCACCATGCCCGGCTGTTGTTTTTCTGGATTACTGAAATAAACACAGTTCATAATCATGTAAGTCAGAGAGAGCCATTGGTTTTATTTTTGGATGGCATAGAGTAGGCCATACCCAAGGTGATGATTTATTCTGATTCTTTCGTAAGAACCTTCTACTGCATCTGACTGTGGATATTTAAATGCTCTCATCACCAGCCTCTGTGGCATCCCTGCCTCACACTCAATCCATTTGCCCGACCCTCATGTGTTCAGAGGGTCTGACTGCAGGCACATCTACCTGCATCTGTCATTCCTTCCCCACATATATGGAGTGATGTCCAGTCAGCAGGCTGATGTACACCTTTGATATTCTGTGTTGAGTTTGGGGCTAGAGATGAATTCAGGAGTCCATAGCACATAAGGGGGAGCTACATCCCTGTACAAGAGTGGGCGAGGTCACCAGGGCATGGCAGATGGGGTATGCAAGGAGACCAGGCTATGTCTTGGGACAACCACGTTGGAGCTGCCAGTGGAGTATGGAAGGGTGGAAAGGATGAGATAGGAGGAGTGGGAGCTGAGTTAGGAGAATGCAGTGCCCTGGGGCAGAGGATTTCAAGTAGGCAATGAGCTAGGAGGACCTGGACGAGCGAAGAAGCCCAGGCTGTGTGGGGTCTGCTGGGATTCCTATCTGCTGCCCTTGCTTGTTAATTTTTACCCAAACCCCATGAATATATGTTCTCAAATCTTGGAAATTCTAAACCCTATCTATGAGAATGAGTCTTACTCTTTTTTTTCTAGTTCATTTTTTTTTTTTAGGTCATGGAATATTATTTGATCATTAAAGAACACGGGAAGAAAAAGTGAAAAAAAGAAAAATTAAAAATGCCTAAATTTCAACCTTTCTAAACATACCATATGTTAACATTTTGGTCTATTTTCTTTCAGTGGCTTTTCAGTGGTTTAGGATTTTGAAAACTGCTATTATAATTATATTGTATACATAAATGTGTACTAAATTTAACACATGTTGCAGGCATGAATTTATGGCTTTTAAAACATGGCAAACATCATTCAGACTGGTACAAAGTTCAGTACCCACCTTTTAATTAAATTTTCATTATATTACTCCTTTCCGTTGTTATATATGTTTTGGTTATTTGAGGTCAGGTACTGAGAGAAGAATGTAAATTTATGCCCACAACTGTCATTTGGCCAGCTTCTTGTATTTCTAACGGTAACAAATTTTGCCTCATGTATTTCGATGCTAAAGTACTGAGTGTACAAATGTTCAGAACAGTTATGCTTTCACAATTGCTCCTATGAATATAAAATTACCCTTTTTATCCTGCTTGACACTGCTTATTGCCTTAAATTGTGCTTTGTCTGATATAGCCACTCACGCTTTTTCTTTTGTTTGCATTTACCTGGGATAGCTTTGCCTACCCTGGAGCCATTTAATTTTAGGTGAGTCTTCTGTATGAATTTAATCTAGAACCTTTGTCTTCTTACAAGGGAATGTTAAATGCTTACATTTATCGTCATAACCATTCCAGGTGGCCCCCTGTCATCTTGTTTTATGTTTTTTGCATTTCCTTTCTTTTCTGACTTTTGAGCCATAGCTGATGATTTCTTTTCTCTTTTGCAGTGATTTGGAAGGGAGACATCTTGTTTCTCACTCCACTGATCCGCGTTCTATTGCCTCCAATGAATGTTTTAATTTGACTCTGTGTTCGGTTTCTAAGCAGCTCTGCTTATCTCAGCTTGCCCTTCTCATCTCCTTTGGTGGAGGCGACATCCTCTGCAGAGTGGTTTTAAAGGCCCTATGTTGGTTTTTCTTTGTTTGCTAGCTCCAGGAAGGGAGTCCTGCATGCCTGGAGCAGGAGAGTGGCAGGCCACTCCTAGGAGGTGCCCCAGTGCTTCCTGCAAGATGAAGGGATTGTCCAGGCCACAGGGTGTGTGTGTTTGGCAATGGTGGGTGGGAGGCGTGGCAGAAAGTGTCATCACTACTACCTGTGTTTGGAAGCCCTTCCTTTTGGCTCCACTGGCCCTTGTTTGAGAAAGACAGCCCAGCAGATCTGGTCCCTGCTGGCAGGGATGAACTCTTTGCAGAGAGAGGGTTCTAGGGCTGAGGGACCAGAGTGAGGGTAGGTTGGGGGAAAGGGACCTGAGCTGGCCTTTGCCTAGAAAGGTGGGTCAGGGCCTATTGGTCTCAGCTGGGAAACTTCCTGGGCATACAAACTGTTTTAAAAAATCCTTTTAAAGACTTGTAAATGGAATTTCAGTGAGGGCTTTTTCAGTGCCTCCATTTGTCTACTCTCTTAACCAGGTATTGCTCTAATATATTGCATATTAAAACTCTCTACAGGGCAATTAGCAGCTTTAAGTGGTTTGTTTAAAATTAAACACTCTGGCATTTTTTTTTTCATTTATTCAAGTTGGTTGCTCCCCCGTATCCCCTAACACAGAGGTGCCAGTTCTGCCGAGGGCCACAGACAGGAAGGGCTGGGGCCTGGGAAAGGCACGGTGGGGGCTGGCTGGGGTGGGAGGGACATCCTGCCAGGGCCCAAGTTCTCCAGAGGGAGACACAGGCCAAGAAGGGCCTCATCTTCTGGGGGGCCTGAGGGGCAGGAGTGGGACTGGCCTGCTGTCAGTGATCCTCTGCCTGACTCGGACAAAGCTTTCCCAACAGTGGCCTCAGGGACAGGCCACAGGTCAGAAGACCACTGGTGAGAAGGAGGCAGGCAGTGTGTGCACTGGTCAGTGCTATGGCAGGGCCAGCCTGGCTACTGGGGAGGGTGGTGAAGCCAGTGGCACCTCAGGAGATCTAGACCATTTCCACTCTACACCAAAGTCTGCACCCCACAAACACCAAGTTCCTCTGGAACCAGAATCTTAGCTAATCCTCTGCGATCCCTTGGAACATTTCAGCTGGAATCAAGTGGTAGCATCACCAGGGTCCCAAAAAACAAGTGCCGAGGAGGTCTCAGGGCAAGGACAATCTCAGGCTTGGTCACTGGAGATCAAAGTCATTACTCTAACCTCCATGCTGCTCCACCCACATAGTCAAGATAGCCACTGCCAAACCCTCAGAGCACCAGATTAGGAAACTGAGGTCCAGAGACATAGGTGATATATCCAAGTTCATGCAATAGAACAATCTGAATTCCTTACAGCATCTAAAAGTATTCCAATACATTGGCTTTTCCCCTTCTATGTGTGTTGATATAAACCCTGTGACCCAGGTGCTACTGTCTGGACCCAACACACAAGAGCGTGCATGTGTGTGTGTGGTGTGTGTTCCCCCTGGTAGAATTATTCACTCCTCCCCCTGGTAGGATTATGCTTCCAGTGCTCTCTGCTCCTCCTTCCATATTACCACTTATCTTATCTCACTGCACTGTAATTATCTATCTCTGTCTTCCTTCTAGGACTTGAGTACCAAGCAGGGTCTTTGTGCTTTTCTTTGCACATAGTAGTAGGCACACAATGGATTTTGTTAAATGAATGTTGATGAATTCACAACGCTCCACTCACTACATATAGGTCACTATGGCTTGGCCTTATTAAATGTGCAATCCCATTATAATAAATTAATTTAAAATTATATTCTTCTGAAGGTTAACAGTGGAAAAACTGTACTTTGCTCAGCATACCATGCCTGTGGGACGGACACATGGCTGCTTGGACCACACTAATTCATGGTGCCCCTTGTGGCAGCATGCTCTAATTGCAGGCAAAGGGTCTCAAGAGCTTGTCTTTCAAATAAGGAATACAAAGGCAAATCATCCTCACCGACTGTATACGAGCTTCTGAAATACACCAGCCTTTGCCTCTACTCTGCTACCCCAGGTTCCACATACCAGGTCTGCTTAGACCTGGTGTGAGATAAGGTTGGCAGTATTTATAAGATCCCGACTTGCCTCACCTGTTGGGCTACATTAATTCCAGAGGCGTGAGGAAGCACCCAGAAGGGAATGTCATGAAGTGGCCATGTGCATTTGCACATTTTCTACACTGCATCTCTTGTTCTGTTTTAGAATTGACTACCTCCCTGAGGACAGGGACTGTATCTCATTCACTTCCATCTCTCCAGTGTCTGGCACAGGGTTCAACACAGAGTAGGAGCCAGTTGTGTGAGCAGGGCGTGAATACTTGGTCCTGGCTGATGAAGTTGCTCTGATGTAACCAAACAGCCCTACTTTCTGATGCACAGCCATTCCAAACATCCGTGCCTTTATTGTTATCATTCTGATTTCTCAACTTGATTTTGTTTTCCAGAAGTCACCATTCAACCCTGTCGAGTTCAGCATGTGCTGACACACATTGTTACTGGGGTCAATGGCCAGATGAGCCCTTAACATTTCATTTCCAAGTGTTTGTCATTTCTCATTAGTTATATGTTTATAATCACTAAGGTCTTATCCCTGGACAACTTGTCAAAATTGTTGTGGCCTTGCCCACCCTTGCACTCATCCTTCCAGAACTGTGGAGAGCATCTGGAATCCTAGCATGACTTTTCAAAGAAAACACAGTGATCTCTTTCATCCTCTATTATCTTGCACATCAAAACTCTTTACTCATCAAGAGACTCTCTCATAGCTGTGAAAGTTACCTCCTCACTGCCTTGCATCCTCCACAGAACTGCAGGTGCCTCTTGGAAGAAGTGCTGCATCTGTGCCCCTCTCCTTTCCTGCCTTTGTTTTCCATTGTCATTAGAAGCGTAGCCATGGAGAGAAATCTGGCGCAGAGTGCAACTGCAGCCATTAGAAAAGACATTTTCCTTCTAACCAGCCTAAGGAGGATGGGGTTTGGTTTTCAGCCCCTGCAGCCTACAGAGAAATAAGCAGAATGAATTCAAGATGGCAGGTCCAAAAAAATCTCCTTTTGTAAAACAAGCTGTTTGCACAGGAGCAGGTGACTGATGGGTGCTGCAACCAAAAAGGGATGTGGAATTTGCAATGACCCCAACTCAGGCCCTCCCAGCAGCCACCCTGGGAGGCAGCTGCTCAGGAGTGTCACTGGGAATCATGAACCAAAGGATACTATTGCCTGCCTCCCAGTGCACAGGGAGCAAATCTTCTGCCTCCTCCCTCACAGAGAAAGCCTCTCCTAAGCTTTGTGCTTGGGTTTGGGCACTGCAGCTGTTCTTGGCATCTGTGCTTCATGGCAGCCATTACTGCCTGCGACTTGACACAGGCAGGAATCCTTGTGGCAGACCTGCTACCCTTCTCCTGCCCAGGGCTTTTGTGAAGACCAAATGAGAGAAATAATGTAATTTATTTGAAAACCAAATAGTACTGGTAGGAATGCTCAACTGTGGTGCTACCTGGCAATACCCTCCAGAAGCTCTGGCTTTGAGACACTTGGTGAGCACACTCAACACTGCAACAAATTACCCAGATTCAGTGAGATGCCTCAAACTGATGGCCTCAGATTTCATATCCCTTTCTTTGCCTATGAGCTTTTTTGGTTCTCTAACACTTGTTAGTCTGACATTCAAGGCTTTCTCAACTCTTCTTTCCAAACATCTATTTCATATGGAAACTCTTCTCCATTTCAGTGCTCCCAAACATACCATTGTCATTCCTACCCCTGTTCATTTGATCACAACTTTCCCTTGCCTTCCTTCCCCATCCCACTCACCCCTCAGAGATTATCCATATTGTACCCATGCTTGAAGACCAAGCATAAGACTTCTCCACAAGTTGACCCACAAATCACCCTCCCTCCTTCAAAATAATAGTTACTGGGTTCTTGCTGATCTTGAACCAGAGAAGCAGTGATCTCAGTGGTTAAGAACAGGCTCTGCAGTCAGATTGCCTGGGTTGGGGTCCTGGTCCTCTTACTGTCTGCGTGACCTTAAGCAAGTTACTTAAAGTCCCTGAGCATTGCTTTCCTCAGCCGTAAAGTAAGGATAATAATGGTATTCTTTTACACATATGTATTGCTGAGCACAATGCCTGACCCACTGTAAACACTTGAACGAGGGTTAGTATTGTCTCTAAGCATTTTCATATATGTTGCCATGTAATTGCCATGGCGGGAAAAGTTAGTTTTATTGCCCCAGAGGAGAAAGATGAAGTCTGGAAAGGTTAAAGCACTTGCCCAAGGCCACACATTTGATGGTAAAAATGTGATTCAGACTCAAGTTTGGTTGGCATCCATAGCTTTTCCACTGCCATAGCCAACTTGCCTTAATCAGGACTCCTGTGGTTACTCCAGCCCCCGTTCCTTGGTTCACTCTGCATATGAGCATCTCTCCTCTCCCCAGCCAGACCCTGGTCTCCTCCTGGGGAAGGGTTCTCAAAACACCCCACTCTAGCTATCCATCATTTGGCATTTGTTGAATTAACAAAAGAAAGAATGAGTAGGAAAATGTGCATATTAACACCAGACTATCCCCAAATAACTTAGCACTGGTACTTGGTACCTGAAAGTCAGGGGCCTCCCAACAGAACCAGAGGTGAGCCTCCTTCCACCTCAATTCACCCGCTATGCTTTGAGTCAGGAAATCTGTGTTGCTCTCCTGCTAAAACATTTGAAGTGATCCTCACTTTTCCTGTAGGACTAATCTGAGTATTTTCTTTACAGTTCAACGTGCTCTGTTAACATAAGCCTTCACTGAGCTTAATACATATTTCTTTGGCTGTCTTCCTCCAGAAGGCAAACTTTTGGAAAAAAAGGTGATGGTTGAGAACAGCAACAATATGTGTTCCCTCAGAGCTATGCAGTGAATGGACCCATGGCCTGCCCTAGGAGTCAGGAGAAATGGCTCTGGGCTCTGGTTTCCAGATTTACGTTCTCTCTTTTTAAAAGCAAAGCTACTTGTAAAGTGCTGTAAACACCGAGGTCAGAACTTCAGGGTAAACATGATGGAGAACAATGCCCATTTTGCTACTTGCCTCATTATCCCAGGAAAGAGCCTCATGTGTGTTAATTGGACAGAGAAGAACATGAAAGATTGTGTAGAGTGTGCCCAAAGTTACTGATATCCTACGTTTTGGTGTAGACACACTTAATCAGGTGAAACTGTCCTTTCAATCTCCTCAGGCACTGAATAAGGATGGGGAATGACGCAGTAGAGTTGTAGAAAAGGCACTGAAGATTCTGAACAGCAAATTCTCTTTCTTTTTTTCATTGTTTTTTTGAGACGGTCTCATTCCAGTAGCCCAAGCTGGAGTACAGTGGTGCAATGTTGGCTCACTGCAGCCTCTACCTCCCATGCTCAGGTGATCCTCCCACCTCAGCCTCCTCCTGAGTAGCTGGGACTACAGGTGCACACCACCATGCCTGGCAAATATTTTGTATTTTTAGTAGAGATGGGGTTTCACCATGTTGCCCAGGCTGGTCTTGAACTCCTGGACTAAATAAATCCACTCGCCTCGACCTCTCAAAGTGCTGGGATTATAGGCGTGAGCCACTGCGCTTGGCCTGAACTGCAAATTCTATATTAAATAACAAAAAGTTCTCTATTAAAGAATACCTGAAATCCCATTTAGTCACAGCTGTCATTTGTTGAGTGCCTACTATGTACCTGATGTTTTATTTGTATTATCTAATTTAATCCTCACTACAACCTGCAACAGAGTTGGTACTATCTCCATTTTACAGAACAGAAAACTGAGACTCAGTGTCTTGTCAAAGGCCAATAAGTGGCAGAGTAGCTTTGACCTTGGGTATGTCTGATTCCTGTCCAGAATTTTTCTCCCAGAGCACAAGGTTGTCATTCCCCTGATTCCCCTGAGGAATCTGGGAGTCCAAGAGACTTAGAGCTCTTGAGTCATCTGGTACAATCATCCTCTTCCTCAACTCATTAGCTGAAGTCAAGACCTGTGCACAATGCAGTTAGCTAATTTGTTTATTCATTGTATGCTTATGTAAATGGATTGAAATCTTTCCTCGACATCATTATCTGCCAGAAAATAGGGGCCGCATACTTAGCAAGTGTTTTCAATCATGTTTTAACTAGTAATAAATCTTTTGCTTGATTTATCTGAAAATTGTCTGCTTGCTCTCCTTCCTGTTGCCCTTATCTTGTAACACTTCATAAGCTTCCTCCAATAGTAATAACAATAGTTAATATTAAGTGAACACTCACTCTGGACCTGTCAGTCACTGTTCTAAGTGATTTAGCTCAAAACCTAGGAGGTAGGCTTTATTATCACCTCATTCTGCAGGTGAGGAAACTAAGGCACAACTTGCTCAAGTTTATGCAGCCCAAATAGCAGAGCCAGGATTCAAATCCCAGGCTAATTGATTACAGACCTACTTTGCTAAATGCCTCAGTTTATAAAGAAAATATCCTCCTAAATGGAAACAGTCTAGAACAACACTGCCCAGTAGAAATATAATGTGAGTTATAAATGCAAGCCACATATACAATATAAATTTTCTAGTGGCCACATTATAAAAGTAAAAAGAAACAAGTGAAATTAATTTAAATATATTTTACTTAATATATCTAAAATATTATTTTAACCTGTAATCAATATTACCATTACTAATGCAACATTTTACATTTTTTATACTAATTTTTCAAAAGCTAGTGTATGTTTTATACTTATAGCACATCTTAATTGCCACTAGACATATTTCAAGTGCTTATGGCCCCATATTAGACAACAGATATATAGACAGACATTCTACTTTTCCTATTTTTTTCTATTATTTGTTTCTATTTCAACTTTATTTTAAAAATTTTTTAAATTAAAAAAAATTTTAGAATCTTGCTCTGTTGCCCAGGCTAGGGTGTGGTGGTACAATCATAGCTCATTGCAGCCTTGAACTCTTGGGCTCGAGCAATCCTCCCATCTCAGCCTCCCAAGTAGTTGGGACTACAGGCATTCACCACCATGCCTAGCTAATGTTTTTATTTTTTATAGAGACGGGGTCTCACTATGTTACCCAGGCTAGTCTTGAACTCTTGGCCTCAAGCAAGCCTCCTGCCTCAGCCTCCCAAAGTGTTGGGATTATAGGCATGAGCAACCGTGCCTGGGCTATTTCAACTTAAAATTTGGGTTTTGCATTGGTATTGGATCAAAGAAGCCTATGTTAACGGAAATGTATCCTTTGGGTAATTAAATGAACAGAGCAACAGTTTAGGACAGTGGAAAGAACATGCTTTAGGCATTAAAAAATCTGGGTTCTAAGCCCCATCTTAGAACCACTAACCAGGGCTGTGGCCAGAGCAGCCCTCAACTTCCCTCGCTGTCTTTCCTCATGTTAAAAAGACATGATGGTTTATGATTATTAATATCCTTTCCATTTCTAAAGCTCTTTCTGCTTACAGCACACATTATTTCAGGGTTTCTGTGTCTGTTTCCTTGTTCCGTTCAAGATTTCTATAAGAAAGGACTTATCCCACATTGTGGTTGTGTTCCCCGTGCCCAGCGCTGTGGCTGACACATTTTTGTAGGCACAAGAAATGTCTGTTGAATGAATGGAAATCCAGTCCTCCTTTGAGGGACTCCTGGGCCTCCCAGTTCTTGCCAGAATGATCACAACAGCCTTAGCAATTAATTGCACTTTCTCATATTGGCCTAAAATCTTAACAATCTAAGCTTTCTAAAGGGTTATAGCCAGGATTAGAAACCATTTCCTGATCCTGTGTGCAAAGGAGGTGGTACTCAGCCCTAGGTGTGGCTGCCTAGAGACCCCCACAAATGGCCTCCTTCTTATTACACGCTGTTCTGATGCTGAGGAGAGTTAATTAATGACTCTAAATAAGAAAACAATCAAATCTGTCTGCAGTCATATGAGTCAGAGCAGACCCAGATGGGGTGCCGGGTCCTTGGCTTCCAAGCGCCCTCGGGAAAAGCAGTAGCAGCCTTTGCTCCTTTCATCAGAGCTCTGCGAAGCCCCAGCTTGGAAGGGGAAGGAATCACTCAAAATGGAATGGAGACTCAGCTTGATATGAAGAATTTTTCTTAAAAGTCTAACCCCTTATCTGAGTGTTGTACAGACTGAGGCCCAGGGAGAGGAGAAAAAACATAAGTTCATTCCTTTCTACCCTCTTTAGACATCCAAATCGAATGGGGAGTTCTCAGAAACCGGCCCCTGTGTGTGTTGCAAGATTGGAGCAGTTGGAACTGCCACTTTAGGAGGACAAGACTTGTGGTCTGAAATTCACCAAACCCCAAACCTGCCCACCTTCTGGAGTCTTGCAGCCACATATGGAGGTAGAGCTTTGGTTGGGTGGCATAAGGACAGGAATGTGATGCTTTCCTGAGATTGGCTGAGGCCCACACAGTGAAAATTTTATTTAGGTGTTAGAGGCTTTGCTATGAAAATCTGAGAGTGCAAATAGGTGGAAGGAATCTCTTAACAATATCTGAGTGTCTTCAGCTTTGGAATAGGCTGCTAGGAAATAAAGATAAGCTCTATTTCTTTGGCTGTATGTGTACTCTTTGTCAAATAACAGCTTCCTCATGTTTTTTTTCCTTCCTTTCTTAAAAACGAAAAACAATGACAACACTTTGTTGCCATCTACGCTTGGCTTCCTGTGAAAATTTTCCACAGTGGAAAGAAACCCCTGGGCTACTGGTCATGAAGGTCATTATACTACCCTTTCCCCATTCTTTGGTAACCAAGTTCAGTTAACAAAGCTGGATAAGATATAAAGTAGGTGGCACTATCCTTGCTGAACTTGGAAAGACTGATTTGTGTCTAAATCCTAGTGGGTCCGCAATCCTATTCCTCTGGCATTTGATTATAAACTTACATAGAATAATCCAATAGTTCAGTTTTATTTCTGTAATAGCAATAGGGAAAAAACAGTGGTAAGGAGGAACTTCCAGAGTTTGAGATCCAGGATGGAACCTAAATTCTTCCCCTTCTGTGTAACCTTGGGAAAGCCCTCAAAGCTTGGTTTCCTCACCTTGAAAGTGGGAATTATGCCACCACCTACCTCACAGGACTGTGAGGATTAAATACATTCTTACATGTGAAGAGCCTGAGTCAGAAAATGTTTCCTCTTATTAGCTCATAATTCTTTAAACAGGGATTGCTGATGAGTTTGTTCGAAGTAATGCAGTAATATCCACCACAGCTCTGTTTCCTCCTATTCCATTCTGTAATCAGCTTTGGGGAAATCCTCTTGGAGGCCATGGCCCTCAGCTCTTGCTTCTGGTCCACACCCAGAAGTCCTCCCTTCCCACCAGGTGGGTGAGGCCAGCACTCCAGAACCTTGGACAGCTCTCCTCCACAGTGATCCAGCTGGCTGCCCCAGGGAGCAGGAGGGTCTTGGGAAATTTTCCGAGAAAAGCTGCATTAGTGCAGTGATTTAGGAATACCAGGGCTGCAGTCTCATTTCCAGCATGCATGCTGCCACTTGCATGCGTGTTCAGATTCTTCAACATGACCAGCCCTTCTGGAAATTTCTAAGGAGCCTCTCAGAACTGCTCACAAGATTTACCAAATCTTAGGGCCTTTTCCTTCTTTTCTATGAACTCCAAGAATTTTTTTTGAGCCCAAAAAGAACAGAAACACCACCCACATCTTCCTGAATCTGCTGATATTTAATTTGTTTGGCTTCAGTACAAGGATTAAACATTCTTGATTAACTTCAAGTGAAAGTAATAATGTATGAGCATGAGGAAATGTTTTACAAGACAAAGATACAGGTATAAATTAAAAGAAACATAAAATAACGTTATTGCCTGTAGGTGATGTTAAGCACCATTCTAATCAGGATAAGCAGGTGGTTCAATTTATGAGGCAATTTAGCTTTTCACTCTCCAATGCAGAATACAACACACCATATGCAGTCACCTTCCAAACAGGCAAGGAAGAGATTAAGTCCTATTTTTACTTTATGATACTGAGTCACATAGTTCAATGCAAATCACATGGATGCCAAAGTAAGAACAATACCAGGTATTAAAATACCTTCTTTCCTTTGCAGAGCTGCAGAGCTCTTAGGATTTTGTGACTGCAAGAAATTCCTTCAGAGTAACTCCAGGAGAAGAGACACATGTCACCAGATGGGTATTTAGGACTGAGCATGTCTTATCTCTCTCCCCCACTTCTGTCATTAGGCCTGGAAAGCCGTATTTGCAGCTTTTTGCATTTGGTAATAGCCTCCAGAAGCCTTCATTTTCTGGGCTACATTGTTTTTGAGGAAAAGAGGGCTTGCCTTTGAAAAATGTTATTGACTAATTTAATAATGACAGAAAGAAGAGGATAAATGTGGAACAGGGAAAGAGGAGAAAAGAGTAGTAGAGGTAGAGGTAGAGACAGGAGATGCCTAAATCTCTTTGGCCTTGATAAGTGTTTTCCATGCATTGTCCTTATAAATGGGTTTGATGCCCACCTTCCACTGGTCAGAAACTTGAACAAAGACCTTCAAGCCCTCTTTAAACATTTCCATAGAGGTGAAGACAGCAGCAATTCCATGGCTTGAACTAGCTTGAAAGAACTTCAGACAAGAACATCAACTCAACACTCTGAAGGTAGGAGGGAGCCCCCCAATAGAAAGATTTGTGATTTTACCTGACAATGCTCACACTCACTCTGAGCCTCTACACCATGGGGGAGTGTTAGTTGCCAAATTGTGACTGGTTTAACCTCTTTCCAGCAGAGGTCGCTGTGGACACTGGGAGTGGATACTTGTGGGAACTGGATCAGGCAGCCTGGGCTAGATAGATGGTGGCTACATTGTGTAGTACTTGCTCTTTCTGTTGTTCTCCTGGCCATCATCTGGTCTCTCATCCTATGGGAAGTAGATCTCTGTGAAGATTATCTCAAAGCTGCACAGTACCTTTGCTATGCAAGTGCTGTGAAATCAGGGTCACTTATTGGGGAGGGCAGGTCTGGGAGGGGCATGCTTATCCTCTAGGGGTATCACCTTGTAGTGTATGTCTGTGTTACCCTTGTTTCCTCTCTGAGGAAACAGTATTTCTGAGACACCTAGTATTTCTGAGACACTGCCTGTGACTGACCAGCAACGTCAGCGCCATGCCCTTCCAGACATGGAGGCCAAAGTGACAAAAGTTGCCTTGCAACGTAGTCCTGCACCCACATCATAAGTGACTCTGTTGATGAGTCCCCTGCCAAGCCTCACTTGGAAACACATGGTGGTGGTGAGGGGGCAGAATTCTGGTCTTTGGAGCAGCCTATTACAGTAGGATAAAGCTTCTGATAAAATGGGAAGGGCAGGGCACTGGTGAGTATGTCAGGGTCAGACCTGAGACCTCAGAAGGGCTGAAGAAGGCTCCACATAGTTGTGAATTCCCCACTTACTGGGCCTTTCGCAGGCCAGGCAGGCTAGGCACAAAGCAACCTGAAGCTACCTTCACCCTGAGGGCATCCACTCGGACCCTAGGTCATTGCTGTGGCTTGAGAGTTAAAGATGTGACTACCCTGCTCCCCACCCCCACAACATCCAAGCCCATCAGTAAATGAGTAAGTGGTTCATCTACACACACACACACACACACACACACACACACACACAGCCCGAAGCGCAAGCTCTGGCCGTGCCACACACATGAAGACTGAAACACACATGGGTACATTCATCTAGTCACACACATTCACACCCACACTCTGACCCACACCATCATCCATGCAAACCCTCACACACTTAAACACATCCCCTCCCCAGAACCAAATTTGACCTAACATGGCTGATGGGGCGTGGGAGGGTCCAGTCAGGATGTCCCTCTGGACCCTGGCCCACTCACGCCCTGTGAACTCCAGGCCCCTTGCTCAAGGTGGAGCCCCCACCTGTCCCTGTCCTAGTGGTCACAGGTCCTGAACACCCCCACTCTCGGCCCCCGAAGGGGCCCTGGTCACCATCGCGTGCACAGAATCCTGGGTGCCTGGCTGGCCTTAGGGTAGGGGGTATGGGAAAAGGGAAAGATGTGGGGGCATAGTGCCCTGCCCTGGCTCAGCCGCCTCCTCCCTCGGGATTTTCCATCCCGGCTCGCGCGGGCCCGCTAGAAGCCGGTGCGCTTTGTCTCCCGCCCCGCTCCTGGCACGTTTCCGTGGAAGCTGCCCGCGCCGCGCCCGAAGCCCCCCCTCCGCGGCCGCGCCCCCCGCCCAGCCCGCGGCGCAGGCCTGCCAGTGCGGCGACCGCCGCTTTGTCCTCTCGAGGATGCCTGGGCCGAGCGCGAAAGCCCCATGCCTTGGAACAGCCACCGCGCGTCCTGGAAGCAGGTCCCCGAGCCTCGGTTTGGGGTGCGCCCTGCATCGGAGCGGAGCAGCCCCCAAAGATTCGCGGGCACGAGGTTGGGGGTAGCGTCTACCTGGAGCTCTTGAGTGCTTGAGGGGAGACCCGCCCCGTCCCGCTCTGTACATGCCCATCTGGGATTGGCCCCCAGCTGCGGTGCCAGAGGCTCGGTCCCCGGGGCGTGGTGGGCTAGGGCGGGTCGTCTCGACTTAGAGCCCCAGGCCTGGATCCAGGTAGGGAGGGCCTGGGAGATAAGGCCCAGGTGGGGAGAGGTGGGGAGGGGTCCCTCCTGTCCTCGTACATCCCCCTACACTACCTCTCACACCCAGGCCACCCAACCCTCGGCGCGGGCCCGAGCGCGGGGGATTCCGAGTGTCAGTGCTTTCCTCCACCCGCGACTCCGAGAAGGATGGGGAGGGGTCTCCCAGCGTTTCCCTGCCACATTCCAATTCCACCCTTCACCAGTAACCTAGGAGGGTCCAAGTGGGAGGGGTAAGAGTCCTCTGTCTCTTCCACATCCTCGATCCTCCTCTTTACAAAACCCTAGGGCCAAGGGAGGAGGGGGGAATAGGGAGGGGGGCGAGTGTGGAGGAAGGGGCCTGGGCAAGGGTCTTCCCTGCATCCCAAGCAGCCCTTCCTGAATACCCCTGGGAGGGTCTGGGCTAGGGGAGCGGTCCGCGATCTCATCCATCACCACCAGACTCCTTTGTAACCTCGAGCAGCCGAAGTGTTGCGGGGAGGGGTCCCCCTGCCTCGAGTCCCTTCATCCCACAACACCTCATCCTCCCGTCCTGAGTAATCCGAGCAGCCCCGTCGCCAGGCACAGCGGGAGGGAGGGTCCAAGCCTCCTCGCTCTCCCAGGAGAGATGGGGGGTGGGGGTGACCCCCAGCCCTCGCCCCTCATACCCAAGAGCCTTCTCCATGATAAAACGAAAACTAACCCAAGCTGCTCCGACCTCCGGCGCCCGGCCACGGGAGGCCCCTAGTCAGTCGGCGGCTGTCCGGGACCCGCGGTCCTGAGAGCAACGAGAACACGTCCCGTCAACTCCCCAGCCCCTCACGCCTCGGTTCGCCCGCTCCCCAAGAAAACAAAAGCGAATTCAGCAGCACTGACCTCTGACGGCGGGCGGGAGGGCGGTCAGCGCCCGGCAGCGCACCCCGCTCCTCCCGGCTCCTCACAGCCCGGGCTCCCGGCCGCAGATCTGGCGGCGGCCGCAGCGGCGGCGGCTCTCGCGGCTCTCGGGTCCGGAGCCTCCCTCAGACTCAGCACCTGGAGCGGCGAACAGCTCCGCGCTTCATTCCTCTGACCCCGCCTCCCTCGCGCCGCCGGAGCCAATGGTGACCCGGACCCCGCCCAGGAGTCTGCCCATTGGGGGCGTCCTCCCCTCTCCCTCCGGCCCCGCCCGCAGGTTCCTGGGTCTCTCCTTCAAGACCACATCCCCCAGAGACCGGCGGAGTTTCGCACAGCCTTCTGGGACTTATAGTTCTTTAAGGACGCGGAGTGGGCTCACGCCGCGGGTAGGCAAACAGAGCGGGACTGCATTTCCCAGAGTGCACTGAAGACACGGAGGCGCGGAGCAGGGCGGGAGGACCGTTTCCATAGCAAAGACGACCAGCCGAGGATGGCTGGCGGAGGCGTGGGGCAGGCCGCAGGACCCTCGAAGGATCGTGTGAGACCCCGGGCAGCCTCTTGGGAGGCCATTTCGAGGAGAAAACCTTGATTTCTGCCTCAGGACCCTGGGCCTCAGTTTTCCTATCTGAGAAGAAGGGCGAAGAGCTGTGCCCCCGACCACACCCGTCGGTGATGGGGCAAACCGAGGGCAAGCAGGTTTGGTTCCTGCCCAGCAAAGGTGAGGGAGGACGGAGGAGACTCTCCCACCGCATTCAGAACTTTATTCCTTTATTTTTGTCTCAATCTTGTCATAGAGGAGCGCTTCACTTTTGGTCATCCCTTGGGCCACCAGGGCCTTCCCGTCTCCGTCTTCCCATCGCAGGTCCTGGCCTCCTTCACACCACTCCAGGATACCGCAGCATCTCCCCCAGCGCAGCAGACGGAGGGCGCTTCACATGCCCCCGGACCTAAGCCCACTCTCCCCTTCAAGATCTGGACTCCACTTTTTTGCAACACTCTTAACTTCTTTGGAAGCTGGGAAGCCTCCTACTCCCTTGGGCCTCTCCACCCTGCCCTCAGCTAACTCGTCGGCAAGCCCCAGCCTAGACATTGCCTGTTTTGTGAAGACATCTAGATGCTGGGCTGTCTGTTGAGTGCCCCACCCTGTGTTTGAGCAGCACCCTCTACTTCCCCTGTTCTACTTGCATGTTTATGTGCTCGTCTTCCTCATTATAAGATCCACAGGGGAGGGGCCATGTCTATATTATTCATACTTACAGTCCAGTGTCTAGTATCTGGCACGTAGTAGGCACTCACTAGCTATTGAGATATAAATATAGATATTTGTTGAATTGAAAATGAATTGGGCCGGGCGTGGTGGCTCACGCCTGTAATCCCAGAACTTTGGGAGGCCGAGGCAGGTGGATCACTAGGTCAGGAGTTCGAGACAAGTCTGACCAAAATGGTGAAACCCAGTCTCTACTAAAAATACAAAAATTAGCTGGGCGTGGTGGCACGTGCCTGTAATCCCAGCTATTCAGGAGGCTGAGGCGGGAGAATCGCTTGAACCCCGGGAGGTGGAGGTTGCAGTGAGTCGAGATTGCACCACTACACTCCAGCCTGGACAACAGAGTGAGACCCTGTCTCAAAAAAAAAAAAAAAAAAAGAGAAAAAGAATAAAATTAAAAAAAAGAAAATAAAGGAACCTCATTCACATACACCTCCAAAACTCTGATTTCCTAAAGTTGGGCATTTCTCATTGCTGGAGGTGTTCAGTTAGAGGCATGCCGCCCCCTTGAAGAAATGTTTATTTCATTTGTACAGTGGGTTGGGATTTTACCTGAATGCTTTGAGTACCCTTTTAATCCTATGATGCTAGAGATTGATAGACCCATGCCTATTATTCCTGTCAGTTCTCCCTGAAATGTCATCAGTTCTTCATGTTCCGCTATTTCTAGCTGTTGGCCCTACTCGTTTCTGTGCCTAAATGCCCTACCTCCCACTCCTTTTCTGAGAAAGATCTTCTGCCCTGTCAGTTATGAAGTAAAGATGTCCTAAGATTCCTGCTCTTTCTTTTTTCTTTCTTTCTTTCTCTCTCTTTTTTTTTTTTTTCGACGGAGTTTCGCTCTTGTTGCCTGGAGTGCAATGGCTGGAGTGCAATGGCGCGATCTCAGCTCACTGCAGCCTCTGCCACCTAGGCCCACCTTGGTCTCCCCAAGTGCTGGCATTACAGGTGTGAGCCACTGTGCCCGGCCTCCTGCTCTTCTTTCAACCCTCTGCTCAGCATCTTAGGCCTCATTGGTGATGTCCCACCTTGCTAGGTAGCATCTTTCCTGAATATTTCTCCACTAAACATTCTGATGTTGGCTAGATGGCCTAGTTAATCTACACATTTCATTTTATCACCTTCTCCAGATGTTTTTTTGTGTATGTCAGCTGATACACTCTGGGGAGAATGCCTTAATATATGGGAATAATTAACTCATGGCCAAGAAGGAAATAACCAAGGGGACTTTTACTCTGGACCTAATTCAAACCAAAGAGACAGAGCCTGAGAGAAAGCAGCTCTGTCATCCTTGAGTTAGTAACATCCAGGAAGGGAAGGCTAGGGTGGGGGAGTGAGTAAAACAGATGGCATTTAGGGAAGAACCAACAGGACTTTAAGAGGCATGGCAGAGGGGCTTTGATCCTGGCTAAACCATCAGGGAAGGCAATTGGAGCTGGGTGAACAGATGGGGTCTTATTACTGAAGAGAAAACGGTAAGGAGGCAGGGGGAAATGGGACGTGTGCTAAAGCAGAGTGCCTCATTCAGTGGATGCAGTGAGAGCAGAGGCTGTTGGAAAAGTGGATCAGGGAGGACCATGCCACCAGGTGGGCATCAGCAGAGTATCACCCGAGTATTGCAGAGGGATACCAAATAAGTCCACCTGAAGCCAGAGCTGAAACCCTGTGGAGGTCCGTTTACCCCTTCAGAAGTAGTGTACCACCATCCATCTACCACTGGAATCCAATTTCAGTTTTGGCAAATTGTTATAAATAGGAAAAAGTCAGGGTTCCACAATTCTGGCAGCACCCAGAGACTATAACAGCATCTGCACAGCCAAGTAGAGTTAGGAAACCTGGATCCTAATCCTGACTTTGCCTCTGATTAGATGTGTGATCCTGGGCTGGAGCTGTTTTTTCAGTTGTAAAATGCTGTTTATTGGTGTTAGGTAGCAGCTAATAAGGCTGGAGGTGGGGCTGGGTGTAGTGGCTCACACATGTAATCTCAGCAGTTTGACAGGCCAAGGCAGGAGGATTGCTGGAGGCCAGGGATTTGAGACCAGCTTGGGCTACATAGTGAGACTCTGCCTGTACTAAAAATTAAAAAAAAAAAAAATAACTCAGTGCAGTGGCGCATGCCTGTAGTCCCAGCTACTCAGGAGGTTGGGGTGGGAGGGTTGCTTGAGCCCAGGAGTTTGAGGCTGCAGTGAACTATGATCAATCACACCACTGCATTCTAGTAGCCTGAGTGACAGAGCAAGACCTGTCTCTAAAAAAAAAGAAATTTTTTTTAAGGGTGGAGGTAGGGAAATTCAAAGCTACTTACTAGCTGTGTGACCTTGCCTAAACTACCTCCTTGGATTTGCAGTCTGTTTATTTGAAAATGTCATAAGGGATAAATGAGATTCCTTATGTAAAGTACTTTATAAATATTAAGCACTTACCAAATGTTAGTCTGTTTTCACATTATTCTTCTTGGATTACCAGAAATTGGTTTGACCATGAATAAACAGGAGATAATTTCTTGGGTAATCTGAGTTTGAATCCCCTTTCTCTCTCTTACTAATTGTATGACTTTGATTAGGTTATTTAATATTTAATTGTTCTGGGTCTCAGTTTTCTCATTTGTGAAATTAAAATGTGTTCTTCAGAATTGTGAGGGTTAAATGTGATAAAAGGCCTGACTCATATGAGAAAATGCTCAATATATTTGTTTTGTCATTTTTAAGGGGTGGTTTTAGGGCACAGAACCCTAAAGGAATGAATGGAATTCTAAATACTTCGAAGCTAGAGTAGTGAAAGATTCCAGGGGAACACAGTGCTGGCCTTCTCCCTTCTTCTTGGGGAAGAAAAGATCTCAGTGAAGTTCCATGGGTCTTCTCAGTAAGTAAAGAGGAGATTAACTAGAATGCTGAATCTCAGACACTGAGGGGTTAGAGTGATTGACCAGGGCTGGGTCCTGAAGAGCTTGGTATTCTAGGCTGAGAATATAATTTTATTCTAAAGCTAATGAAGGTTTTTAGGGAGATGTGCATTTTGAAAAGGTCTAGGGGCTGCTTGGAGAATGGCCAGGAGAAGATGAGGCTGGGATGTGGATCGGGAAGGTGCTGCGGTGATCCAGCATGGTGAGTGGAAAAGAGGGGGTAGATCTGAGAGATAGTTTTATATTTATTTATTTGTTTGTTCTTTAAATATTAATAGTTCATCAAGTTTCCCATCTTTTTTAAGTAGCTCATCACAGAGTTATTAAGAAGGTAAATATTCCGAGGACTTTGTGAATGAGAGCTGAGGGCGTGGAGGAAACTAGTAAAAGTCAAAGATGATGCTTAGGTGTCTGCCTTGGGTAACTAGGGGATGGATGGGGGTGCTATCCCCTGAGATGTGACACAGTAAAGGAGCAAGTTTAGGCAGGAAGAGAAGTAGGTAAGTTTGAATTGGGTGTGATATGTCCAAACAAGATGTCTAGGAGGTGGTTCGGAGCTTATGAGAGGGATCTGGTTAAGGGATAGAGTCATAAATTATCAAATTATCACCATATAGATCATAATTGAAGCCATGGGAATGAATGGATCCTTCAGTAGAGAGGGTCAAAGAAATGAACAAAATTCCTTGGGAAATACCATCATTTAGGGGGCAAGTAGAGAAAGAGGAACCCAGAGGAAAAGGTGAGACCAGTCAGAGAGATTGGAAGAAAATCATAGGGTGGGGTGCCACAGAAGCCACAGGGAGGAAGTGGGGTGAAGTACCTTCAGATAAGCCAAGATCTGAAAAAACAAATACAAAATTTAGCAACAAAAAGGTCACTGGTGACCTTGGAGAGAGTGGGTGCAGGGGAGTAGCAAGGACAGAAGTCTCCGTGAGTGGGAGTACGTGTAGACAACTGTGGGGAATGGATTGCTTTGGAAGGGGAGGAGAGAGAAAACCAGAAGGAATATAGGTTGAGGAACAATTTTGTTTTGAGTTGGGAGCAATTAGGACATTTAACAATAATAAACATGTAGGTAGGTAGTTGAGAGGTGGGCTCTGGAAATTGAGGGAGTTCATATTCCATGGCCATTACTTCTCTGATGCTGGAAGCAAGGATACGTGCTCAGTGTGAGGAGGTGTGGTGGGGTGGGAAACTTGGAGAAAGAAGAAAAGATTCAAGATGGCTGCTGTGGAAAACAGGAGGGAAAGCTAATGGCAATCCACAGAGGCTGTAGGGTAGTGGTGGGGCCTGCTGAAGTTCGAGACCATGGGTGTGGAAGCACTAATCCATGCAGTTATGGGCTTTCTCCAGCATCTTGTTGGCCCTGAGATAGCCTTGGTGAGGCTGGTCCAGGCTGGGGTTTGCTGGACAAGGGAAACAAGAAAGGAAGGGATTTGGAGATACTGACAAGAGAGGTGGAAATGGTGGTCCACCAAGAGGAAGGTGAGCCTGGATGGAGAGGGCAGATGGGGGTAGTGAGGTTCTTGGCGGAGTGAAAGGACAGATGCTGTGGGTGGCAGGGAAGAGCAGGGAGGGCAAGCAATGCTGGTCAGAGTTGGAGGAGCTGTGGGCAGGAATGAGGGGGCAGGGTGGCTGGGGTGGACAGAGAAGATCATGAGATTGAAAGGCCAGTTTGTTATATGGGTTATTGGCAAGTCTTCTGGAAAGATGGCCAGTTTGAAGGAGACAGGAACCCTGGTAGCTCCATGCCAATGTACAGTGAGTGGCATGTTTGATGATGGCAAGGTGGAGAGATGGAGTACAGAGCCCTCTGACATGAGAGTCACACAACCCAAGATAGTGGGTGCTAAGAAGAAGCCCTCTTGCCCAAGATAGGTGGGGTGAGGAGGAAGTGAGGCAATGAGCTTTCTCATACATTTTCTTTTCTTTCTTTCTTTTTTTTTTTTTTCAGATGGGGTCTTGCTCTGTCACCCAGGCTGGAGTGCAGTGGTACAATCTTAGCTCACTGCAGCCTCTGTCTCTTGGGTTCAAGCAATTCTCCCACCTCAGCCTCCCGAGTAGCTGGGATTACAGGCATGCGCCACCACGCCTGGCTAATTTTTGTATTTTTAGTAGAGACAGGGAATCACCATGTTGGCCAGGCTGGTCTCGAACTCCTGGCCTGATCCACCCACATCGGCTTCCCAAAGTGCTGAGATTACAGGCGCGAGCCACCACATCTGGCCTCTCATACATTTTCACAGAAGTCTTGTGTCAACATCAATACACAAGATCAGTTTTATACACACCTAAAAGGCAGAATGTCAGAATAAAATTAACCAAACCAAAAAGTGACTTCAGATTTAATGGTGAAATTATATCAACCAAGTTCAACAGTAGTGATTCCTGTAATTTATATTTTGGTATAGTTTGTAGATTTAAGTATGTGCATATCAACTAGAAAATGTGTTTCAGAAACAAATTTGAATATTTTTTGCAAATTTTATTTCTTAGCAACGATTTGTTTTCTCAGTTTAGAACATAAATTAGAGAACTTGTGTTGATTTATTTTTTTCCAAATGTAGAGCTTAGAGCTTAATTCATGCCTTTGAAATGCCATGAATTTGAAATGCAGCCATATTCCTCTCTGCATCCTTGAGAGGGATTACAAGGATTTTATTAGTTTTTCAAATAATCTTGCCAGCACATTTAGACTTCCCACGAGGGTCTCCTATCAATAATGCTGGATTGTGAGTGATGTTGCCAAAGTGCTGTGCGTGGGATATTTAAGACAAGTCAAATAAGCAGCCAACTTTAGGATTTCCCAAGCAGGAGCTCAGTTTGCAATTACAGGACTTGGTATAGAATATGAAACGTGCATCTAAATGTTAATTAAGAAAAACAATCTCCGTAACGTCTAAAGAAAAAAGGACAAAATCAGTTAATTGCTTTGAGCAATCTCTATCTTTGAAAAAAAGAATGTTATATTAAAACATTTTCGTATGGTTGATATGTCTTTGTAATCTTGAAATAGGCCTGCTATTCCAGCCCCTCGAAGTGGGGTTGGGGGCAGCTCAGAAAATATTTTGTGAATCAATTCATGAATGTTATGATAATCTGGCCAATGTTCAAAATTCTTCTTTTTTATCCTAAACTTTCATAAAATATTTTTACAAGAGGAGTGACTGTTTTAAAACCCAAGTCAGATCATATCACACCTCTGCTCCTAGCGGCTTTTCTGTGTCATTGAGAGCAAACCCTAAAGTCCTTATGGTAGCCTACATGGCATGAACTTTGACTCCTGTAGCCTCACTGACCCCTCCCCTAGACTCTCTGCTCCAGTACCTTAACCTTCTTTAATTGTACCAGACACTGTGGCCTCAGCGCCTTTGTAGCCTTTGAACTTGCTGTTTTCTTCGCTTGGAAGCTCTTTCCCTAAATATGCTCCTGGTCATCCTATAAAATGGCACCCTTTTCTCTCTTGACACTTTCTATCACCCTTGCCTGCTATTTTTTTTTTTCGTCAATAGCACTTATCACCATCTAACATATACATTCTCTCTCTTTTTTTTTTTTTTGTTGTCTGTCTATACCCACTCCCAACTCTCCAGTGACCGAGTAGAATAAGCTCTCCATCAGGGTAGAGACTTTGTCTATTTTGTTCACTGCTATGCCCACAGCATGTAGAACAGTATCTGGTACATAATAAGTACTCAGCAAAATGCTTTGAATGAATAAGAATAACAGCACATCCTCCATAATACATAAACCTAACTTTTTTTTTTTTTTTTTTTTTTGGAGACAGAGTCTCCCTCTGTTGCCCAGGCTGGAGTGCAGCAGTCTATCTTGGCTCACTGCAACCTCCACCCCCTGGGTTCAAGCGGTTCTTGTGCTTCAGCCTCCCAAGGAGCTGGGACTACAGGTGCCCGCCACCACACCCAGCTAACTTTTGTATTTTCAGTAGAGACAGGTTTCACCGTTTGGGCCAGACTGCTCTCGAACTGCTGATCTCAAGTGATCCACCCACCTTGACCTCCCAAAGTGCTGGGATTACAGGCATGAGCCACCATGCCTGACCTATTTTTAATTTTTTTTATTTTTCCATATTACAGTCCACATCTAGGACATATGTATATATAATCTTTCATATTCTGGAAATCATAGCTTAGGAATAATTTTTGGTTCTTTTAAAAAATATATAACATATAATAAGCATTTTCCTTTGCTTGGATTCATTTGTTCAGTTGTCCATTCACTCATTCATTCAATAAATCTTTAATGAAATGTTTCTATGTTCTAAACAGTGCTGGGACTATAGTGGTGAAGAAGATGCAGGACTCGCCTTTTAGAAACAGTGGTTCTTTATAAATGCCATTTGTAATGATGGCCCAGTATTGTATCATATACCATACCACACTTAACTTCTCCCCTAGTTAAGACTTTTTGTCTATTAATAATAATGTAATGAATATCTTCAAGTTTATAGCAATTACCTTTCATTCTTAAGGTAAGTTCCCAAGCAGTTTTTGGATTGTAGGATTAAATATAGTTTTGGTTTTTTTGATACCATCTGCCACATTGCTTTTTTTTTTTTTATTTTTTTGAGATGGAGTCTCGCTCTGTTACCCAGGCTGGAGTGCAGTGGCATGATCTCAGCTCACTGCAGCCTCTGCCTCCTGGGTTCAAACGATTCTCCTTCCTCAACCTCCTGAGCAACTGGGATTACAGGCATGCGCCACCACACCTGGCTAATTTCTATATTTTTAGTAGAGATGGGGTTTCGCCATGTTGGCCAGGCTGGTCTCAAACTCCTGACCTCAGGTGATCTGCCCACCTCAGCCTCCCAAAGTGCTGGGATTACAGGTGTGAGCCACTGCACCCTACATTGCTTATAAAAAGGGTAGTACCCATTTTACCTAAACACCAATATGAATGAATGTTTCAGCTTTATTGCAGCCTTACCAACATTAGGCATTACTTTCAGGTTTTCCTAATGCAGAGTATAAAATGATCCTTCCTTTTATTTTTATGTGTAATTAATGTCTAGTAAGGATGCACCTTTTCTTTTTTCTTTCTTTTTTTTTTTTTTTTTTTTTGGTCATTGGTTAGTTCAGTAGGTCCCCAGGAGGCTCTTGGAGGGCCGATGTCCTACCTTGTAGATTGTGCCCAATATTTAGCACACAAAGGAAGCTTATCATAGCATCTTAAAGTTGGAAGGGACTGCATTCATCATCTAGCTCAACTAAAATTTTGGACAGATGGCTTTCCGTCCTCTGCTTACACATCCCTGGTAATGAGGACCTTGCCACCTCATGGGACAGCCTGTCCAGTTTTTGACCTGCACTTCAAGTGTTGAGCTGGCATTTTCCCTCTGTGACTTTGATTCTTTTTTTTTTTTTTTTTTTTTTTTGAGACGGAGTCTCATTCTGTCGCCCAGGCTGGAGTGCAATGGCTCCATCTCTGCTCACTGCAATCTCTGCCTCCCGGGTTCAAGTGATTCTCCCGCCTCAGCCTCCCAAGTAGCTGGGATTACAGGCATGCACCACCATGCCTGGCTAAGTTTTGTGTTTTTAGTAGAGACGGGGTTTCACCATGTTGGCCAGGCTGGTCTCAAACTTCTGGCCTCAGGTCACCCACCTGCTTCAGCCTCCCAAAGTGCTGGCATTACAGGCATGAGCCACTGCACCCGGCCTACCCCTGTGGCTTTCATGTGACCCAGTTCTGCCCTCAGGAGCATCAGGGCCCACATACCAAGTGTTATAGAACCTCCTCCTCCATGACTGCCTATCTCAGCAAATATGTTGCCAGACTAGAATGTTCAATCCCAGGTGAAGTCTGGCAGGCCCAGAGGCCAGGACCCTGTCCCGGCCATAAGTCTTTGCAGTGGCCAAGTCAGCAGCTTTTCCAACTGGGTTCATGTGAAGCTTATGGTAAGCTGAGATGCTGAGATCTTTATGTGACCTGCAGCCAAACCTAGTTCCTCTTATCCTACACTCCTGCAGTTTTTGTTGTTGTTGTTGTTGTTGTTGTTGTTTTTTCTTTTTGAAACCTGAAAGCAAGAGTTTGGTTTTCTCCCTGTTTTATTTCAACCTGCTTGTAGAGAAGCTGCCCTGGTCCCACTCCTCCTATCTGAAAAGGAAATAAGAATAATCCTGACAACTTCACGTGTAGGTGTGATGATTGATTGTGAGATGCAGGGTTAAATGTGTGTCACTCATTTTTGTTGCCTGACATCTGAGCCGCCTTTCTGTCCTTGAGGAATTCCATGTGTCATGAGGTAGAGCCATATTCCTTTGCACCTAGGGCATGGGCACTGGCCTGAGGCTCAGGCTTCTCTGGCCAGACAAACCATACCCACTATTGGCTCCCTCCATCAATTTTTAATTGGAAGCAAAAGACAGCAAAGGGGAAGGGCCTGCTTAGCAGCCCTTTTAGTGATTCGATGGGTATGATCTCAGTTACCAGTGACAACAGTTTTATGGGCAGCATCCAGCATGGGGTTGTCCGTGGTGTGGGTTGGGGGGCAGTATTCCAGCCTTGGTGGTCACAATAATGTCTTCTTAGACCAGTGCTGAGTTGGGATTGGGGCATTGTTCCTGACTGTGTGCTTCCAAGCCTGGTTCTCCTAGCCTCCTGGAGATTTTATGAGCTACTCGCTATCTTTTTTTTTCCTCTTTTTTCTTTTTTTCTACTCACTATCTTTTAAATAAATTCCTTTGCTGTACATGACAGCCAAAGGTAGTTACTTTTGCTTGCAACTAAAAATCCTAATCAATATATACAGGTTATGAAAAGTGCATTGAAAAGTGCTAAGCACCACAAGTGTAGAAGATATTGTTGTTTGAGATTTTCATTCTTAAGTAGTCGGGGGTGAGGGCATTGGGAGGGGATAGGCCTGAGCGCCGTACCTGCTGAGAGTTCAGACAAGTCTAGCATGCCCAGAGAGCTGGTCGGTGGGAGGGTGGGATAGAAAGAACTTGGGGACTGGACATTGGCTTGACATTTAAAGGCTGGTCATTGATCCTAAAGCAGGTGTGAGCAGAGTCACACCAGCTTGATGTAGGGATAGCAGAGGCCAGAGGGCTTACTGGGCACACATGAGCAGATTGACTGCCTGCCTCTCTGACCCTTGGACCATTACCAACCGTCAGGGCTAGGAAGTGGGGCTAGGATGTAAGCAGGTCACCTGGGGCTTTGTAGCTGCCTGTAGGGCGTTCTCACAGGGGGTGGAAGAGGACACCTGCTTGGATTTGCCCTCTGCCCTTGGGACCCAGAAGCCGTCATGGGTGAGTTGGGATTCCATCCTTTGCTGCCCTCAGACTGACACCTGGGTCCATCAGCCCTGGGGCTGAGGCTGGCACTGTTGCTCTGGTCAGGAGAGTAATGGGCTCTTTGTAGCATTGTCACGATGAGCACAGCCTCTCTGGGGTCTTCTTCTCATGAACCCCAGATTGTCCCCAAGTCAGTCCTGCTGGGGAGTGTGTGTTTGGGCTGGGGGGTATTCCTGCCTTAGGGTGTTCCCTGATCCCAGTGTACACTGGACATTGGTATGGCTGGATGCCTGTCTTTGCCCAGTAGCCTGGCACACCTTCAAGGAGGCCTGAGATCACATGTGTCCAAAGCAGCCAGGGGTCATGTATTGGGGTTGGACCACAGTCATATCAGAAATATGATAGCATCATTCAGAGGGATCCTCATAGGGAACTGTAGATTCTGTTTGGTTTTTGTGACTGATTGGTTTTTGCTATGTTAAGATCGCAACTACAGACTTTAATTTTCTTGCCAGATATGACTATATATAATACTGTTTTGATACCAGTTAAAATAAAATCCATTACAAAAACAACATAGAGTATACGTTCTTAAGCATCATCTGATCTAGACAGCCTTTCAATGCCTAAGTTACTTTGTGTCAGGCAGTGCTCCGACATTTTACATGCTTTCTATTATTTAATCTTAACCACAACACTATGAACTAGGTACTATTATGTAAGAATTCCCCATTTTACAGCCAAGGAAATGGATGCCCAGAGGGTTACAGGACTAGCCCAAGGTCACATAGCCATGAAATGTCTGTTTACCCACCCCCAGAGACTGAGAACTGCCCTTCCATCAGCCCATTCCACTGGGGGGGAGGCTCTAGTTTTTGAAATGCGTTTCCTCACATGGAACTAAACTTTGCTTCTCCCTGTCAATCCCACTCCTGTTTCTGCTTATCCTAGTAGCCCATCATGGTGGCTCCTGGTCTCCCATTCTTCTGGCTCAGTTCTCTACCCCATTTGTTCCTGGGGGCACTTCAAGTTCTTCCTCTAGGAATCTCTGAACCATTTTGTATCAGCTAAGTCCTTGGAAGAATCACTGCAGGTAGCTCTCCAATTCTTTGTTTACTTTGACTCCAAAGGTTCTGGTATCCAGTTTGTCTTACTCCTGGCAGGGGCATGGCAAGAAATCATAAATATGACCACAAACTTTAGAAGGGGATTGGTAGAACATTCTCTTTCCCCAAGAAAAATGGCAAGAAAACAAAACAGCAGAAACAGCACTACTACTACACTAAGAATTGTATTACTGAACAGGAATATTCTGTCTGCTCCTCGGACTAGAATGCAAGCTTCCTGAGAGCAGAAACTTTTGCTACTTTTGTTTACTGCTGAGTTCCCAGTGCCTAGAATGGTGCCTGGAGCATAGTAAATATTGAACTATTTGTTGAATGAGTTAACAGTACAATTCCACATCTGGTGCTGCTTTCTTGTGTTATTAAATTGTTTGGGGGGAATAATGTGATCTCCCAAGTCCATGGCTTTGAATTTTGTTTTCCCTTATCTTACTAGCAGTTTTTCTAATTTTTGTGTGATTTTTGATTCACAAGAAGATAGCCTTAACAATATGTAAAGTACAGTGAATAAATAACTCTGCCGCTAAAGCAATTTTTCTTTTTTTTTGAGACAGAGTTTTCCTCTTGTTGCCCAGGCTGGAGTGCAATGGTGTGATCTCGGCTCACTGCAACCTCTGCCTCCCCAGTTCAAGTGATTCTCCTGTCTCAGCCTCCAGACAAGCTGGGATTACAGGCGTATGCCACCATACCTGGCTAATTTTTGTATTTTTAGTAGAGACGGGATTTCATCATATTGGTCAGGCTGGTCTCGAACTCCTGACCTCAGGTGATCCGCCCGCCTTGGCCTCCCAAAGTGCTGGGATTACAGGTGTGAGCCACTGCGCTCAGCCTTTCTAAAGCAATTTCATCTGATCATGTAACCCTAAGTATAAATCTGAATTTGATTCAGCCTGATAAAGAGCAATATGCATGAGGTATTGGCTTTCTAGCCTCCTATCCTATGGAAAGACATTCTGTGACTTTCTGCTTTGAATTTCGAATTTGAATGCAGAATGTAAAATCATTAGGAAATAGCTAGGCAAGAGGAACATTAGTCTTTACAATTTTTTTTTCTTTTTTTTTTTTGAGACAGAATCTCATTCTGTGCTCAGGCTGGAGTGCAGTGGCATGATCTCGGCTCACTGCAACCTCTGCCTCCCGAGTTCAAGTGATTCTCCTGCCTCAGCCTCCTGAGTAGCTGGGATTACAGGCGTGTGCCACCACGCCAGGCTAATTTTTGTATTTTTAGTAGAAATGGGGTTTCCCCATGTTGGCCAGGCTGGTCTCGAACTCCTGACCACAGATGATCCACCTGCCTCGGCCTCCCAAAGTGCTGGGATTACAGGCATGAGCCACCACGTCTGGCCCAGAATATTCATCTTAATATCAAAATAATTATTTTCAAGAAAAATCTTTAAGTGAAGTTGATGTCCAGGGTGCTCAGTGCAAAGGGACTTTGTGAAAATGTTGGTTGAATGAATGTTGTTCGCCCTCATCTCCAGGATGCCCTTGCTCAGGTCCTAGCAGGTCTGAAAAGGCATAGTGAGCCCTCTAGGCTGAGAGGTAAATATGTTAATATTCAGTGGGTACCACCTATACACCAGGTAAGGTGCCAGGTGTTTTACCTATGTAACCTCAGTTTAATCTTTATACCCTGCAAGGATCCTTATTTTATAAGCTAGAAATGGGAGAATCATAGAAATTAGGGAACTTTCTTAAGGTCTGGAATAGGATAGAACCAAGATAGGAATCCTTCCTGGTCTGTCTGAGGCTCTGCTCTCCATATATACCATGTAACCGCCTGAGGCCAGTTTACTCACAATTTTCTTAGAGACTGCAGGGGGAATATGGCCCACTTCTGTGTCCTGGGGGCATGAAAGAAACGACTCATGTCTGTCTTCCTTGTTGAAGGCTGAAAGGGAAAGGATTGCAGGACTCAATGGTGGGCACAGGAAGGCAGTATCTTGGAGGGTCTGGAGCATCTCCTCATTGGCCAAGTGGGTCAAGCAGGCAAAGGAAGAGGAATGAACTCTGGTGAACAAGAGTAGGTTGTCCCCTCCAAAATTCATGTTGAAACTTAATCTGCAATGTAACAATATTAAGAGGTGGAGGCTTTAAGGATGATTGGGTCACGAGGGCTCTGGATAAATGGGTTAACAGATTAATGGATTAATGTTATAAAAGCCAGTTTGGCTCTCAGTGCACCACTCTTGCCCTGTGATGACTTCTGCCAGTTATGACACAGCACAAGGCCCTCACCAGAAGGTGACCAGATGTGGCTTCCTGTTCTTGGACTTCCCAGCCCCCAGAACTGTAAGAAATACATTCTTTTCTTTATAAGTTATCCAGTTTCAGGTATTCAGTTATAGCAATAGAAAATGGGACTAAGACAGAGCCCTGTCCCCCTCTCAGGCAGGAAGTTTCCTGCATAGAGGCTGGAGCCTAAGCCAATGGACTGGAACCTCAAGTGAAGCTGGAATGGGGGCTGAGATTGCCCTGATTGTCCTCTGCCTTGAAAGTCAGGAAATCAGCCTGTCCTCTTTGAGCCTTGGCCTCCAGCACTGCCTGGATGATGGAGTCAGCCTAGCTCCACCCCAGCTGTGCATCTTAAGCTCCTAGGCACATGCAGACCTCCACCCAGTTGGCCTAGCAAATCAGGGGTGATGAGCTCAGCTCCCACCCTGAGAACCAGAGCTTTGGAAGGTGACTTCATTACTCCCTGCCTTACCATTCAGCTCTGGTGGAGCTGAAGCCTCTCTCCCTTCTACTGCCACCCATGCCTCTTCCTGGAGCTCCCTCAGCCCCCTTTCCCCTGGATCTCTTGGGCAATGAGTTTCTTCATCTGTTGAGTAAGGAGTGGACAGAGGTGGGGGCTGCATCATCCTCATTCCTACAAGTCTCAAATCTCATCTTTCTTGCCCATTTGTGGACCAGATTCTCCTGGAGGACTCACAGCTCATTGAAACCTCTTAAGATCCCTATCCTCAAATTTTCAAGCTGTCCAGTTCCCAGGACCCTGTGAGGCCAAATCTGTGGTCCTGTCTGCAGTTTGCATGTCCCCTCTGGCCTGGCTTTCCCACGGCCTCTGTCTTGGCCCTTTTCTGGCCCACACTCCAGTTTGCTTCTGGAGAACTTTCCAACCCTTCTCCCCCAGCAGGCCTTGCAGCTAGGCACGTAGGCATAAAGTGTAATGTTGTCCCTCCCAAACCCAAGCAGACCCTTACTTTTCATTGTATAAGGGGTATGTGACTTTTTTTGTCCCTAAACAGTGTTTTCTGGGTTGCAGGACCCTAAGGTACACTGGTCTTGAGACATGTCTGCTGATTTGACCCCAATCTGCAGTGCCACAACTATGCCCACCTTGGTTCTGTCCTTCCTCACTGCTGCCCACTCATGGTGCAGCCCTGTGGGCTGAGCAGCTGCTGGTTTAGATGTTCTTCACTGACCTTTGTCCAGTTCTTGTCCCAGAATCTTCAGGGGCAGCTGGATACCCACACTGTTACTGCTGGGGGCACCTTGGCATGCTCCGTAAGGAAAGGGATGGCCTTACCATGTTTTTACAGGATAACAACCATTTAGGATGGTTGTTGATATTTTTGCTTGTTTTATCTTTCAAACTTTGCTCCTCCTCTGTTTATGGTTCAAGTTCAAGTTTCACTAGCTCCACTCAGCCATAAGTTGAGTGACCCTGGTTGAGGGAGCCACCATGGCTTTGTCAAACTCTCCGAAAACACAAAATTATAAGGTTCCAGATTATTCACAGATGTCCAGGAGTGGTTGTTAGCATGGTTATTCAGTGACAGCATTGCAGTTCCTGAAGCAGATGTGGCCACTTCACCTTCCAAAGGGAGCCCACGATATCTGTCTCTGTCTTATGCTATCCTCACAGCACCCTCAACTATCGCTTCCAACACCCCTTTCTTAGGGACAGAGCAGGTGGGTGGGTAGGGGGAACTTGAGCCCTGGGGAGCTGGATTCCTTAAAGCAATTATAAATGGTTGCAAAAAGTAAATATGGTGTGAACTCATTATATACAGGCTTAGCAAAGGAGCTAGAAGATGTGTTTCTCAGTGTTTTTTTTTTTTTCTTTTGAGATGGAGTCTTGCTCTGTCGCCCAGGCTGGAGTGCAGTGGCACGATCTCGGCTCACTGCAACCTTTGCCTCCCGGGTTCAAGCGATTCTCCTGCCTCAGCCTCCCAAGTAGCTGTGATTACAGGCACCCACCACCACACCCAGCTAATTTTTCGTATTTTTGGTAGAGACTGGGTTTCACCATGTTGGCCAGGCTGATCTTGAATTCCTGACCTCAAGTGATCCACCTGTCTCAGCCTCTCAAAATGCTGGGGTTGCAGGCATGAGCCACTGTGCCTGGCTGCTTCTCTGCTTTTTAATTTTTTTGTCATGAATACACAGTTCTTTCCTTTTCTTTTTTTTAGAGACAGGGTCTCACTGTCACCCAGGCTGGAGTGCAGCGGCATGAGCATGGCTCAGTGCAGCTTCAATCTCCTGGGCTCAAACAATCCTCTCACCTCAGCCTCCTGAGTAGCTGGGACTACAGGCATGCACCACCATGCCTGGCTAACTTTAAAATATTTTGTAGAGACAGGATCTCACTATGTTGCCCAGGCTGGTCTCAAACTCCTGGCTTCAAGAGATCCTCCTGCCTAAAGCTCCCAAAGTGCTGAGATTGTAGGTATGAGCCACCGCACCTGGCCAAAATTCTGCTTTTCTAATAAGAAAAAAATAAAGGGAACTATGAACAGATCCTATCATTGGATATTTAAATAATTCTTTTTATAAGTATAAACAGTGCCAAGCAGAAATAATTGGCTAAAAATGACTTAAAAGTTATAAAACACACAAACTAAAAATAGACCCATAAATAAAATTCTGAAAAACTGACAAAATTCCTTAGTGATGTTTACCAGGGTTAGAAAACTGCTGGTGTCCAGCAGTATGTTCCCTATTCAAAAAGCAGTGGTGAGGCCGGGCGCGGTGGCTCACACCTGTAATCCCAGTAGTTTGGGAGGCCGAGGTGAGTGGATCACCTGAGGTCAGGAGTTTGAGACCAGCCTGGCCAATATGGTGAAACCCCATCTTTACTAAAAATACAAAATTAGCCGGGTATGGTGGCAGGCGCCTGTACTCCCAGCTACTTGGGAGGCTGAGACAGGAGAATTGCTTGAACCCAGGAGGCAGAGGCTGCAGTGAGCCGAGATCACGCCACTGCACTCCAGTCTGGGTAACAGAGCCAGTCTCCATCTCAACAACAACAATAACAACAAAGCGGTGGCTGGACATAATAGTTTTCAATCCAGTCAGTTTTTTCAGCAGGTCAATAGGTTAACCCAAATGCCACATTTGAGGAACTTATAAACTTTTCTTCTTAAGCACCTGCAGCAGAAGTTGCCTGCAGGGGCTGGGGTGGAAGTAAAGAGAAGAATCTCATCCCGCTATGACTGACCTCTGGGTTTGCAGGGCAGACCCGATGCCAAGAGCTGAATATTGGCAAGGCCATGTGCCCATAGAAGGCACTTGACCCTGGTCAGTGACTCAGAGCAAGGTGGGGTGCAGGTTGCTACTTCAATGTTGAAAACATCAACTCCAGCCATTCTAAACGCTTTTCTATTTAATGTTTTTAAAGTTATAACAGATAGTGATCTCTGTTAGAAAAGAAAACTGGCAAAGTCTCTTTTGTTTGTCAACCCCAGCTGTCCCCGAGCTGCTGTTGTCTAACCAGAGCTCTCAGGGGCCATAAGCCCCATGTCCAGCTGTACCTTCCCTGCCTACCCCAGCAAGGAATAATCCAGCCTTCTAGCTTCTCTGCAGGGCTTCAGGGCTGTCAAATTCTACTGGGACAGAAGAAAATTAACACCAGTACAGAGACATGGTTTCCAACTCAGCCAGCTCTTTGCTGGTCCTTTTATTTACACCTGGATAGACTCTAATTCCATTCCCCCATGATGGCTGTTTCCTGTGTGTCCAACTCCTCCAATTGTTCACCCCACTCCTATCTCTGTCTCCGATGACCTTAACATCTCCCTCCCTCGGAGAGTGAAGCACATCAGGTTCACTGCTCTTCTCTTCTTTGCTTCTAACAGGATCCACATGGTATTTCCAACACCAGTCTTCCCCTAAGCTCTCCCTCCCCTCCCACACTCTCTGGCCTCCTCCAGGATTCAGTTCAATAAATTACCCTCTTTCTCTGATTCTCTAATCCTTCCCTTGTGTGGTTCCTTTCCTTCACCCCACAAGCATAATTCTTTCTCATTCTAGAAAACCTTCACCTTCTCTCTCCTTAGAGTTCCCACCCTGCCCCTCACAAACTTCTTGAAAGGAGCCCGAACTTTGTGCCTGTATTTCCTCAGCTTCTTTTACTACCCACCAAGTCTGGATTCCACCCCCATCAGTCTACTGAAATTGTCCCCACTAAGGTTACCAGTGACTTCTTGTTGGATTATTAAATGACATATTTTTTATCTTCACCTGAATTGACCTACCTCCTGATATTTGACCAGTTTCTGCAACTCCTTCTTAAAATTCTTGTAATTTCATTGGCATTTCTGTTTCCTGATGCTTTCCAGCTGCCTCCTCTGACCTCTTGTCATCGGACCCATCCTTAAATACCACTGTGCTTTGAATTTAGCCCCGACCCTGCTGCTCAGCCTTCCTGCCCATCAGCTTCCTTCCGTGAGCTTTTTAGTGAGAGGAGGTATGAGTGTTACCCATAGCTGCTCAGCAGAGCTCTGCAGAATGAAACCACTTGTCTCTCTGATTGCCTGCAGAGCACATAGCCTTGACCCAGGGGAACAGATTTCTAATGGTGGAAACTCAGGCATTGGGCCCTTGGTGGATTGGATGTAGGTAGGTCTTGTAGGTGATTCCCACATTACTCCACAGGAGACCAGGCCTTTCCCTGCTCCAAGACTCAGCCAACTTGGGGGACACAGAACTGTGGCCTGTAAAGGCTGGATGCCCACAGGGCTGCTCCATGTTACATTCCAGAGTCTTCCGTGCTGACACATGGAGCTCTGATTGATTTGTCTTCACAGCTGTATGGTTTCCTGCTGCATGGATATGCTCCCATCTCCATTCTCTTGATGAACATTAAGATTGTTTCCAGTTTTGAGATATTTCCCATACTGCTGCCGTAACACTCTCATGCTGGTCTCCTCATGCACACATGCAGGGATTTCTCCAGGGTCTATGTGCATCTTGAATTTTACTAGTTAATGCCAAGTTGCTCCCAAAGGCTGTACATTCCTACTGACATGCAACATTGTCCCCAACATTCTAGCCAAAAGAAAAGGCACAAGCCCCGCCTGCCTCAATTCAGATACTTACTTCCTTTTCTTTGCTACCAGGTTACTAGGTGATGGTTGAACCCTCCACATGACTATGTGGACATGATACCAGACCCCCGTGACTGGTTCCACCCTCACCTGGGCCCTCAGTGCTATTTATCAGCCTTCTTGCTTGAGCGCTGCTGGGAGAAGTCCCCATACCCTACAGTGAGGCTATTTCTACCTTTTCCAGGATTGGCACTTTCTCTCTAAGTGCCTGCTTCCAAGGGCCAGCTACATAATTTGTGGAACCCAGTGCAAATGAAAATGTAGCGCCCCTTGTTCACAAAGCAGGAAAAAGCTTTTTCCTTTTCTCCCAGTCTCTCTCTCTACTTGTAATGGTGTTTTTTTATTTGCTATTTAATGTTGCTCTTCCTCGGGCACAAGAGATCCTTACAGCTCAAGTGCAGACCCTCTCAGTGCCTGAGGCTCTGCCCTCTGCTGAGCAGCCACTGGTCACATTCACACCTCCTCTCACTAAAAAGCTCACAGAGGGAAGCTGATGGGCAGGAAGGCTGAGCAGCATTACTTGACACAGATGCCCAACCCTGATCCTTTCCATACCTGCACCCAGACCCATGCCAGGATGGGTGCAGTCACTGGGTGGAGGGGCAGGTGGCCCAGAACTTGTCCCAGGGAGGTGGAGAGGTGGAGGGAGGTAGGACCTCAAGTGAATGGAGGCTCCCAGCTCCTGGCACGTGAATTTTACTAATTAATGCCAAGTTGCTGCTAAAGGCTGTACATTCCTACCAGCATACAACATATTTCTAACCAAAGGAAAAGGCAGAAGCCACGCCTGCCTCAATTCAGATACCTACTTCCTTTTCTTTGCTCCCAGGTTGCTAGGTGTTGTCCCATAAGATATCACTTAGAAAACACAAACTCAATGATAGAATTATTAAGGATTTCGAGATGGTGACTGCAGAGCATTAAACTTCAAGCTCAGGGCCCTGTGCAGCTGCCTGATTCACTCCTCAGACCCAGTGCCCAAGACCCCCTCGCTTTTGTCATAGCCTGGATTCGCTGGAGGCCCTGGTGCATGTGTATTGAGTTTCACTGGCACAGGTGTCATGGTTTCTGCAAAAAGATCCCCAAATAATTGTTTTTTGTCTATTTGGAGTTTGTATTTGTCCCTTTCTCCTCAGTGGCCTCAGCCATTTAACGTAATTGTTCTCTATGTTTCTGTAGTGTAATAATATTTTTGTTCATGATGGTTACAGTCATGTCACTAAGGCTTCAGGTACCAAAATAATGTTTAAAACGATTTGATGGAAAAGTACAGAAATCCCACTACAGATGAAGCCAGCTAAAGCTGTTTGGCTGATCCATTGTGTGGCTCCTTGTGTAATGTAGTGAAACATGAAGTGAGCCTGATAATCACCAGTAAAAATAAAGGTGATTTTTGACTAATGAAACTATACTCCAATCAAAATAATAATGTCATATTAAGAAACAGTGTGAAGCTACTTTTGAAATATTTCCAGATTTGTTTTTAAAACTATAAGACTATTTTCTCAACAAATATTATTGAGAGTAGAAAAATCAATTTCATATTGTTTTATATGAGTAGAAGGCAATCTCTTCTTAAAGTGAACTGAAATTGGCTTTGTGTCAGAATGGAAAACTTGAAAATAACTCCAGGATTTCCTGAGATTCAGCAGCTAAAGATTTTGTAAGAGAAATCCTGTTTAGTGTGTGTGTAAATATTCTTGCTGTTTTAAAATCAATATTTGCCCAAAGAACGGCATTTCTAAAAATAAATTTGGTTTCAGTTTTGTTTTCTTTTTCTTTTCTTCATCTTTTAAAGTAATTGGGGCTGACATAGGTTTTTTTTTTTTTTTTTTGCTATTCCTAGCCACTAAAACTTTCCAAAATGCTGCGTTCTGTGCAGTTAGTGGTAGCGTTTGCCAGAAAAAAATAATAGATTGTAAAGGAAGCAACACGGAACAACCACGTTTTTGTTATTCGAAATGCAGCTACACGTGTTTACAGTCCTTAACCATTTCATCTGACAGCCTGGGGAGACAGACTTCTAATTTGTGTTTTGATAAACTGAGAGTGACAGAGCGGTTGTTGGCCCTGCTTGGAGGTGGAGTGATGGTGTGGTCAGAAGGGAAGCCGGAGGGAAGTTACACTCGTGGGGTGTGTGTTATGTGACCTTTGTTTAATACACGTTCTTATTTGATCTTCACAACCATGCCACTTGGCAGGTGGGGAAACTGAGGTGCAGGGCAGGGTAGTCATTTGGCCATCGCCACAAAGGGGAGCAGCTGCAGGGCCCGTCCAGCTTACACCACTCTGTCCCACTCGAGAACAGCAGGGAATCGGGGGCTGCTGAGCCTTGCGGTCTGGGGGAGGAAGCTGCATGTTCTGTGGGGGCATGTATGCCTCTAGTCTGGTTCTCCTTTCTCTGTTCTCCTTTCGGTTGTCCTTGGTCACTCCACTTGGTCACATGGAGAGAATTGGCAGCTTTCGGAGGCAGTCCCTGAGTGCTCTGTGATGGCTGAGGCTCCCCCAGCTACAGAGCTTTAGGGGAAGTTCAGTTTATCTGGTGGAAGAAGGTGAATGGCCCTGACAGCCTCTCCCCAGAGCTCAGCCCTGGGGGAGTGAGCCGTGTTCAGTGGGTGAGGCTCCCCCATGCAGCCTGACAAGAGCTGCAAGTGTTCTGCTGATCAGGAACCCCGAGGCCGGGGAGAAGTGATCTGCCCAGGACCCCACAGCAGACTGTGTGGCAGAGTGTGGTTCCCGCACTGGGCTTCTGGCAGCCTTTGCTCCAGTCAGCATGGGCCATGCAGCTGCAAATGGTTGTAGATGCCACTTGTAGGACTGCTGGATGTTGGTATCTTGGCATCATTCCCATTTGTTAGGAGCCTTGGAGCCATGTTTTCCTTGGGAATTGATTATATGTGTCCCCAAACTAAATTAACTCATTGATATTTGAGATCTTGGGATCTTGAGTATGTGTCTTATGTCTCACCCCAACTTTGTTCTAGATTTGGGGTGAATAGGTGGGAGAAATTCACCTGAAATTCCTTAGAACAAGACTTACTACTGTGTCTTTGTGGCCTGTAGGAGCTAAGGGACTTTCTGAAGACCCTAGGGCTGACATGCCCTGGGGATGATCCTGTCCAGCCAGGGTAAAAGGCGAGCTCCCACAGTCACTGTGGCTCTTCCCCCTGCCAGCCTCTCCCACCTCTCTGGCTTGCTTGGCCCCGACCCTTCAGGGATCAGCAGCATTTGTGAGATGCTGAGGGACAGGAAGACAGTGAGCCCAGGTAAGGAAGATGCCAAATTTGACAGTTGTCCCCAGCCACTTGCCTAGTTCCCTTCAGTCTCTCAGATTCCTGGCCTCAACCTCGCTTAGACACTCTCAACATCTCTCATTCAGCTCCTGGGGTCTCCAGGAGGCTCCCCAGCCCCAGCCTTAATTGCCCTCAGAACTCTGTCTCTTGAACCTGGAGCCAAACCTGCTTCCAGCTCGTGCCTGCCCAGTAGACCTGGGGCACCTCCAGACCCAGCTCCTGAGTGGTCCCTGGTTTCTCACCGAAGTGTCAACCTTCTGATTTCCTGCATTTTGCCCTCTTCTCTAGAGCCACATACTCCTTGTTCCTGTCTGGACCATCCTACATCAAATGGGGTCGAGGCTCGAGAGCAATGGCTCTCACCTGTAATCCCAGCACTTAGGGAAGCTGAGGTGGGAGGATTGCTTGAGCCCAGGAGGTAGAGGGTGTAGTGAGCTATGATCACACAGAGTGAGGCCCTGTCTCAAATAGTAATAATACAGCCAGGCGCAGTGGCTCACACCTGTAATCCTAGCACTTTGGGAGGCTGAGGCAGGTGGATCACTTGAGCTCAGGAGTTCGAGACCAGTCTGGGCAACATAGCAAAACCCTGTCTCTACTAAAAATAAAAAAATTAGTAGAGGTGCACGCCTGTAGTCCCAGCTACTTGGGAGGCTGAGGTGGGATAATCGCTTGAACCCAGGAGGCGGAGGTTGCAGTGAGCCAAGATCACGCCACTACACTCCAGCCTGGGGGATAGAGCGAGACTTTGTCTCAAAAATAGTAATAAAAATAATAATTTAAAAAGTGGGATCATGGAAAGCCTTATCAGGAACCACCAGCGAACCTCATACTTTGTCAGGTAGGTGTGGGGTGGGGCCAGAGTTGGGTCAGTTAGGACCCCAATAGACAGAAGATGGGAAAGACAGCTGGACATGGGGCTACCCCAGAGCCAAACCAAGGAAGCCCAACCCTGATGTAGGGTCCACAGCCTGGACACAGGTGACATGGCCAAGAAGACTGAAGCCTATGAAGGGTGGCTAGGAGGGAGGTGGTGAGTGAAAAGCAGGAACCAGAGGCCAGCTGGAGCAGCTGAGGGGCTCTGGCTTCCGAGCATCTCAGATGGGGACTTGTGGGAAGGTAGCGTGGAGCCACAGTCCTGACTAGGGTCTGCCCCCTGGGCTGTGATGCACAGCATGGCCCCATCCTTTGCTGTCACCTCTATGTCCACTAGGGTTGCTCCTCCTCTGCCACCTCTCAGGCCACCTTCTGAACCTCTCCACTCACTTGTGCACTCTTGCTCTTCCCTGCAAGCCCAGCCTTTGCTCCTAGCCCAGGCTGCTGCACCTCTGACGCCAGGCTGCTGTAGGAGCTGCCCTTTTAGAAGAAGCTCTGATGTGACCTGCGACTTGGTTCAGGCCCTCTTGAAGCTTGGCCAGCCTTGGCTGTTTTCTGATCCCGGCCAGAATTCACACACATGCCCCTGTTTAGTTTTGACCAAGGTCTCAGCGGTTTCAGTTGAGAATGTCTGGCTCTGCCCTGTCCTATCCTGAGTTCTCTCTCCCTTCACTAAGAGATGGAGTTCTGCAGTTCTACCTGGGCCACTTTTGGCACCCAATCTGGCCAGCCCTGTTCTTGCTTCATGATATTTCAGGGCTGATGCCACAGAGATGAGGCTGTGAAAACTTGAGGGCAAAGGCTTGTCCTTGTTTACCACTGAGTCTGCAGTGTCAGCACTTAGTGGGCACACCGTAACTATCTGGATAGGGGCCTGAGCTCCCATCAAGGAGGTGGGTGGTCTCAGGGTCAGAGCCTTGACTCCCCTCCACCCAGTGCCACTTAGATGCACATACCAGTGTGGGATGCATGGCTTGCCTCAGGGCTCCAAGGATAGGTCTTAGATCTCAGATGCCTGTGTCCTCCTCCGTCTGACTCTGCAGTTGGCCTTAGTGCCCTGCTCATTTTCACACCCTTGTGTCCCCACGTGCAGTGGCCATGAGAGCTCTTCTGTTAAGATACAAGTGCACTTGTACTAGGGAGACACGTGCTGTGGCAATGTGCTGTGCCCTGTGTAGGTGCTCATCCTGGAGAGAGGCCACTTTATTTTGCCTTGCTCACTGGGGTGGCCATTCTGGGCACATGGTTTCAATTAAAATGCATCAGCAGGATTTGCCAGATTACTTGGCCAAGTGGTGTCACCTGATGTCTAGTGGATGAGAGATCTAAACAGCAGACCTTTCCCACCATTTGAGGAGCTGAGCTTGGTTAGGAGTGCCTGGGAGCATGGGAGGTGAGCTCAAAGTCTACAGAGCCACTGTGCCAGGCTTGAGAGCAGGGCAAGGTCTGTGGAGTCAATGGAGGTCAGCAGGGCACCGAGAATGGCCTAGAGAGGAAGTGCAGACTCTCCGCCACACATACCCTTCTCCTCCCTCTGCAGTTTGGCCCCTTTCAAAGTCAGGGGAATTTCCTGAGGAAATGGAGCCCTAGCAGGGCCCAGAGGAAAGGAAGGCTCTCGCTAGACGTATCACCTTACTTCCCAGGCACATTTGAAAATCCCCCTGCAGGCAGTTTCCACAAAGCAGATTATTTTGTGAATGCCCATGAGAGACTGTGTGATTAATTAATTAATTATTTTTTGAGATGGAGTCTCATTCTTTCACCCAGGCTGGAGTGCAGTGGCACCATCTTGGCTCATTGTACCCTCCGCCTCCCAGGTTCAAGCAATTCTCCCGCCTCAGCCTCCTGAGTAGCTGGGATTACAGGTGCTGCTACCACACCCAGCTAATTTTTGTATTTTTAGTAGAGTCGGGGTTTCACCATATTGGCCGGGCTTGTCTCAAACTCTTGACCTCAGGTGATACAGCTGCCTCAGCCTCCCAAAGTGCTGGGATTACAGACCTAAGCCACTGTGCCTTGCTCCAGTGTCTGATTTAAAGGAACACCCAGGACACTTATTCATCAAATGACTTATTCCTTTGCCATATAATTGTCATATAACCCAACACATATGTCCATTTTGTGATTGGATATTTTTTTAAACTAGTCAAGTGCAGTGGCAAGAAGGGGGACAGAGTAGAACAAGGAGTTCAACCTGTAACTGACAGTGAGCAATCAACTGAAATAACACACTACCTTCGAACCAGCCCATGTGGTTGGATTTTTGAATCAAGCTTTTCTTTAGTAAGACTAATGCTATCAAGGAAAATCCACAGGGGTGAGGGCAGATCATAGATGTTGGTAGGACCAGCATCAAAGTGAAGGACTGCATGTGTAGCCTAGTCCATACTTTGGTTTACACAAATCTATGGGAACCATCACTACTGAAGGCCCTCATGGTGCTTGAATGCAACAGAAATGAGCTTCATCGTGTTGAATCAAGTGTTTGGCTTCAGAAAGTCAAGGCTTGGTGGCCACGCAGAATTCTGGCCTGGCTTCTAGAAGGGAGAGAGCTCCAGCTTTGGCTTAGCAAGGTTGTCAGCCTTGGGGTGCCTCAGCCAGAATGATTGTGACCACAGATCACAGAGACTTCAATCAGGTCAGTGTGGTAAAGATTGGAATCTAGGTTCAGCAGGCTCAGAAGACCACCTTGCACACAGCATTGGCTTCCTCGCTCCAGAAGTAAATGGTTCTCTGTAGGTTACATAAGGTTCGTCTTGTCCAACAGCCCCAACCTGAAGGGTGAGCCCTGGGGGTTCAGTTCCTTCAGAGCCAAGTGTGGCTCACCATCTCACCTCTGCCTTATCCTGTTCCTCAGCAATGTTGGGAGTCTTCCTGGAGTGAGTCACCATGCATTCCACAAACAAGGCAGAAATGACAGTGGTGTTATTGCCCCACAGTTGGGTGGACTCCCCCAAGATCCAGGTGTGATCAGCCCTGGTCCTAGTGATAGACCAGCCCTTCTCCTACTACCCACGGAAGCTGCCTCATCATTGCCACCATCCGCTTTCTCAACAGGAGAGACTTGATACAGAAGGCATAGTCCCTGCTCTCAAAGAACCTGGGACAAGTTGGGGAGGTGCAGCTGAGTTGGTAAAGAACCCCTGGGTAGCATAGGAGAGTGAATTCATAGATTCTATAGACAAACCCCATACCCATACTTGGAAGAGTTGAGGAGTGACTGGTTGTCCCCCTAGGGCCAAGAGCTGCTGCCTCCCTCCCCTCCTCCTTCTTTTGCACAGCTTTATTGAGCATAATTGATATACAGTAAACTGCACACTTTGATGGATTTTTGACATACGTCTGCCCCTGTGAAACCACCACCACAATCAACAATGACCATCTCCATCACTCATTGCCTTGTACCCATGGAAATCCCCCCTTGCTGCCCTCCTGCCCCACTCCCAGTCAACCACTGACCTGCTGTCAGTGACTATGGATTAGTTCACATATTCTAGAATTGTACACATGTAGAATCATACAGTATGTGCACTTTTTTGGGTCTGTCTTCTTTCACTCAGTGTCATTGTTTTAAGGCTCATCTACGTCATTGTATAAACAGTTTGTTCCTTTCTATTGCTGAGTAGTATTCCATTATATGAATATACTACAATTTGTTTATCCATTCGTCAATGGACTTTGAGTTCTTTCTAGTTTGGGGGCTATTACGAATAAAGTTGCTATGACTGTTCACATACAAGTGTTTGTGTGAATATATGCTTTTATTTCTCTTGGCAAAGTGCCCACAAATTGAATGACTGTCGTATGTTCAACTTTTTTTTTTTGAGACGGAGTCTTGCTCTGTCGCCCAGGCTGGAGTGCAGTGGCGCGATCTCAGCTCACTGCAAGCTCCACCTCCTGGGTTCACGTCATTCTCCTGCCTCAGCTTTCTGAGTAGCTGGGACTATAGGCGCCTGCCACCACGCCTGGCTAATTTTTGTATTTTTAGTAGAGACGGGGTTTCACCGTGTTAGCCAGGATGGTCTCGATCTCCTGACCTTGTGATCCACCCGCTTCGGCCTCCCAAAATGCTGGGATTACAGGCGTGAGCCACTGTGCCCAGCCATATGTTCAACTTTTAAAGAAACTGCCAACTGTTTTCCAAAGTGGTTGAACCATTTTCTATCCACACCAGCTGTTTATGAGAGTTGCAGCTGCTCTATATCCTTGTCAACACTAGGTATGGTCAGTCTTTTTAATTTAAGCCATTCTAGTGAGTGTGTAGTAGTATCTCATTGTAATTTTAATTTGTGCTTCTCTAATGACCAATGATGTTGAGCATCTTTTCATATGCTTACTTGCCATCCAAACATCTTGTTTGGTGAAGTGTCTCTTCAAATTTTTTACCCTTTTTATTGGTTTTGTTTTTGTATTTTGGGACAGTTTCCCTCTGTCACCCAGGCTGGAGTGCAGTGGCACCATCTCAGCTCACTGCAACCTCTGCCTCTGGGTTCAAGTGATTCTCGTGCCTCAGCCTCCCAAGTAGCTGGGATTACAGGTGCTCACCACCACACCTGGCTAATTTTTGTATTTTTGGTAGAGATGGGGTTTCACCATGTTGGCCAGGCTGGCCTTGAACTCCTGACCTCAAGTGATCCACCCACCTCGGCCTCCCAAAGTGCTGGGACTACAGGTGTGAGCTACTGCACTTGGCCCATACTTCTTCATTTTTGTAGCAGCGCATTTTGAAGCACAAAAGTTTTAAATCTTTTTTATTTTTATTTTATTTATTTTTTTACAGAAGCACAAATCCATGTATATTTATTGACTTTTCATTAGTTTAAATCCTTGAGGGGTACAGCATCACTCAGATTCTGTGTCCCCATGACAGGCTTCCTGCCTTAGCAGGAAGATTCCTTTGGAACTTGGCACGAAACATGCCACTGTTTCCATGGGCCTGAGTTACCTTTCCCCAGATTGCTCTGGTTTTGTTTTGTTTGCAGCCAGGAGTCACTGTGTTGTTCTTTGCTTTGTATACATAAGTGCATCTCTTGCCCAAATATAATTCTGTTTCATCTTAGGCATAATCACCTTCAATTTTAAGAAGAGCTGTGTGCTCCCTTTGGTTCTGGAGACTCCGCTTATACCCAGCAAAAATGGCCTTTGACCACAGCCTATTTTCTTTTAGACATATTTCCAGACATATTTTCTTTTAGAAGTCCTGTTCCCAGCAGGCCTCCACAGGATCCAAGATGGCGGGAAGATATTTTTATTTTTTTTGAGATGGAGTCGTACTCTGTTGCCCAGGCTGGAGTGCAGTGGCATGATCTCAGCTCCAGAGTTCACTTAATTCTTGTGCCTCAGCTTCCCGAGTAGCTGAGATTACATATGCCTGCCACCACGCCCAGCTAATTTTTGTATTTTTAGTGGAGACAGGGTTTCACCATGTTGGCCAGGTTGGTCTTGAACTCCTGACCTCAAGTGATCCACCCACTCAGCCACCCAAAATGCTGGGATTACAGGCATGAGCCACTGTACCCGGCCCACAAAAGTTTTAAATATTGATGAAGATTGTATTGATTATCTTTACAGCTTGTGCTTTTTGTGTACTAGTTAGGAAATCTTTGCCAAATCCAAGGCCACAAAGAATTTCTCCTATGTTTGCTTCTGGTTGTTTTATAGATTTAGTTCTTACATTTAGGTCCGTGATTCATTTTGAGTTAATTGTTGTCTATGGTGTGAGGTAAGGGTCTAGGTTCAGCCATTTTCTTTTAAGATTCCTGGTGCTCTGAGTTAGTATTCTGCCCTCTCCCCACTACACCTCTGTCTCCACCTCTTCATGAAGCTGCCATCTATTCCAGTCTCTGATGTCTCCTATAATGTATTCTTCAGCCTCTGACCTCCTGCTGTACACTCAAGCACTTGGTGGGGACAGAGACCCTTCTCACCCTGCTCTGGATGTCATGGAGCTTCATTTGGTATTGGTCACAGAGGCAAAGACTAGATGGCATACCTTTGAGGCCATTCTACTCTTGACGGCTGTTTATTTCTGGTGACAATTTGCCATCCCATATATTCATCTGCAGCAGTAACAGCCAAGGGATATGGAAGTTGCCACAGGGAGAGAAAACTAACCAGATGTCAACTGGCCTGATACCTTATTGGCACATGCAGAGAACCCTGTGCACAAAAGGTATGCAGCCTTCCAGAGTGAGAGCAGATGTTATCTTCATTTTAGGAGTGAGAAAACTGGGGTTTCACAAGATCCAGTGGCCTGCTTAAGGTCACTCAACTGGCTTATCACAGAGGACCTGACTCCAGAACATGCCTCGACCTCTGGGCTGCACTGCCAGGCCCCTCCCTGGCTGTCACTGTTGTGGAAAGGCCTGGGCTCAGACCTCCTGCTCCCAGGCCAGAAGTCTCCACTCTGTAAATGCTGCAAGTTGCATGTGGAATTTTCCTACCACCAAGGCAAAATGCAGCCCCACATTCTTTTATGGTTTCAAAGGAAAGGAACTTCAATGGATGAGGAGTTTCAAAGGATGTATTTAAGTCTTGGGTGCAAGTCAAAGAACTGGGTTTGGGAGGGGCTGGTTGGCCCCTTTTCAAATGGATCCAGGCTTTATTTTTTTCTTCTGCCCTTTGTTGGGTCTAGAAAGGAAGTGCTCCTGGAGGGTTTGGGTGTCAGTTCACAGCACCAAGGCTGTGGAGGAGAGGAAGTAAAGGCTGCGGATGTACCTTCCTTCAGTTCTGCCTGCAGCAGGCCCTCCACAATGTCTTGCTGACCCCTTCAGGACCCAAGTTGCTCAACCTGGCCAATTTCCAACCTTTTTCCCAGCCTTTTCATTCAGGCCTCTGTCCACCCAGCCAGGGTGGACACCCACACCCTTTACCAGGTGCATACCCTTCTCCTAGCCCTCAGCTCTGCATGCACGAATGCCCTTCCTCTCAGGGGACCAAGACTCAGCTTGGATCCCAATTTCTGTGAGGTGGGCAGGCCTGTTTCCTGCCCTGTCACTCCTCAGGCTTGGCCACCCTTCCATGTGCTAAGCCTGTCTCCAAGGCTCAGTCTTGCAAAACCTCTTCACCTGTGGCCTGAAACTGGTAATTAAGCATCATCTCATTTCCCTCTGCATAGCTTTCCCATGTGTCTTATCTTCCCACTTAAATTGTAAACTCCTCCTGGGCACAGACAGGTCTGACTCTTCCTCATTCCATCATATCTCCTCTGCATCTGGCATCCTCCACACCGCCCAAATCTATATGGATTGTTGTTGTTGTTGTTGTTGTTTTTGAGACAGAGTCTTGCTCTGTCACCCAGGCTGGAGTGCAGTGACGTGATCTTGGCTTACTGCAACCTCTGCCTCCCGGGTTCAAGTGATTCTCATGCCTCAGCCTCCCAAGTAGCTGAGACTACCGGTGAGCACCACCACGCCTGGCTAATTTTTTGTATTTTTAGTACAGATAGGATTTTGCCATGTTGCCCAGGCTGATCTTGAACTCCTGAGCTCAGACAATCCACCCGCCTTGACCTCCCAAAGTGCCGGGATTACAGGTGTGAGCCACTGCGCCCGGCCAGTATGGATGGTTTCAGTGTGATTTGCCCAGGTCCAAGTTTTGGCAGGAGAAGGTGGGAGGTTTGCAAGCTGCAGTTTACAGTTTTCCTATAAGTTCTGGGAGGAACACTGATAGTGAGATGCATGCCCCTGTCAGGGATGGAGGCTTGGGGTTAATAAAGCTGGCGTTCATTTCTGAAGGTAAGAGAAATAAGAACATCCACCGAAAAGAGGTCCTGAGCTCAGAGCTTACACCTCCTGGGAGCACCTCTGCCCACGAGAATGTCTCCATTGCACCATAGGCAGAAAGGGTATGTGGCTGGGATGATTACACAGCACATGCACAAATGCCCCATGTGCCAAGCTCCATAAAACATGCCACATCCTCCAAGCTGTGCTGCTCAGGAAAGGATCTGTTTGTGTGCAGCTTCTGCCTGTCTGCGTGAACTGGATTGAAAGAATTCAGAAAACATGCATGCCATGCACAGTACGGGGCACTTCTGAGGAGCTGAGAATGAACCAGGCTTGGTCTTGGCTCCCAGTTAACTTGCTGCCCACTAGAGAAGGTGACACATGAACACGCTTGAGTGTGATGCAAGGCTCTGACAATCACTAAAGGAAGGAGATCTTCCCTGGGGAGGAGACATTTAGGACAAGACTTCTGGAAGGGTAGAGATGAGAGAAGGAAATTTCAGGAGGAGGAATGTGTGTGAGCAAAGGTAGGGAGTAGGGATCAACCAGGGCATGCTCAGGGGACAACAAATGGCCTGTGTTGCCTAATACAGGTGAATATAGGGATGGTGAGGCTAAGATATTGGCTTGGGACCAATTTATCAACATCCTTGAAAGCCAGCTTAATGCTTTATGGGCATGACCTCTCTGAGTCAGACATGCAGATCTAGCTTTGCTGCTTCATATATGGACAACCTTGGGCAAGTTTGTTCCTCTCCCAAAGCCTCAGTTTCCTCATCAGTAAAACCAACTCAAGGGGTAGCTGTAAGGAGTAAGTGAAGATACTGCCTGTGATGTGCACAGTAGGTGCCTGCATACAGTAAGTGCCCAACAGATAATCATTGTTAATGTTGTCTGTTCAGACTCTGTTGGCCTTCTCATAGGATGGATCATATCTGAGCCAAATAGCAGCAATGCCTCAGCAGCCTTAAAGGGTGGATCAGAAGAGTCAGGTGGTGTCAGGAAGACCAGGTGTGAGGCTGTTGCAAAGGCCCAGGTGAGAGCTTAAAAGTTCAGAACCCAGGCACCAGCAGAACTGGGGTAAAGAGGAAAGGGGATGTGGGTCAACAGTACTGACAAGTATCGAACTTCAAGACAGGGTTAGGCAAAACCCAGGTGACTGTGACAGAAGTACAGACACTTAAGAGGGCCACACATAGCCATTAGCTCATTCCCCAGGATAAGCCCCTGCCGTAGTCTGAGTCTCTGGCCTCAGGGATCCCAGCATCGTGGGGGGAGCAGAGGAAGGGGTGGGTGTGAAGCCTGGCGGTGCTTGGACAGGTACAGTAGACAAGTAGTGCTGAGGGCTGTGTCAGGAGATAATTGGGGTACTCTAGGGGTACGAGACAGTTGGGGTACTCTAGGGGTAGGGGACAACTTTCCAAAGCTCCATGGAACAGGGAACAAGGCCCAGCTCTGTCACACACGAACTATGTGATCCTGAATCCACTATCCTATTTTGTGCCATTTTTCTCTCTTTTTCTTGTTTATTTTTCTTTTGCATTATTTTTTTTATTATCTTTTTTCTCCTCTACAAATTGAAAGTTATACATGGTGTTTCTTTTTCTTTTTTTTTTTTTTTTAGTGGCTGCCCTGGAAATTACCACATGCATACTTATCAAAGTCTAAAGTTACTCAATCACTTTACCTTCCTCTTCAGTAATGCAAGACCTTAAAGCATTTTAACTGTTTCCCCCCCGTCTTGACTCTGTGTACTTTCATTCTCTCTTGTTTTGTTGTAACTTCAGAAAACCTTAGAATGATTATTATATTATATAGTCCACGTTTGCCTAGCTCTACCCACGTATTTACCAGTTTCGTAGCTCCTCACACCTTCTTGCGTCCTAGATCTTCCATCTGGGATCACTTCCCTTCCACCTAATGTACATCCTTTAGAATATCATTTAATAAGAGTTCCCTAATTATAAATTCTCAGTTTTTGTTTTTCTGACAATGTGTTTGTTTGGTGCTCATTTGTGGAAGATATTTTCACTGGATAAAGAATTCTAGGGTGTCAGGTCATCCCTCCCTACCTTTCTATGTGGAGGTTGACAAATCAGCTGTTAGTCTAAGGTATACTGACATTTTCCCTCTGGTTTTCTCTCTCTCTCTCTCTCATATGTGAGTGATGTGTGTGTATTCTGCAATTTACGATACACATTTAAATATGTATTTCTTTCTTTTCTTCTTTTTTAAAAATCCTGCTAGGAATTCCTTAGGATTCTTAATATCTATGAATGGTGTGTCTTATCAATTCTGGAAAAATTCTCAGCCAATATCTCTTCACATATTGCCTCTCTCCATTCTCCCTCTCCTTTCCTCCTAAAACTCCCACTAATCATAGGCTGATCTCTTCCACGTCTCTTAACTTTTCTTCCATATATTTTGTCTTTTGGTCTCTCTGTGCTGTTTTCCATTGCTTTTTTCTTTTTGAGACAGAGTCTTGCTCTGTTGCCCAGGCTGGAGTGCAGTGGCGTGATCTTGGTTCACTGCAACCTCTGCCTCCCAGGTTCAAGTGATTCTCATGCCTCAGCCTCCCTAGTAGCTGGGATTACAAGCCCACACCACCACGCCTGGCTAATTTTTTTTTTTTTTTTTTTTTGAGACAAAGTCTCTGTCTCCCAGGCTGGAATGCAGCGGTGCGGTCTCAGCTCACTGCAACCTCCACCTCCCAGGTTCAAGTCATTCTCCTGCCTCAGCCTCCCAAGTAGCTAGGATTACAGGTGCCCGCCACCACACCCAGCTAGTTTTTGTATTTTTAGTGGAGACAGAGTTTTACCACGTTGGCCAGGCTGGTCTCAAACTCCTGACCTCAAGTGGTCTGCCTACCTTGTGCTCCCAAAGTGCTGGGATTACAGGCATGAGCCACCACACCTGGCCTCCACTGCTTTTTTCTAAACCATCTGCCAGCTCACAAACTCTCTTCCACTGCATTTTAAAATTTCATTTATGATATATTTTTCACCTCTGAAAAATATACCCCTTTCTCAAGTCTGCTGAAAATTTGCTTCCTTCTCAAATCTGTTAGGTCACTCTTTATAGTTTCCTACTCCCTACAGGTATTTTCAAGCTTGTCTTTTATTTTGTTACACATGTTAAGTATGTTTTTTAATTGATGCTGGATAATTCCATGATCTGAAGTTGTTGTAGGTCTATGTCTGCTGTCTGTTGTTTCTGCTGATTCTCAGTGTTTCCTTGTGTAGCTGGCTTATTTGGGGCTTATATACCACTGAGTATATTTGAAAACTTATTGGTGGGTACTTCTTGAGGCCTAGGATGAATATGCCTCTCTCCAGAGAGGATTGATGGGTCCCTCTGCCAGGTGACAGGGGCATTAGCAGTCCAGGGGTACTTTATTTTTTTATTTTATTTTATTTTATGTTTTTTTTTTGAGACAGGGTCTTGCTCTGTTGCCCAGGCTGCAGTGCAGTGGCACAATCTCAGCTCACTGCAGCCTCTGCCTCCTGGGTTCAAACTATTCTTCTACCTCAGCCTCCTGAGTAGCTGGGATTACAGACACATGCCATCACGCCCGACTAATTTTTATATTTTTGGTAAAGACGGAGTTTCACCATGTTGGCCGGGCTGGTCTTGAACTTCTGGCCTCAAATGATCTGCCCACCTTGGCCTCCCAAAGTGTTGGGATTACAGGCATGAACCACCACACCCGGCCCCAAGGGTACTTTAAATTCATGAGCAGAGGTTTTATGAATCACGCAAATGACGTGAACTTGGGCCGCCAATCTAAGTGATGGCCAGCTTGTGGTTACATCTCAGTGACAACTCCTCCCCTCTTCTCTTGCATTCCCAAGGTAGGGAGACCTGTTAGGGTGCCAGCTTAAACTAGGAGAGCCTCCTGATAGATTCCCCACTGGGGACAGGCCCTGAGTTTTGACATTTATCACACTGGCCCACAAGATCATTAATACTGAGGTTCTTGGCTGGGCGCGGTGGCTCACGACTGTAATCCTGGCATTTTGGGAGGCCGAGGTGGGTGGATCACTTGAGGCCAGGAGTTCGAGACCAGCCTGAGCAATATGGTGAAACCCTGTCTCTACTAAAAATACAAAGCCGGGCATGGTGGCATGTGCCTGTAATCCCAGCTACTCAGGAGGCTGAGGCATGAGAATTGTTTGAACCTGGGAGGTCGAGGTTGCAGTGAACTGAGATCGTGCCACTGCACTCCAGCCTGAGCAACAGAGCAAGACTCCATATCAAACAACAACAACAACAACAAAAACCTGAGGTTCTCACTTGCATATCAGCAAACACCCACATAGCCAAAATGACTTCAGTGCTTCCTACTTGTCTAGGTTCTTACCTCTCCTTAGATTCTGACCTTATTCCTTTTTCTCTTGCCAGCTCTTCATTGCTTTTAACAAGGTGTTTTTCATGTTTTATCCAGCATTTTTGGTTGTTTTCAACAATTATATCCTGTAAAACAGAGCTTGGCAGATCTTGCTGTGTGACCTCAAATAGGTCACTTCCCCTCTCTGGACCTCAGCCTTGCCTACCTCATGGCATGGTTGGGAGGATTAAATGAGGAAATGAAGGTAAAGGGGCTAGCACAGTGCTCAGCACATAGGGCACTCAATGAACATGAGTTCTCTTCCCTCTTACTGCCTGGTGGGGCTGGGTCCTTGGGATAAAACAGAAACCTAGTCATCCAATCCGGCCTAAGGTCTGGGTTACAGCAGCAGCTGAGGTTCGAGTGCCAATGCCCAGAGTTCTTCATCCTTTTTCAACTTCTGAGGTACCAGCTAAATGTTTGCTCCTGGAGATGGGAGTCCTGTAGCTCAACCAAGCTGGGCCAGATGCCAATGGCAGGGGAGGCATATGATCACAGTACCAGTGCCGGGGAGCAGGAAGGGCCCCTGGGGGAGCCTAGACCCATGGCCTCTGCACCGCAGCATCCCTGGGAGTGCCGCCATTTGGCTTGTGAGGGTGGCTTAACTGCAAGTGGCTTGGGGTAGCCTGGCTTGTGAGCCAGGCCTCTAGGGAAAACCCTCCTGCTTGGATCTAGAAGCCAGTGGTATGTGTCCATCCTGGAGGGAACAGCTTCCCAGACCAGAAAGCTAGGGTGCTCCTCTGCACTGTGGGGAGCTAGAATAAGGGTCTCCTGGGAGCAGTGCAGGCTTTTCCCAGAGTCAGTTCTAACCTCTCCATCGCCTCCATTACAGTCCCCCACCTGGCCACCCACCACCTGGCCAGGGTCACCATAGCCCTCCCTGACACCAGAGGGTTTTGTTTGTTTGGTTGTTTGTTTTTGAGATGGAGTCTCGCTCTGTTGCCCAGGCTGAGGTGCAGTGGCACGATCTCGGCTTACTGCAACCTCTGCCTCCCCGGTTCAAGTGATTCTCCTCCTGCCTCAGCCTCCTGAGTAGCTGGGATTACAGGTGCAGGCCACCACGCCCAGCTAATTTTTGTATTTTAGTAGGGACGGGGTTCCACCATGTTGGCCAGGCTGGTCTCGAACTCCTAACCTCAAGTGATCCGCCCGCCTCGGCCTCCCAGAGTGTTGGGATTACAGGCATAAGCCACCACACCTGACCCATCAGAGGGTTTTAATGAGAGAATGTGGATGCCATTCTCTCCCCAGCAAAGGTTCCCAACACTCAGGGTCAGCTGGCACTGCAGCCTCCTGTCCCCTCAGCCTCATTTGGTATTGGTTAGGGAGCCTCCTGTCCTTCCCTGAGCTTACTGCAGTCATTTCTGTCCCCATGGCCCTTACATGACATCCCTGGAAGGTGAGGTCTGGCCAGGCAGGCTGGGCATGTCCACTCTAACAGTGTACATCGGAAGTTCCCAGTCCAGAGAAGTCCTTCTAGGTTTCAGAATCAGGTTGGGACGAGGAGCAGGTTGGAAAACACTGTATTGGCCACAGAGCAGCCCAGGTCTGGAAGAATGAAAAGTCCTCTGATCCTAAATCATTAGAGAATATATTATAGAATGAAGCCATTTTCCAATCAAATGCAGCACTTTGGCCATTTTACCTGTATACATGCATAGATGAATTTTTTTTTTTGAGACAGAGTTTTGCTCTTGTTGCCCAGGCTGGAGTGCAATGGCACGATCGCGGCTCACTGCAACCTCTGCCTCCCGGGTTCAAGTGATTCTTCTGCCCCAGCCTCCAAGTAGCTGGGATTGCAGGTGCTCGCCACCACGCCCAGCTAATTTGTGTGTGTGTGTGTGTGTGTGTGTGTGTGTGTGTGTGTGTATTTTTAGTAGAGATGGGGTTTCACCATGTTGGCCAGGCTGGTCTTGAACTCCTGACCTCAGGTGATCTGCCCTCCTTGGCCGCACAGATGAATTTTTAAACAAGCTCATCCAGATGGTGAAAAAAGGCACATGCCCTTGCCAGATGAAAAATGAGATTCAAATGTGGATTAAATATATCAATTAAGAAGTCCCAATCCCTGGCCTGCTGCAGTTATATCCTTCAGAGACAGCAACCATTCTGGGAAGCTTCAACTACATCCTAATTACCCAGTGGGAAATCAGTGTGTCTTCGGAGGAAAATATTTCTAAGGGCTTTTAGCATGAGCTGTCTCCTCCCTACAGAGGCAGAGGGAGGAGAATTAGGCCAGTGCCAGACTCAGAGGCACACATTCAGGTATCAAGAGGCAAACGTCACTGCATCTTTTTTAAATCTGGGAATTTCTCTGGAATTCTTTGAATTACCATAGCAAAGTTGGTATTTCTTTTAAGGCACTTCTTATCTTACATCATAAGATGTTTTCTGAGATTCATTCATGTTGTTTCTTTGCCCCGGACTGCCCCTCCTCCCTTTGTCAGCCAGGCAAAGCTTTGTTTATTATTCAAGAGACTGTTCAAATGGCGCCTCCCCACAAAGCCTGTCCTGACCCTTGGCACTCCCAACAGGAAGACCAGCTCACTGAATTCTGCTGAAGAGTCAGCTATGAATGAGAATCAGATAAAACAGGTGCTATTCTCACCTTCTTCCTGTACACCTGTTCTGGAACATTCTTCCAGCAGTGCATAAAGCACTCTGCATTGTGTCTGCCTCTTCGTGCCTCTATGGGGCTGTGAGCTCTTTGAGAGAAGTCCTGAGACCTCCACTCCTTACACTCACTCCACCCACTCTCCATGTCCCCAGGGACCCTTGCTGGGCTTGGCTCTGCAGGCTGTGGCAGTCAATGAGCCTCTGAGCAAGCCTCCCTCCGGTACGGTATTCATCTGCCCTCCACAAGGCATCTAGTACAGGGCTCTGCATGCAGCAGCTACCTTAAACACACTGAAATGCAAAAAGAAAACAGACTTTATTTTAGATCCTTTGCAATGGAGGATGCCGAGAGCCTTAGCAACTTTCCTAAGCTAAAATCTGTGGGCTTCAAAGTGAGTTTCTAGGACTTCACTTTGGGGTGCCACCTTGAGAAATTTTAAGGCAATGTGACATTAGGGGGCCCATCCCCCAAAAAGGTGCCAAGAGGTACCTTCTAGAAGAGGCTGAAATTTGAGGAGCCCTTTGGTGGGAAACAAGTTACTAACCCAGCTGGGAAGAGATCTGAGAACAACCAGCTCACGGCTGGCTCTGCTCAAGGATGAACAAGGCAAAGAGCCCCCGTGGGTGTCACCTGGGTTTTGAAAGAAGTGTTGCATAAATGATTGCCTGCCTGTGGCATCAGGAAATCATTTGACCATCAATCGACAGCACATCTACCTCCAGCCCAGGCCTATTCCCCTGGGACAGTGCCTCTGGCTCTTGGCTGCTCCTCCCCGCAAATACGCTGCTATGTGCAAAGACTTTTGGCCCTTGGTACACATGTGCCTCTAGCTACCAACATAGCAGCTTGCGGGGCATTATTTTGGGGCATTATTTCCTAGATTTGATCCCCAAAGACTGATTCCCCCTGGGCTTCCTATACTTGTCCTCTGCACTGTTCCCTGATTGATCTAGGCAGAGTAGGAGTTCTCACCCGCCTGTATGACCCAGCTCCCCCAAGAAAGACCAGCTCATCTAAGGCTGGAGCTGAACGGGAACGACAAGGCCATGGGGCTGGGTAGGGAAAGAGTCTCCCTTGCACAGTTATCAGGCCAGGGACCTGCTCAGGACCCCTGAACAGTGTCTCATGTGTGTAATGTCAGCACTTTGGGAGGCTGAGTGGGGATGATCAGGTCAGGAGTTCTAGACCAGCCTGGGCAACAAAACGAGACCCCATCTCTACAAAACTTCACAAAAGTAGGCGTGGTGGCACACGCCTACAGTCCCAGCTACTCAAGATGCTGAGGTGAGAGGATCGCTTGAGCTCAGGAGTTTGAGGCTGCAGTGAGCTATGATCACCCCACCGCACTGTAGCCTGGGCAACAGAACAAGATCCCGTCTCTAAAAACAAAAAAAAAAAAAACAGCTTTATTAAGATATAGTTGAAATATGTAAACAGCACATACTTAAAAAGTACAATCTGATGAATTTTAACATATGTATGCATACACCTGTGAAACTGCTACCACCGTCAAGATAATGAACACATCCATCAACTCTAGAAGTTTCCTCCTGTCCCTTTGTGATCTCTCCCTCCCATCTCCACCGTCTCCAGGCAACCACCCATCTGCTGCTCTCTGTTACTGTAGATGAGTTAGCATTTTCTGAATTTTAAATAAATGGAATTATCTACTATGTACTATTTTTGTTTGTTCTTTCATTCAGTGTAATTATTTTGAGATTCATCCTTGCTGTGTATGTTAATAGTTAATTTCTTCTCATTGCTAAGCAGTATTCCATTGTATAGATTATACCACAATTTGTTAACTCTTCACTTGTTGATGGATATTTGGGTTGATTCCAGTTTGGGGTCATTACAAATAAAGTTGCCATGAATGTTCATATGCAAGGGTCTGTGTGAATACATGCTTTTATTTCCCTTGGGTAAATACCTAGTAGTGAAGGCTGGGAGTGGTGGCTCATGCCTATAATCCCAGCACTTTGGGAGGCAGAGGTGGGAGGATCTCTTGAGGCCAGGAGTTCCAGACCAGCCTGGGCAACACAGTGAGACCACTTCTCTACAAAATATTTAAAAATTAGCTGTACATGGTGGCATGAGCCTGTAGTCCTAGCTGCTCAGGAGGCTGAGGCAGGAGGATTGCTTGAGCCCAGCAGTTCGAGGCTGTAGTAAGTTATGATTGTACCACTGCACTGTAGCCAGTAAGTTATGATTGTACCACTGCACTGTAGCCTGGACGGCAGAGCAAGACCCTGTCTCAGTCAGTCAATTAATCAATCATTCAGTATATAGGAGTGGAATGGCTGGGTCATGTAATAGATATGTTTAATGTTTTGTTGTTGTTGTTCTTTAGGCCAATACAGCAGAATAGAAATATTGAACTTTTTTTTTTTTTGAGACGGAGTCTCGCCCTGTCACCCAGGTTGAAGTGCAATGGCGCGATCTCGGCTCACTGCAATCTCCGCCTCCCAGGTTCAAGCGATTCTCCTGCCTCAGCCTCCTGAGTAGCTGAGATTGCACGCGTGTGCCACCGCGTCCGGGAAAATATTTAACTTTTAAAGAAACTGCTGAAGTACCTTCTAAAGCAGTCAATTTGCCATTCCCATCAGCACGTATGAGGCTTCCGCATAGCCTTTCTTGGCTGGCTACAAACTACTGCAGAAGCTTCAGAACTGAGTCTCCCATTGGGTTTACCTGGCTGGTGACTACAATCAAAGCCCTGAGGCCTGCACTCCCTGGGCCCCAGACAAAGAGGGAGGGGTGTCCTAGAAATACTTGCTGAAGACAGTGTCAGGAATCTGCATTCTCTAAGGAAGCTTCTTGGCCCCAGGACTGCCCCAGGGGTGGGAAATATTGAGCAGGACCCAAGGGGCCCTCTAGCTCAGCATTGGAAAAAAATCACTCTGCACCTGAAGAGGCCACAGTCCCATATTACAGCCCAACTCTCATGAAACTCACTTTTGCATAACTAAGTATCTGAGCTGGTGTCAGGGCCCCCAAAAGCAGTCATGGTCGCTGGCTCAGAGACCTGTTCCAGGGAGGTGGTCCCCCAGTAGACTGCCCAGGAAGGACCTGAAGAACTGAGGGCCCTAGAGTCCTGAGGACCCTCCTGGGTGGAAGGATACTGATCTAGGCCTATTCCCCACTGGAAGGAGCTATGGGGCAGCACCCAGGACTAGAGGACAACGTCCATGTACCTACCCATTACTGCTGGGGCCTGGCCTTTCCAGCTGGCCCTGCTTGTGGCTCAGGATCCCTGATGTTAGGAGGTGGTACAATCTTTAGGGTGTGAGCCCCTCCAGAGTCTGGGGTGTGCTATGCATTTATCCATCCATTCATTCATCAACATTTATCAATGTCTCCTAGGAGCCAGAGATGACTCAGGCAAGTTGGATCCAGTTGTGAAGCCTCCCGTTCCCTTCCAAGGGATCTAGACAGTATTTAACAGGAGGGGCACTTGTTAAATGCTGTCCAGGGTTTTTCTTTTTTCTTTTTCTTTCTTTTTTTTTTTTTAAAGAGACAGGGTCTTATGTTGCCCAGGCTGGTCTGGAACTCCTGGCCTCAAGCAATCCCCCTGCCTTGCACTCCCAAAGGGCTGGGATTATAGGTGTGAGCCACCATCTATGCCAGCCAAGGTTTGTGTTTTAGAAAGATCCCTGGCAGGCAATATGGAGAGTGATTTAGAGCCCAGGGAGCTTATTAGGAGGAGGTGAGGGAGGGTCTACCTGGGCAGTGTGTCAGGAAGACAGGGAAGGACAGATGTGGGGTGAGGGCAGAGGACAGTCAGCACATCGGTGCTGCCAACCCTTTCCTCTCATGGCTTCAGCAATGCTGCTCTCACCGGTTCCCACCACACACTGTGTGCGTAAATAGATGGAGGGGTGGTGGGAGGGATGGGGGATGGGTGTTTGGGCTCAGGGGCGAATCTTGGACCGAGCACTGTGAGGTGACGGTGGGGCCAAGGCTTGCATCTCCCCACCCACCTGTCCACTGCCATTGTGGAGCAGCCAGTGTGGAACAGCCAGGTGCGGGTGGGGACTGCAGGTGTCCTCCCCAGTCCAGCAGGAAACCACTGACTCATGTCTGACAGCTCTCAGCCTGGATGGGCTCCCGGAGGCTGTTAGTCACCTGTGAAACAAGGGCACGTGATCCCTTCTTGCCCTGAATTCCTCAGGCTGTGGACTCCCTGGGACCACAAGTTTGAACTTCTAGGAAAGAAGGGACTCAGGTTTTTTTGGAGACCCCCATCCTCAGGGGCAGGAGGGGAGGGGAGAGGAAACCCGAGCCTGGTGAGGAGGTTAAAAGTTTGAACTTGATCCCTGCCAAGGAGGAGTTGGGTCTCAGCTGTGATCACTGAGCCTTTGCATCCTGTAACCTTTTTCTGGTTACGCATGGCAAGTACAGCACTGGCCAGGCACGTTTCTGTCGTTTACACTGATCCACAGAAGCCTCTGTCCACAGACGACCTCAAAATGGCATTCACCGTAAGCAGAATTCACCTTCAAAACGCTACGTGAGTCCAGGGGGGCAGCGAAGAAGAGGCCGAAGGAGCAGTGGGGCAGGGGTCGCGGGTCTCTGTGGTGTGGAGGGGGCAGCGCCGGGAATGTGCGGGGAAGCCTGGAGGCCTGGGTCCCAAGCCCCTGTGCCAATTGCTGGGGGCCCATGAGACTCACTCCACCTTGCTGAGCTGATTCTGGACCCTGATCACAAGGGACTGCAAATCCGTGTTCTCGTGCCTTCAATCTGGGCCTGCCAGGGTTGAGACACGGCACAGACCCTCTGAGTTGGCTTTGGGAAGATAGATGGAAGCCATTCCCTCTTGCTTCTCCGGTGCAGGCTGCAACTCGTCAGCCAGTTGATACCAAGTGTTTACAGTGCATGAATCTCGACCCGAGATCTACAACAGGCCAGCTGGGAGAATTTCATTTGATTGTGAGGAATGTGATTATTTGGCCATTGGCTCCTGGCCTGTGAGCCACTCATGAGTCTTTTGAACCACCCGGGGTTTCAGTCTCAGTGTTTCCAAAAGCTGGGAGGGCACTTAGACACGTCCACCGAAACCTTTATTTGATATATGAAATGGAGATCCCGAGGGGAGGAACAGCCACCGAGGCCCTGGCTAGAAGTGGTCAAGCTTGTCCGCATGGGCTCCGAGGGCTCCCAGGGACCGCAACGCTTCAGCCTTCTAGGCCACACTGCAGGGTACACCCAGTGGTCGCTGCCCTGGTCACTGCCACCGCCTTGGCCTGTTCCTTGCCCTGTGGCACCACCAGTGGGGCCCTCCTCCCCTTGCCCATAAAATTCCTGAAAGAAGAGAGCCTGCCCGGTCAGGCCTGGTGGATGGACAAGGCCTTCATGTTAGCCAGGCTCCCACAGCAGTAGCAGCCACAGGGTTGGGGTGGGGGGAACTGTGCAGGTGCAGGAGTCCAGGCTCAGATAACAAAGGTGGGGAGTCCAAGGCCAGAGTGGAGGCAGAGGCCTTGGCTGTGCCCCAGTGCCAGGAGATAAGGTTTGTGAGGAGCTGGGCTGTGCCTGGCACAGGGTGGGGAGCTGTGGGTGCAGCTGCTATTCTCAGTCCAGGGCACTCCCCTGGGGCTTTGACAGTGAAGACTGGAGCCAGGCACTGAATGGGGGGGCAGCCTGAGGAATCTGGGGTGGAGGCTCAGCGAGGAGGTGTTTGGCCACAGGCCAGAGGGTCAGGCTGGGGATCCCTGAACCTGGAGTACAGAGTCCTGCCAGCAACCCAGGTGGAGCCAGTGGGGTGCCCCTCATACCTCCTGCAGCCCTGCTGGGAGGTCCCCCGGGATGGCTGCCACCTGCCTCAGGGGCAGAGGATGTGGGGGGAACTGGGTGGGGTGTGCCCTGAGGAGGGAGGCTGTGATCTTTGTGTGTATTTGTGCAGCAAACACTCCCCCAGACCCCCTGGCACCACCTGGGAGTTGCAGATGGGGGGTGCACGGCCCGGGGGTGGTGTGGCCCTTCCCTGAGGCTCAGTCACTCCCTCAAAGATCCTCTGGGCTTTCCTCTGTGTCCTCCAGGTGCTACCTGGGCCCTGTATGGAGGGCTGCATGCCCCTACAGAGCCATGGAAAGTGGCCAGACAGATGGACCCTCAGCCCCCAGGCCTCCGCTGGCCCACAGCGGAGGGAGGGTGTCCTGGGGTTCCAGTGTGTCAGGGAAAGGAGCAGATTGAATGAGCCACTGCCCCTGGCCTTCTTGATGGCCACCAAGCACTTCCAGCATCAAACCTGGGTGAAGCTGGGGCCTCACTGGGGTACCGCTCAGGGCTGTGGTCAATGTCAGACACAGGACAGTGGGGGAAGGGTGAGAAACCTGAGTGTGGCCCTCTCTGGATGGTGGGGTGAAGCCTGGGGCCCAACTACCTGCAGCCTCCCTTGGGGCTCTTGCCAGCACGAGCTGGGAGGTGGGACAGGGTTACAGGACCTGATAATGAGTCACTGGGGAGGCCACATTGGGTGCAGAGGCAGACACTCCCCCTTTTTGTGAAGCCCCAGCCATTCAATGGGGCAGCACCCCTCCTCTGACAGATTTGGAGTAGAGCTCATGCGAGGCAGCACAGCACCTTTGGCATGGGCCTTTGGCATGGGCAGCTCCACCCAATTGCTTACTATAGAAGAAGGCCCACTCCTGGTACTACAAGTGGATCTGTGCCCCAAGAGGGGCCACTATGGATGGTCAGAGGAATTCTCAGCACCTGGTACTGCCTGAACCTGGTGTCACCCAGCAGCTGGCCCATCACAGGTGAGGGACTGAGCGTGGAGGGGTGGTGGGCACCACTCATGCTGAGCACAGTGGGGGTCCTGGGACAGCCCTGGGCCTGCAGCCTGCCCTCACAGAGGTCTCATGGTGGCCTGGGAGCTCCCAGCATCCCAGGGGATGGGCATTTGTATCTGGACCGCTTGCCACAGGATTAACTGGTGCTAAAACACAGCCATTCAACAGCATTAGGGGAAATTGAAATGAAAACCATGAGGCACTGTCCCTATACCAGATGTGCCCCTCACAGCTCTGATCACAGAGCTGGGTGGTGGTGGAGGAGTCAAAGTCCTGGGCTCACTTATGTGTTCAACTTCTTGCTAGGTGGCTCTTTCTCTGCTCAGGAGGTGTCTGTGTCTGCCCAGGTGAGACAGGAGTCGCCTTGTGTATTAGTCCGTTCTCATACTGTTAATAAAGACATACTGCTATGAGGAAATACCTGAGACTGGGTAATTTATAAAGAAAAAGAGGTTTAATGGATTCACAGTTCCACATGGCTGGTGAGGCCTCACAATCATGGTGAAAGGCGAAGGAGGAGCAAAGGCACGTTTTACATGGCAGCATGCAAGAGACCGTGTGCAGGGGAACTGCCCTTTATAAAACCATAAGATCTCATGAGACTTGTTCACTATCATAAGAACAGCACAGGAAAAACCTGCCCCCATGATTTAATTACCTCCCACTGGGTCTCTCCCATGACACATGGGATTGTGAGAACTACAATTCAAGATGAGATTTGGGTAGGGACACAGCCAAACCATACCACCATGGTTTTCCTGGTGAGAATTCAGAAGTGAGAAATCCCAGGATAAATTCCATGTTACATAGGATGTATAATTCCATGTTACATAGGATGTGTAATCCCATGTTACATAGGACATATAATTATTGATCACACATAGTCAAATCATGTAATGCAGGAAAAACAAATAGACCAGAGCTATGTGTGTCAAGATGGGCACATCTCAAAATACAATGTCAAGAGAACAAGTGACAAGATGAATATATATGACACCATTTGTAGATGTTTTAAAAACACAAAATAGTACTGTATGGGATTATGAATATAAACTTAGGTTGTAAAACAAAAAAACAGGAACAAGAAACATACATACTAACTTCTCAGTTAATAGGGTATCTAAGAAAAAATTTTTTAAAAAAAGAAAACAAAGATAAATGCTAACTTTAGAACTTGGTTAGCTCTGGGGAGGACATTAGCAAAACAAAACAAAACAAAACAAACAAAAACAAAAAAACCAAAAAGCAAATATTATGGCAAAATGTTAACACTTGTTAAGTCTAAGATGTCTGAGTTAAATTATGGGGGTGTATTGTATATTGTTTTCTGTAATTTTGCTTGAAGTATTTCATATCTTAAAAACAGGCCAAAATGAACCTTAAGAACACTATGCCAAGTGTGTAATCCCAGCTACTTGGGAGGCTGAGGCAGGAGAATTGATTGAACCTGGGAGGCGGAGGTTGCAGTGAGCCAAGATCATGCCATTGCACTCCAGCCTGGGCAGCAAGAGTGAAACTCTGTCTCAAAAAACAAAGCAAACGAAGCAAAACAAAAAAAGGCTGGGCATGGTGGCTCACGCCTGTAATCCCAGCACTTTGGGAGGCCGAGTGGGTGGATCACCTGTGGTCAGGAGTTCGAGACCAGCATGGCCAACATGGTGAAACCCCATCTCTACTAAAAATACAAAAATTAGGCAGAGCATGGTGGCTCATGCCTGTAATCTTAGCACTTTGGGAGGCCGGGGTGGGCGGATCACAAGATCAGGAGATCAAGACCATCCTGGCTAACATGGTGAAACCCTGTCTCTACTAAAAAATACAAAAAAAAATTAGCCAGGAGTGGTGGTGGGCACCTGTAGTCCCACCTACTCGGGAGGCTGAGGCAGGAGAATGGTGTGAACCTGGAAGGCAGAGCTTGCAGTGAGCCAAGATTGCGCCACTGCATTCCAGGCTGGGTGACAGAGCAAGACTCCGTCTAAAAAAAAAAAAAAAAAATAGCTGGGCATGGTGGTGCATGCCTGCAGTCCCAGCTACTCAGGAGGCTGAGGCAGGAGAATTGCTTGAACCTGAGGGGCAGAGGTTGCAGTGAGCTGAGATCATGCCATTGCACTCCAGCCTGGGCAAAAAGAGCAAAACTCTGTCTCAAAAAAACAAACAAAAAAAAAGAACATTATGCCAAGTGAAATAAGCCAGACACAAAAGAGCAAATACTATATGATTCCACTAATATGAGGTCCTAGTGTAGTCAAATTCATAAAGACAGAAAGTAGCATGATGGTTGCCAGGGGCGGGGGGAATGGGGAGTTGATGTTTAATGCCACAGAGTTTCAGCTGGGAGAGATGAAAAAGCTCTGGAGATGAATGGTCATGACGGTTGAACAATAAGGTGAATGTACTTAATGCCTCTGAATTGGACACTTGCAAATGGTTAAAGTGGAAAGTTATATGTTATGGATATTTTACCACAACAAAAATAAATAAAAACAAACCAAAATAGGCAAATCTCTAGAGACAGAAAGTAGATCCGTGGCTGCCTAGGGCTGGGGAGGATGCCAGGAAAATGGCCAAGGGATGTAGGGTTTCTTTCTGGGTTAATGAAATGTTCTAAAATTGATCGTGGTGATGGATGCACAGCTCTGTGAATACACTAAAAGCCACTGGATGGAACTCACTCAATAGGTGCAGAGTGCGGTATATAACTTAGATCTCAATAAAGCCCAAAGGGAGTGGGGATCCTTTCTGTGTCGGCTACTCTAATAGAAGCCTGTGATCTGTCTGGTCTGAACTGGGCTCTGTCATGAGCGTCACAGAGTTATTAGGAGCCCCAAAGCCTTCCTGACCTCCGCCATCCCATAACGTAGGGTGGGAACTCTGCCAGCCGGGCTCCCAGGGCTGGAGCCATGCTACATCCACGGGGCTCTGGCAGGGAAGCAGAGTCATAGCCTCTGCCAAATGAGGTTAATGAGAATCTGCTCCAGGCTCCAGGGGTTTTGAGGCTTAATTAATACTTGCAAGGCCCTTGGTGATTGTGAAATCAAAGGTTCTGTGAATGTGTACAACGCTGGCCTTATTAACACCAGTGCATTACGCAGGAGAAAGATGCTAGCCTTCTTATCACTCACTTAGCTCCCTGGAGGGGCTGGTCCCACGGAGTCCAGGCCAGACTGCCACTGGCTCTTGTGGCCCTTGTCTTGCTTTCCAGGCCACTCCTAGGGTCGGGAGCTCCAGGGCAGCCACCCTGAGTGGCAGGGGTGGCCGGACTCTTAGTGGACAGCGAGTAGAAGACCTCCACTTTGGGGATCTGGAGAGGCAACAGGGCAGACCCCCTGCAGCAGTCTTGGTGATTGTGCCTCCAGACCTAAAGAAGGACTCCCAGTGAGGATGCCTGTCACCTTCCCAGATGGCCGGTCCTTCCTATATTAGATGTGCCTCCTTGGACTAAGCACCACCAGGCTCTCTGGAGCCCTGCAGGGAGGACTGGCACTGCCCCTTAGCCCAGGGCAGCCTGGGGCAGGGAGCCATTCCATCTTGCCTTAGCTCCAGTCTTTCCTGCCTGCTGCCTCCTTTCTGCTCTGGTCAAGAACCACCCCTCTCCAGCACCCCCTACAGAAGTATCCCGCTCTCCCCAGGCCACAGGGCACAGCCCCTCTCCTTTGTTCTGACACCCCTCCCAGAGATGGAGCCTCAGACTCCATCTCAGACCCTGGAAAGGGGTCCCGATCCAGACCCCAAGAGATGGTTCTTGGATCTCGCACAAGAAAGAATTCAGGGCGAGTCCATACAGTAAAGTGAAAGCAAGTTTTTAAGAAAGCAAGTAATGGCCAGGTGTGGTGGCTCATGCCTATAATCCCAACACTTTGGGAAGCCGAGGCGGGTGGATCACTTGAGGTCAGGAGTTCGAGACCAGCCTGGCCAATATGGAGAAACTTTCTACTAAAAATACAAAAATTAGCCAGGCGTGGTGGCACATGCCTGTAATCCCAGCTCCTCAGGGGCTGGGACACCAGAATCACTTGAACCCGGGAGGCCGAGGTTGCAGTGAGCCGAGATGGCACCACTGCACTTCATCCAAAAAAGAAAAGAAAAGAAAGTCAAGTAATGAAAGAATGGCTACTCCATAGACAGAGCAGCCCTGAGGGCTGCTGGTTGCCCATTTATATGGTTATTTCTTGATGATATGCTAAACAAGGGGTGGATTATTCATGTGTCCCCTTTTTAGACCATACAGGATAACTTCCTGACATTGCCATGGCAGTTGTAAATTGTCATAGCGCTGGTGGGAGTGTAGCAGCGAAGACGACCAGAGGTCACTCTCGTCGCCATCTTGGTTTTGGTGGGTTTTGGCCGACTTCTTTACTGCAGCCTGTTTTAGCAAGGTCTTTATGGCCTGTATCTTGTGCTGCATCCTGTGACTCAGAATGCCTTAACCATCTGGGAATGCAGCCCACTAGGCCTCAGGCTTATTTTACCCAGCCCCTACTCAAGATGGAGTTGCTCTGGTTCAAATGCCTCTGACAAGACCACATCATCCTGTAAGCCACCCACCCAGGAGCATCTCACGCCATCCTCAGGGGCCCCTGTTGATGGCAAGAGTGTCTGGATTCCATGTGGAACCCTCCCCACTCTAACAGAGCCTCGCTGCCCTCAGATACTGGCCACAAACCCATTTGTAACCACTGGGGTGGCTCTCTGGCCAGGGGAGTAGAAGCTAGAAGGAGACATGGGCCAGAAGCCAACATCTGTGGCCCTGGGTGCTCTCAGCTCTAGGGCCGATAACCCTGGGGATCCTTCAATTTAGGAACCCTCGAGGCCCGTGAACTTGAGGATCTGCAACCCAAAGGATGTGTGGCTCTGGGTGTCCTCAACTCAGGGGATCCATACTCCCCAACCCCTGCTGATCCTGGAGCCTGTGCCCCTCGGCCAGCTTCTGCTATGTTGGCTTTTCTAACCAACCCCCTTTGATGGGTACCAGTTGTGTGCACTGCTGCTAAGACATGGTGCAGCCTCCCCCATGTCGGATCCTGTTTCTGGGGACTAGTCCCAGCTGTCCCCGTTTCCCCTAGGTATGCTGAATCTTAATGGATGTAACTCGTCACTTCTGCCAGGAGGCTCTGAAGATCGTGAACATCGTCCTCCACGTCAGCTGTCCCTCCCTCCCTCTTCCCCTACTGGCTTCCTCTCTTCCTCAAACATAGCCAGCCATTATTTATTTCTTCCCATATCCGGGGCCTGTCAAACCAGATGGGGCTGAGCCCAGAGCCTGCTGGCTCCCTGCCAGAGACTTCCCTTCATAGGTCTCTTCCCCAGCCCTCTGGGGTAAGCAATGTAGTGTTGTGGTTACACCAACAGGCACAAGAGACAGGTTCTAGGTTCAATCTCTCTCTGAGTCTTGCCTGCTGTGTGACCCTGGGCAAGTTGCTTAACCTCTGTGTGCCATCTGTACAATAAGGACAATCCTAATACTACTGTACATTGTTATTAAGAGGATTTAATGGGACCAGGATGGAAAGTGCTTAGCGTCGGGCTGGCGTACAGTAAGTAGCCAAGGAAGGTCAGCTGACGATGGTGCTGAACTGCCTGCCTCTGAATCTCCCAGAACATCCATCATCCATGTCTAAAAATCTGTCCTAAGAGGGCAGCCAGGCATTTTGCCAAAGCCCAGGTGATCCCTGTCCACCACCCGACCCCAGTCCTGCCCCCAGCCCCCTGCCCCCTGCCCCAACAGAGGAAATGTTGTCCACAATAGAAGGATGCTGAAACTCCCTCCCCAAGACTTTATGCGACGTGCCTGGCAAGTGCCCCCACCCAGCCCTGCTAACAACCTCACCCAAACCCCACAACCCCACCCAACTGCCTCCCAGGACCCAAGAGAGGGCTGTGAGGCTGCTTAATGAGAGGGTGCAGGCCCTGCCTGAGCAGACCATCCCAGGGGCAGCTTGGAGAAGGCCAGCATTCTTCTATCTATAGTTCAACTTCTCTGCCATTATGGTCCATCTCTAATTCAGGAAGCCTCTTATTATGTTTTCTTTATGTTCTCTTCATGTTGATCAGTGGGAAAACAAATGAAAGGGAAAATCATGGGTGTTGTGGTTAGGAAAAACTACTGAGGGGAATAGCGGGCTTTGTGTTCTCTGCCTCGATGGCATGTCTAGGGTGTCCCAGGGCATCAGAAACAGAAACAGCTTTTCCTGGACATGTTATGAGGGTCTCATGGGGCAGGGCACCCACTGCTACAGGAACAGACTGAAGCCTGAATCCTGGCTTTGCCATTGGCTCTCTGGGTGCCCTTGAGCTGGTCCTACCTCTCCAGACCTCACCAGCCTTGTCTTTAAAGTGAGAATAATGGGGCTGGATGGGGTCACTCATGTCTGTAATCCCAGGACTTTGGGAGACCGAGGTGTGTGGATCACTGGAGCCTAGGAGTTTGAGGCCAGCCTGGGTAACATGGCAAAATCCCGTCTCTACCAGAAGAAAAAACAAAAAAACAATAACAAGGCCCGGCACGGCGGCTCACGCTTGTAATCCCAGCACTTTGGGAGGCCAAGGCAGGCGGATCAGGAGCTCAGGAGTTCGAGGCCAGCCTGACCAACATGGTGAAACCTCGTCTCAACTAGAAATACAAAAATTAACCGGGCGTGGTGGTGCGAGCCTGTAATCCCAGCTACTCAGGAGGTTGAGGCAGGAAAATTGCTTGAACCTGGGAGGCAGAGGTTGCAGTGAGCTGAGATCACACAACTGCACTCCAGCCTAGGCGACAGAGCAAGACTCCAACTCGGAAAAAGAAAAAAAAAATTAGCCAGGTGTAGTGGTGCGCACCTGCAGTCCCAGCTACTCAGGAGGTTGAGGTTGAGGTGGGAGGATCGCTTGAACCCAGGAGTTGGAGGCTGCAGTGAGCTATGGTCACGCCACTGCACTCCAGCATGAATGACAGAGAAAGACTCATCTCAAAATGAATAAAGAATAAAATAAAATGAGAAAAATGGGCTGGCTCAGCTTCCTGGTGGGCTGGGATGCAGAGTCCCCATGGCAATGACAAAGAACAGTTGAGCAGCAGGAGTGGGAGAGGCTGAGGCCCAGTCTGGCCTGTCCTTTGGGCCCAAGACCCCATCCTCATGCCTCTTGGGGTCCAGGGAACAGCTGCCCCTCCCTCTATTTCTGTTCAGCAGTAACCACTGGTCTGGGAGGCAGAAGAGCCTGGAATGACCAGGCCAAGATGAGAAAAGCAATGGTATCTGAAATGGGGGCTACCATTAGAATCTATTTAGAATCACGTCCTGCATGGGGACACGTCCTGCTGCAACTCATCCTCCATGTGACAGCTGCAGTGCTGTCCATCTCTTCAGGGATGAACTAGAGTTGGGGAGAGGTAGAAAGACAAGCAAGAGTCTGAGAAGGGCTTTCTTGACACTGGAGCTGGGATCTGACATTCTGGCCTTCTCCACAGCAGATGTGCAACTTCTGAGCCAGGCGTGGTGGCTCATGCCTGTAATCCCAGCACTTTCAGAAGCTAAGGTGGGCAGATCACCTGAGGTCTGGAGTTTGAGAACAGCCTGGCCAACAAGTTGAAACCATGTCTCTACTAAAAAAAATTACAAAAACTAGCCAGGTGTGGTGGCACGCACCTGTAATCCCAGCTACTTGGGAGGCTGGGTCGTTGTGGTCTCCTTAGCCTTGTCTTGCCAGGTTCATCCTGGAGACAGCCACAAAGGTAGGGAGTGAGGAGGCCTCCTTCTTTCTCTCTCCTCTCACTTTCCATTCTTACTGTAGGAATGATGATCTCTGTCATCATGCTGATGGCTGTAGCATCCCCAGAGGGACTCCACAGGCAGGGTAAACATGCTTGGTGCCCCTTGGTGCCCGAAAGAAGGAGCAAGAGTAGTCAACCAGGCCATGGAGACCAACGTGGTTGAAGGAGCAAGCAGCCGAGCACTGGATAGAGGGGATCTGTTGGCCAAT